>NC_000018.10:12110349-12410399 GCF_000001405.40 Homo sapiens | reverse complement strand
AGGCTTCATTACGGCCCTTTGCTTTCAAGTTCAAAAGTCTATGGCAGAGAATCAGCACCTAGTCCACAGCAGCTCCAGGGATGACCGGGATTCCTTTGGTGGATAGCTGCCCCTGTCCTGGAAGGACATCTGATCTCCATGTAAGATTCCTCACCCCTTCCGAGCACCTGCTAGGCGCCGGGCCCCGGCGGGGTGCCAGGAATACAAAATGAATGATGGGAGAAATGAAATACTGACACTCTACCACATGGTGAGCCTCAAGAAAATCATGCTAAGTGAAAGCAGACAGACACAAAACACCCCATATTGCAGGATGACATTTACATGCAATGTCCCAACAAGGCAAATTCATAGAAACAGAAAAGATTCCTGGTTGCCTGGGGCAGGGGTGAAAATGGGGTAAAATGTGAAGCTAATGAGCATGGGGCACCTCTGCAGGAGGACAGAAGTGTTCTAAGACTGGACTGTGTGTGTGATGGTCATACTTAGCAAAACTTAATGAATTATACACTTAAAATGTGTATAATTTTATGGTATGTAAAGTATCCTTCGGTAAAGCTTAAAAAAAATAAATGGGAGTTAGCAGCTGCAACAATTTTCAAAAGCATCAACTGTGATTTTTCACAGCTAGCTATTCATTTGTGCTTGTCCACAGACATTTCACAAACCTCTAGGGCAGACCTCGGCCATTCCATGAGAAAACTGAGCCCCAACCACCTGGCACTCCTGGTATGCAATGACTTAACTGTCCACAGCATCCAGACGGCTCAGTGATGCCCCCATCCTTGTTGCTGATGGAAACCCACTTGAGAAACACTGCAAGCCATACAAAAAATTAGATCCCATCAAGTCTAAAGACTTCATGAAAAATAATTTCAGAGGTTTTGAAACCACTTGATATATTTTTATTATAATTTTACATGTTTAAAGTCAGGCCAGTCACGGTGGCTCACACCTATAATCCCAGCACTTTGGGAGGCCGAGGCGGGTGGATCACCTGAGGTCAGGAGCTCGAGACCAGCCTGGCCAACATGGCGAAACCCTGTTTCTACTAAAAATACAAAAATTAGCCGGGCGTGATGGCCCACACCTGTAGTCCCAGCTACTCAGGAGGCTGAGGCACGAGAATCACTTGAACCCAGGAGGGGGAGGTTACAGTGAGCCAAGATCGCGCCATTGCACTCCAACCTGGGTGACCCAGCGAGCCTATGTCTCAAAAAAAAAAAAAAAAAAAAAAAAACCCAGCCTGGGTGACAGAATGAGACTCTGTCTCGAAAAAAATAAATAAAAAGAGTCAAAGGATGACAATTTCCTTCCACGCAGTACTTTTTTTCCCCCCAAAATAAAATATTTAATGCTTAAGTGAGGTCAGATAATTAAAAAATCTTTGTTGCTGTAAATAAACATTAAAGAATAATTTCAGTGTGTCACAGATCACTGACTTAAGGAAAAGATACCACTTAGGTTAGGAGGGCACTTTTTTCTTCTTTTTATTTGCACAATTCTATGGAGTATATGTGCAATTTCGTTACATGCATAAATTTCGTAGTGGTCAAGTCAGGACTTCTAGGGTATGCATTACCCGGGAAGGTGTCTTGCACCCATTAAGCAATTCTCATTATCCTCCCTGCACCCACCCCCTCACCCTTCAGAGTCTCCATCATCTGACGTTCCACTCTCCACATCCATGTGAACACATTCTTAAGCACCCACTTAGGAGTGGGAACATGCGATACTTGTCTTTCTGGGCCTGGCTTCACTTAAGATAATGACCTCCACTTCCATCCGTGTGCCGGGGGAGCATTTTTAAACAGTTCGAGGTTTTCCACGCTAGCTTGGAGGCCTTCCATGCCTACAAGTGAGTTCAGAGCCAGGGCCCCCGAAATGCCTTCTGCCCCTTTAGCTTCCTCCAGAGCTCACAGCCCGCCGTGGGCCCTCCGTGAAACGCGCGGAAGGTTTATGACAATCTCAGCAAAGGCGCCAGCTTGCAGGCCTCTCCCCTGCCCTGCTCCCGACCCCAAGGAGAGCAGCGAGCGCCAGGCCCCCGGCCGCCCCCCCGGCTCCGGCCGCCCCCGCCCCGGCCGCCCCCGCTCCGGCTGCCCCCGCCCTGGCTGTCGACCACCAGCGGGGCCTCTGTGCCTGCAGCCAGGCCCCTGCGCACGCCGGGGGAGAGGCCGTACCCGGCGCAGAGCCTCGCCCAGACCGCGGTCCCGGGGAAGCGCGCGTGCCCTCTCCGGGACGCCGAAGTTGCGGTCTGGGAACGGCCGGCGCGGGGCGGGGATCTCCGCGAGGCCCGCTGTGAGGTCCGGCCTTTCCTGGACCGCTCCAGCCGGGCTCGGGAGCAGGAGCCGGCGTCTGGACGGCCCCACCGCGGCCCTCAGCCCGGCCTCACCCAAACACGTGCTCCGAGCTCCAGATCTTCATTGCCGCCGGCGCAGGGCGCGGGCTCTGCGATCCGGGCCGGGTGCTTCGGGCCGCGCGGCTCCGGGCGCGGCGTGGGCGGGGCCTCGATGGGCGGGGCGCCCTTGGATGCCGCCCACCCCGTCTGGTGGCTAGGCTGGCTGCAGCGGCTAAAAATAGCTCTGCGGGCGCGGCTGTGGCGCAGCCCCAGACCTGCGCTGCTACCCTGGGGTGCGCGATGCGCGCTTGCTGCAGATGCCGCGGGCGTAGGAGGCGACGCTCGTCCTTACTCCCACTGTCCAAATTCTCCCAAGGCCCTGTCCAGCTACGCCGGTTTGTACTGTCGGGGACGTGTGATGAAAAACAAACCTGCCAACCCTCAAAACTCCACTGCAGTTTGGGTCTTGAACAAACATTAAACCAGCATGTGAGGCCGGGCGCGGTGGCTCACGCCTGTAATCCCAGCACTTTGGGAGGCCGAGGCGGGCGGATCACGAGGTCAGGAGATCAAGACCATCCTGGCTAACACGGTGAAACCCCGTCTCTACTAAAAATACAAAAAATTAGCCGGGCGTGGTGGCGGGCGCCTGTAGTACCAGCTGCTCGGGAGGCTGAGGCAGGAGAATGGCGTGAACCCGGGAGGCGGAGCTTGCAGTGAGCCGAGATCCCGCCACTGCACTCCAGCCTGGGCAACAGAGCGAGACTCCGTCTCAAACAAAACAAAACAAAACAAAACAAAACAAAACAAAACCAGCATGTGATGTGCATCACAAGCAATCCGCCAAATAGGCTGCAAAGACAGAAATCTCAGCCTGTATCAAACAGCCGGGAGGATGCAACCTACCCCACGCATGCTCCCGAGGTAAACGAGACAGCCCTCCGGGGAGGGGACTCCACTACACCATTTGTCGCAGAGTTCATCCTAAATTCGCCTGATGATGGAGTGGCCATTGGTAAATGCAGTGGCCATTTGCGTTTGCTAATTGCCTTTATCCAAAGGAAAAATGAATTTTCATACCTTTATGACAGGAGGTAGGTTTACAATTTGAAGCCAGGTGCTCTCTGGTAGCTGGGCTCCTACCCTCCCACAAAACTGGGAGACGGGGATGACATTTCAAAGAGATGACTCCCAAGTCCTTGAGAAAATACATTCTTGAGTTATAAAACTGGGGGGAAATCTTATTTAGCTTTAAAAAAATGTACGTGTATCTCAAAAAGAATTTGTGATTACAACTTGGCAAATCCTCTAAGGAAAAAGAGTCTCCCTTTCGCATAAACTACTTTTTAGCTTTGCAAAGTACCCTGCACTGCCACAAACGAAGTTGAAGTGCACGGAAGTGAGATGCTTGTTCTAAGAAGAGGGTACTCTTCTCCAGGATGAGATAGGGCGAGAGGGCAGGGCCCTTGTCTGAGTCGGCTGAGTCTCAGCCTAGAGCAGCGCCTGGCGCCCCTGGGGCGTCCGTGGGCGTGGGGAGCGCATTTGTGCAGTGAGGCAGGGAAGTGGAAGAGCACACAGCATGACCCGAAAGACCTGGGCTACAGTCCTGGCTCCACCGTCCACTCACATTGACCTCTACCTCCTACAGCGTTAAGCTCAGGATGATCTTCCAAAGTTGGTGCTATTCTTCCCGTTTTACAAATGAGTTAACTGAAGTTCAAGCAGGTTTCAAAGCTCTCTACCCCATGATCACACGCTGAGGTGAGAACCCAGGTTACAAGATTCCCCCTCCCCACTGTGCTGCACTGATTCTAGATTATCACTGGGCCAGCTGTTGAACACTTCTTGTATGCCAAGCACTATTGAAAAAACATGAGGCAACACGCTTGTTCCAGGTCACATATCTAGGAGTTATCCCACCCAGAATTCAAAGCCACATCCTGATTTCAAAGTCCAGTCTTGCCATTTATTATCCTCTAGGAGTAGGAACAGATCTAGCTGTGGAACATTCATTCATCCAGTCCGTCTTGTTACCTGTCAAATGAGGATCATACTGCCCACCCCACTGGTGTGTGGTAAGGATTAGATGCATCCATGTGTGGACATTACGGTTTACTAGTATCTTTAGAACATCCGTTCCTTCTATCACTAGCTAAGGCTAGCCAGATAACTATCCCTTAGCATCTTTTTTTCTTTTTTCTTTTCTTTTCTTTTCTTTCTTTCTTTCTTTCTTTCTTTCTTTCTTTCTTTCTTTCTTTTTCTTTCTTTCTTTCTTCTTTCTTTCTTTTTCTTTTTCTTTCTCTCTTTTTCTTTCTTTCTCTTTCTTTCTTTCCTTCCTTCCTTCTCTCTCTCTCTTTCTTCCTCCCTCCCTCCCTCTCTTCCTTTTCTTTCCTTTCTTTCTTTCTTTCTTTTTCTTGTTCTTACTCTGTCACCCAAGCTGGAGTGCTCACTACAACCTCTGCCTTCCAGGCTCAAGCAATCTTCCCATATCAGCCTCCCAGGTAGCTGGAACTACAGTCACGCACCACCATCCTGGGTTAATTTTTGTATTTTTAGTAGAGACAAGGTTTCACCACGTTGGCCAGGCTGGTCTCAAATTCCTGGGCTCAAGTGATCCACACTCCTCAGCCTCCCAAAGTGCGGAGATTGCAGGCATGAGCCACCCGGTCCAGCCTCTTAGCCTTTTCTTTTCTAAAATATTCTAGAGAGGAGACACTGCAACCACCCTCATCAACGGATTCCAGGATCTCTGAAAACTTTGTCAGGAATCATTTCCTAGATAGATCCTAACCCCAAACCTGGATGCTTAACACCAGCATGATCACAATTATAGTATTGAGCACTGATGGAGCATTTGCCTTGGGCTGTGGAGTGACTCATTTAGTCATGGACAGATACTATTACCATCATCTTCATTTTACTGTCAAGGGGACTGAGGCACAGGAGGATCAAGTAACTTCTCCAAGAACACACAGCTAGGAAGTAACAGCTGCAATCAGAAACCAGGCATTCTGGCTGGAAGACCAGAGCTCTTACAATATGCCGAATTTGGTTCTGCCTACTAGATTGCTTAAACTGGGGGAGCTTTCGTGATTAATATTCATCGCTTTGCCTAAAGGCAGAGGCTATCCATTGACTTGCTACAATGTATCACAGAGCCACTATTTTAGCAGATCCCAAATTTAAGGCAGATCTGATTTCTTCTTACCAGTTCTGTCTTTCACTGTTGTTTGTTTGTTTGTTTTTTTTGTTTTGAGACAGAGTCTTGCTTTGTCACCCAGGCTGCAGTGCAGTGGTGTGATCTCGGCTCACTGCAACCTCTGCCTCCCAGGTTCAAGCAATTCTTGTGCCTCAGCCTCCCTTGTAGCTGGGACTACAGGCACACGCCACCACGCCTGGCTAATTTTTTGTATATTTAGTAGAGACGGGGTTTCACCATGTTGGCCAAGCTGGTCTCAAACTCCTGACCTCAAGTGATCTACCTCCTTCAGCCTCCCAAAGTGCTGGGATTACAGGTGTGAGCCACCATGCCCAGCCTTTCACTGGTTTTAAATTACATTATTCCTATAATTGTATATTTCATCACAGATTTTAAATGCAATGACTAAGTAAAATAGAGTACATAAGTGATTCCCATTATTTTATTATGAATCTTAGTACCATATTGTCTACTTCAACCTGTAACTTTTGTGGGTTTTTTGTTTTGTTCTGTTTTTTTCCAGACAAGGTCTTGTTCTGTTGCCCAGGCTGGAGTGCAGTGGCATGATCATGGCTCACTGCAGCCTTGACCTCCTCAGCTCAAGTGATCCTCCTGCCCCAGTCTCCCAAGTAGCTGGAACTACAGTTACGTGCCACCGTTCCAGCTAATTAAAAAAAAATGTTTTTAGAGACGGGCTCTTGCTATGTTGTTCAGGCTGGTCTCAAACTCCTGGACTCAACCATCCATCCCACTGAAGCCTTCTGAGTCACTGTGATTACAGACATGAGTCATCATACCCAGCCAACCCTGAGACACTTACGTTGCATTTTTTCCTAAACAGCAAACTCCAAAGAAACTGGAGACTTATTTTTTCAACCTATCTTTTCATATCTCTGTAGAAGATTGTCTGAGCTACCTAACTCTCAATAATAGGAGAATGTACTGCATTTGATACTCTCAAAATCCGTAACATTTCCAAAACCAAAGGCATGGATGCGTTTAAAGTTTTGTCCTTTCCTTTCTGGGATATGTGTGCAAGAGGCTATGTGTGGATTTTATATGATCATTCTCAGCTGTTTCTATTTATGTCTCCCACAGATTATGAGGTCCTCAGGGGTAGGAATGGATCTTTGTAAACCAGGAACTTAAATGAAGCATGTGCCCAATAAATATGTATTGAATTTAATTGAATTTTGGTTTTAAAAAAGTGTCATCATTTACAATAAGCATTTCCAATGAAAGCACATTGAGCAGGAGGCTGAGGAGACTGTGCGGTGTGGCGAGAGCTCGGTTTACTTGCTCCATGTCTGGACCACGTGGAGCATCCAGGTCTTCTCTTTTTGCCTTGTAGGAAGACTGAGTCCCAAATCAGGTAGCTCCTCGGAATAAAGACACTATTTAGTGGTGGAGCTGGACAGACGGAAAACTGTAATGAAATGAGAACAGACTTCAATCCCTGGACTATTACAACACAGTCTCAATGTTCTCTGCCTCTTCCCCTGCCACCCTCACCTTCAAATCTTTTTTTTTTTTTTTTTTTTTTGAGATAGAGTCTCGCTCTTGTTGCCCAGGCTGGAGTGCAGTGATGCGATCTCAACTCACTGCAACCTCCGCCTCCCAGGTTCAAGAAATTCTCCTGCCTCAGCCTCCCAAGTAGATGGGATTACAGGCACCCACCACCAGCCACCATGCCCGGCTAATTTTTGTATTTTTAGTATTTCATGTTGGCCAGGCTGGTCTTGAACTCCTGACCTCAGGTGATCCACCAGCGTTGGCCTCCCAAAGTGCTGGGATTACAGGCGTGAGCCACAGCATCCAGCCTCACCCTCAAATCTACTTCACACCCTGCTATCGGAATTCCACTGGGCGTCCAAGCCCTGGGGCAGATGTGGTCACTCCTCTGCAGCTTCCCCTCTGCAGTTACACATCCACCCGGATGCACCTCCCTCAGACTCACCACAGTGTGTTAAAATCATCTGCGTATTTCTCTGCTTCTCCCACTGGGCTAAAAAAATTTCTCTTTTTTTAAAAAATTATGTCTCTCTCTGTGGTCCAGGCAGGCCAGAAGTGAAGTGGTGTGATCATAGCTCACCGCAGCCTTGAACTCCTGGGCTCAAAGGATCCTCCCCGCTTCAGCCTCTTGTCCTGAGTAGCTGGGACTACAGGGGTGTGCCACCACGCCTGACTCTTTTTTCTTTCTTCTTTCTTTTTCTTCTTCTTTCTTCTTTTTCTCCTCCTCCTCTTCCTCCTCCTGCTCCTCCTCCTCCTCCTTCTTCTTTTTTTGTAGAGACAGGGTCTTGCTTAGTTGCTCAGGCTGGTCTCAAATTCCTGGCTTCAAACAATCCTCCTACCTCAGCCTCCAAAAGTGCTGTCATTTTATGGAATTACAGTTATGAGCCATGGCACCAGACCTAAAATTATTCTGAGATCAAGAACTATGTTATTTTTCTTCTTGCTGTTTCCAGAGTCAGAAGCATAGTAGGTACACGATAAATAAATAAAGTTCATCTTAAAGTCCTATGCTGACAGATACATCTTTTTTTAAGTCCACATTCTATTCTTGTCTCTCCCTGTTCCTCACTCCGTGTCACCTCCCATGGTCCAGAGCCAGCTGCATCGCGCAGGAGTGTGTTGGAAAGGTAAACTCTCAGGCCCCGCCTCACACCCAGGATGCAGCATCTCTGGGGTGGGGCCCGGGAACTCGTGGTTTGACCAGCTCTCCGGGAGACGCTGACACTAAAGGAGACCCCTCCCCGTCCTAGGGGCACTGGCCTCAGCCTACCTGAGCTATGGTGATTCCTGCACATGCCCTCACCTTCTTCATCCCAGGAACTGGTTCAGTTTCCTCCACCCAGAGAGCCCTGCTCTGTGCTGGTCCTGGAGGCATCCTCCTGGGAGGAGAGCAGAATACACAAGGCCCAGAAGCTGGAGGCTGGACTGTAGGGTCCCATGGCAAATGGCAAGAATTGAGTCCAGAAAGGGAGACGGGAGCCACAGCTCATGGCACAAGTTGTCACATGAATTACAAAAGGCTTTATAATTCATGGTGAGCTCAGACAGGTTTTAGAATTTGAGATTTGTGAGGCAAAACCGTTTAACTCAAGCTAGGTCCAGGAGGTAGGCTTGGCCGTCTCTGGGAGGCCAAAGTCAAGTGGAGATGAAGACGGCGAAGCCGGAAAGGGCCTCCTTTCTGGGAAGGCTTCTAGCCCCCTCCCCACCTCGGGTTTAGAGGTGACTACTGGATGCCGTGGAGCTGTCCTCTGCCATAGCACCTATCACAGTGCTGTGTATACTTATGTCCCCTGAGGAAGTGTCTTTGTTTGACTTTGTTGTGGGGGACCCTCATGTATTTATTATCTTTGTATTCCCAGTACCTGGAAAATATTAGGGACTTGACAACTTTTTTTTTCTTTTTTCTTTCTTTCTTTTCTTTTTTTTTTTTTAAGACGGAGTCTCACTCTGTTGCCCAGGCTGGAGTGCAATGGCGTGATCTCGTGTCACTGCAACCTCCGCCTCCAGGGTTCAAGCGATTCTCTTGCCTCAGCCTCCCGAGTAGCTGGGATTACAGGCGCACACCACCACACCAGGCTCATTTTTGTATTTTTAGTAGAGATGGGTTTCACCATATTGGCTAGGCTGGTCTTGAACTCCTGACCTCGTGATCCGCCCTCCTCGGCCTGGCATTACAGGCGTGAGCCACCGTGCCTGGCCTTTTTTCTCTCTTTAAGAGGCAGGGTCAGCCGGGTGTGGTGGCTCATGCCTATAATCCCAGCACTTTGGGAGGCCGAGGAGGGGGGGATCACTTGAGGTCAGGAGTTCGAGACCAGCCTGGCCAACATGGTGAAACCCCGTCTCCTACTAAAAATACAAAAATTAGTTGGGTGTGGTGGTGCGTGCCTGTAATCTCAGCTACTTGGGAGACTGAGGCACGAGAATTGCTTGAACCCAGGAGGCAGAGGTTGCAGTGAGCCGAGATTATGCCCCTGCACTCCAGCCTGGGCGACAGAGCAAGACTCTGTCTCAAAAAAAAAAAAAAAAAAAAAAAGAGACAGGGTCTCACTCTGTCACCCAGGCTGGAGTGCAGTGGTGTGATCATAGCTCACTGCAGCCTCAACCTCCAGGCCTCAAGTGATCCTCCCTTCTCAGCCTCCCAAGTAGCTGGGACCACAGGCACTATGCCCAGCTAATAAAAACAAAAGATAGTGTAGAGACAGGGTCTTGCTATGTTGCTCAGGCTGGTCTTGAACTCCTGGGCTCAAGCAGTTCTCCTGCCTTGGCCTCCCAAAGTGCTGGGACTACAGGTGAGAGCCACGGTGCTAGCCAGACAACTGTTTTTTGAATGAATGGGAATGACCTGCTCCTACTGCCTTTTTATTGTTTTTTCCTTTGGAGGATTTTCCAGTAAAAACAAGAAGACCTGCTAGACAAATTCCAAAAGAACTGTACCACTTCCACCTGGCTTTTGAGAAGAGAATGGGCAGTGTGGGGACAGGCAGAGGTGTCGTTCCAACCTGGGCTGCATGATAATGGATAACCCGAGGAGTTCTGGCAAGCGCTGAAGCTTGGAAGCAGCCGTAGGGACTTTCCTTCAACTGGACTACAGTGTGGCCTGGGCATTAGGTTTTGAGAAGCTCCCTGAGGATTCCGGAATGCAGTGAAGTTTGGAAACCAGGGAGTGGAGGGAGCATGGGTAGGCAGGGAGGCCAGGCAAGAAGCTGTTGCTCTAGATAGAAGAGACATGGGCACCTGCCCAGAGCAGTAGGACGAAGCAGTAGGTGCTTATAGTCAACGGGGTTCAGGGAGAAGGAAAAGAAGCACACCCCACCCCCCTTTCCTCTTTGTCTGTCACCTGCTCCTCTCCAGCACCCCTCCACTTATGGGGTCTGGCAGGTTGGCTTGCTGTGTCCCTCTCCATGCCCCAGCCACCTTGTGCCATAATTCTGGGTGATGTCAATATCCCCATGGATGACCCACCCAGAGGCCTGTGGTCCCTGGGCCTTCCTGTCTTTTTTTTTTTTGAGATGGAGCCTCATTCTGTCACCCAGGCTGGAGTGCAGTGGCAAGATCTTGGCTCACTGCAACCTCCACCTCCCAGGTTCAAGTGATTCTCTGCCTCAGC
Organism: Homo sapiens; assembly: GCF_000001405.40. Classification (NCBI taxonomy): domain Eukaryota; kingdom Metazoa; phylum Chordata; class Mammalia; order Primates; family Hominidae; genus Homo; species Homo sapiens. The sequence continues at coordinate 12,399,743 of NC_000018.10, read as the reverse complement.
CTCCCGAGTAGCCGGGATTATAGGTGCCCACCACCACGCACAGCTAATTTTTATATTTTTAGTAGAGATGGAGTTTCACCATGTTGGCCAGGATGGTCTTGAACTCCTGACCTCAGGTGATCTGCTCGCCTTGGCCTCCCAAAGTGCTGGAATTACAGGCGTGAGCCACTGTGCCTGGCCTCTTGCTCACATTTTGAACTCTTTCACCTCAAAAATCTCAAACGCCAGTATCCCACTATAAGGACCTTCTTCCTCCCTAACAGAACCTTGACTTTGTGGTGTACCTACCTCAAACTCAGTGCCTCAGGGAAGCCGCCCCGCTTGCTGCAAGGCTGCCTTGTGGTCTGAGGGTCTGAGGTTCACTTAGGTGCCTTCATGTGACCCAGCACAGGCCTGGGAGACATGAGGGTGACTGCTGAGAGGCTGCCAGGAAAAAGACCCTTGGTCCAAAGAGCAAGTCTTCTCCATTGTTTAGCTTCTGGAACTGGTGTGGCCATCTCAATGCCAGCAGGAGGGTAAAAATCACCAGCAAGAAAGAAAACGTAAAGCCAGGCATGATGGCTTATGCCTGTAATCCCAGCACTTTGGGAGGCTGAGGTGGGCGGATTACCTGGGGCCGGGAGTTTGAGACCAACCTGGGCAACATGGCGAAACCCCATCTCTACTAAAAATACAAAAATTTAGCCAGGAGTGGTGGCAGGCACCTGTAATCCCAGTTACTTGGGAGGCTGAGGCAGGAGAATCACTTGAACCCAAGAGTCAGAGGTTACAGTGAGCCAAGATCGCCCTAGTGCACTCCAATCTGGGTGACAGAGTGAGAGTCCATCAAAAACAAAAAAAGAAAGAAAGAAAGAAGAAAGAAGGAGAGAAAGAAATTTTAAAAAAGCAAGAAAGAAAGAAAAAAAGAAAGAAGAAAGAGAAAAGAGAAGAAAGAAAGGAAGGAAGGAAGGAAGAAAGAGAGAGTAAAGGAACAGTTCTCAAGGACATAGCCACTCCCTCATAGTCTGCCCTGGCTGCCACAACAAAATCCCGCAAACTGGGCAGCTTAAACCCATTTACGCCTAGTATTCCATTATCGGAACGCTAAGCATGTGGGAGCTATTTATATCCTACTGCTCAAAGTTATTACCAAGGTCTGATAGCAAAAATTCAAAAAATTGCAACTTCAGGCATAAATGTGTTTAAACATCAATCATTTCTCAGAGTGCTGGAGGTGGGGGAGATCAAGTCCCTGGTGGATTTGGTGTTTGGTGAGGGCCGGCTTCCTGGTTCTTAGATGGTGTTTTCTTGCTGCGTTCTCACGTGGCAGAAGGGGTTAGGGAGCTCCCTGGGGTCCCTTTTATAAGGGCAGTCATCCTGTTCATAAGGCTCCACCCTCACGACCTGATCCCCTCCTAAATGCCCCACCTCCCAATACCACCACACTGGGAATTAGGCTTTGACATATGAAATTGGGGAACACAAACATTCAGTCTAGAGCAACTCAGCCCACCAGCGACCCTCCTTAGCCTCGGTCGTGGTTTTTTATTATAAATGGCTGCATTGTTGAATCCCATCTGAATGTATATGTATCTTTAAGCCCTCACTGGTCCCCCATCCTCTGAGCACAGTCTCCAGTCCTTCCCTCTTTGCCACCTCACTCAGGTGGCACCTGCTCTTCAACCTCATAGCCACCCCCAGCCCCCAAACACTCCATTAGCTCCTACTCCCGGCCCTCCTGTCCTGCCCATCCTACCTGTCCTGCACCTCATCAGGGCTAATCTGAGCTGCTCCCGCCTCCGGTCCCTCCATTCTGTCCCTCCGTGCTGCAGTCGGCCCTCTCTGGTAGGAGCCCAAATGACTCTGTGCTACTGGAGAAAGGGCAGGATCTTACCGATTGTCAAAGAAGACATTCCAGGTATCTTGTTTTATCCAGGTCCCTAAGGGTAATACATTCATCCTTGGTCATCACCCTCCCCCAACCCGGACCATGCTCCCCGCACCTCCTTGTCAGTTCGCGTTCCCTCTCTCTCTGGGTTGATGACTTTGCTGCTTGCCACGTAGAGAAAATTAATCCAAGAAGTGTGATCTCTATTGCCTTTGGGCCCTTTGGTTAGATACGGTGGAGCTGTATGTTGATTTGTGCTGGTTAAGGGCACAGGCTCTGGAGTGCGGCTGCTGGGGCCCACACTGGGTCACCCCTCATTCATGGCCTTGGACGGCCCACAGGTGGTAGTGAGTACTGACACAGTGTCAGACACAGGGCAAATATCCCATCTGCAGGAGATGCTGTCACGATCTGGACCCAGACCAAGCTCCCCACACTGCCCTCTGTCCTCAGATGACGCCTACCTCCCCAACTCTCCGCGGGGCCCGGGGTGGTGGGGGAATCTGCTCTGCAAGTCTTCTCTACTCAAATTTCGGTTTCTTCCACCCTGCATCCCACCCTTGATTATAAATATGGCCAAGTCTTTTTGACTTAAAAAAAATAAATAAATAATAAAGAGGCTGGGCGCTGTGGCTCACGCCTGTAATCCCAGCACTTTGGGAGGCCGAGGCGGGCGGATCACGAGGTCAGGAGATCAAGAACATCCTGGCTAACATGGTGAAACCCCGTCTCTACTAAAAATACAAAAAATTAGCCAGGCCTGGTGGCGGGCGCCTGTAGTTCCAGCTACTCGGGAGGCTGAGGCAGGAGAATGGCGTGAACCCGGGAGGCGGAGCTTGCAGTGAGCAGAGATCGCGCCACTGCACTCCAGCCTGGGCAGCAGAGCGAGACTCCGTCTCGAAAAAAAAAAAAGAAAAAAGAAGGAGAACTCCCCCTCTCGGCCCTTGCTTCTGTTTGTGGGAAACAAAGGAGCAATCCCCAATCGCCCACCACTCCAACAGAAAAAGATGCATTGTTTTTAAGTAAATAGTAAGTGGAGCCATGCCCTTTTTTAGAAGAGCGCTCCAGCAGAGACGCACCTGGCCCACCCTGCAGCCCTTGCGGAGAGGTCGCAGCAGGGCGGCGCATGCGCTCTGGACAGCAGCCCAGAAAGGCCCTCGCAGGCAGGCATGGGGGTGCGGGCGGCCAGGTGACACACGGGTCTGACTCAGCGACGCCCAGCAGTCCCTTTGTTGTTGTTGCAGTTTTATAGTTTCTGTAGAACTGGAAAGATGCCACCCAGAAGGGCAGGTGGCCACCTGTTGGCTGGCGGAAGGACACCAGGATGCAGCTGTCCCTGAGGTCCCCGGCTGAGCCTCTCAGGCAGGGAAATCAGGACTGTGTCTTGTCACCAGCAGGTGTGGGAATTAGGAATGAAGACTTCCAGGAAATGGAGAATTCTGAAGAAAAATTCGTCCCTTGCTGCGATGCCTCTTCTCCATTTCTTTGGCTTGAGAACCACAGTCATCTGCCTGGTTGCAAAAGCCCATTTTCACAAGGCAAAGGATGGATTACTCTCGCCATCCTAGCAGTTTATGGTGGCAAATGCCAACCCGTGCAGAGAAGCACTGGGAGTCTGTCTTCCAGGCTGCTCCACTCCCTGTCATGTCCTGCAATTTTTGCCCTCACTTCTCATTCAAGCCATTCAAAAGAATGGTCCATGCTTGCTCTCTCCAGCTTGCTGTTGTTCCTACTTAGTTCTTCTGCGACGTGCTGTAACGGGCTCCTGAAACTTGTCTCCTTAAGGTCGTCAACCATCAAACGTGCCAATCCAGTGGATACTGTTCAGCCCTCATCTTTCTGGACCTCTCTACGTCACTTGAACTCAGGTGACTCTTGCTGAAACTCCACTCCCTTGGCTTCCATGACACTCCCTTTCGCTGCCTCCTTTGCACACTCTACTTCTCCTCCATTCTTCTGTTCTTCTCACTCAAGGCCTCTCTCTGTGAGTGAACTCATTGAGTTTCACAGTTTCCACTGATTCCCAAACCAATATCTCTATATCAGATTTCTACCCAACCTTCATTCCCACACATCCAGCTACCTGCAGGCCATTCCCTAGGCAGCTACCAGAGCCTTCCTTCCTCAGCACGCTCCTCTTCCAGGAGGCACTGTTCAGGTCAGTGGCATCACTCAGGCACCCCAGGCTGGAGAATAGGGAATGACTGCTCACTCCTTACAGCCAACCAATCATCAAGTCCTCTGGAATTTACCTCTTACAGATTGTTTTGGTCCATTCCCTTGTCTACATCCTTTAAGAGGCAATAGGGGCTGGGCTCAGTGGCTCATGCCTGTAATCCCAGCACTTTTGGAGGCCAAGGAGGGTGGATTGCCTGAGGTCAGGAGTTCAAGACCAGCCTGGCCAATATGGCAAAACCCTGTCTCTACTAAAAATACAAAAATTAGCTGGGCATGGTGGGGCATGTCTGCAGTCCCAGCCACTTGGGAGGCTGAGGCAGGAGAATTGCTTGAACCTGGGAGGCTGAGACTGCAGTGAGCTGAGATCATGCCATTGCACTCCACCTGGGTGACAGAGCAAGACTCAGTCTCAAAAAAAAAAAAAAAAAAGTCTGGCACTGTGGCTCACGCCTATAATTCCAGCACTTTGGGAAGCCGAGGCAGGCAGATCACGAGGTCAGGAGTTCAAGACCAGCTTGACCAACATGGTGAAACCCCATCTCTACTAAAAATACAAAAAAATTAGCCGGGTGTGGTGGCACGTGCCTGTAATCCCAGCTACTTGGGAGGCTGAGGCAGGAGAATCGCTTGAACCCAGGAGGCAGAGGTTGCAGTGAGCTGAGACCACGGCACTGCACTCCAGCCTGGCAACAGAGCGAGACTCCGTCTCAAAAAAAAAAAAAAAAAAAAAAAAAAAGATGAAATAGGATTTAATAGTTGAAGACATGGGTTTGGAAAGGAACAAACCTGGGTTCCAGTCCTGGTTTCCCTTCTGCAAGTCACTTAATCTCGCTAAATGTCAACATCATTCATGAAGTGGGAATATTAGTAGCACTATGTGGTGGGACTTGTGAGAATGAAAGGAGAATAAGTGTGAAGTCCTTAGCACAGTGATGCGAGGCAGTGCACGATGTGAGCGAGCTCCTCTCAGGTTGCTGTTGTATGACCAGCCCTACTGTGCGGCCCCTTCAGCCCTGGCTGTGGCTCACTCCTCTGGAAGACTTTAACAGCTAGGCAGTTGGGATTTGCCCCTTGGGGCTCCCTCTGCTGGCATGCCCTCCAGGCCTCATAATGCCCGCCTGGGTGCCTCTCACGCCCCTCTGTCATCCTGCAATCCTCCCGCTGCCTCCGTTCACACCCAGCACATTGGTTCCTCATTACTGCACTTGTTTATGTTTGTGTTTCTCCCACTAGGTTAATGCATATTAAAGATGCAACTTTCTAGGCTCCACCCCTTACCTTTTGAATGGGCATTTCTGGGGTGAAAACCAGAAATAATACATATTAATGAGCAGCCCAGGCAATTACAATGCTCCCTAAAGTTTAGAAAGTAGTTCTGCATGGACTCTGAGCTCCTCAAGGATGAGACCTGAGCCTCCTTCATCTCTGTGTACCCAGGGTCTAACCCAGGTGGTGGCAAACAGTAGTCACTTGAACATTGCTTGTTCAGTGAGTCAAGGGTGACTCCTAGGGGGTTGTAAACTGGGAGTGGCTTGGCCATGGGGCAGCGGGGGCTCTGTCTAGTGTAATTACTGACAGAGCCGTCTAGTCTAGTGTGTTTCAAGCCGAGTCCGGGAAGCCCTATGACCTTATTGACCAGCTCGGGGGTAAACCGAGGAGTTTTTCAAGCAGTGGTCCTACTTTTTGTTTGTATATATTCAGATTCTATACACTGAAAGTCCATGTCAAATTTTCATTTTTACAAAAGACTGCTGCTAAAAATAAATAAGTTTGAAAACTACTGTATCAGAAAGTTTGTTTTAACTTAGAGAGAAAACCATTCTCCCAATAGGTAAGAAGATTCTGAGGGGATGTTTCTTTCCAATTTGTCATGGATATTTGCCTCATCTATTACCCCAGGACTATAACAAAACTAAGGCTGTAATGTTTCGCTGATCCTCAAATACAATGGTAGTAAAGATCTTATTTACAGAGACTTCGACCTGCCACGTTGTCAGAGCAAGTTGCAGAAGTAGCTACCTACTAGTGCCTAGCTACCTGCCAGCACCTAGCTATTCTAAGAACTTATAGAATACTGCTGGAATCCAAGGACATGTTCTCTTACTAAATTCACAAACATCTTGAGACTCAAATGGACAAGATGTACCAGTATATTATTAAAACAGAGCAGGACAGGCATGGTGGCTCATCCCTATAATCATAGTGCTTCAGGAAGCTGAGGGAGGAGAATAGCTTGAGGCCAGGAGTTTGAGACCAGCTTGGACAGCATAGCCAGACCTCATTTCTAAAAAAAAAAAAAAATTTTTTTTTTTTTTGAGACGAAGTCTCACTCTGTCACCAGGCTGGAGTGCAGAGGTGTGATCTCAGCTCACTGCAACCTCTGCCTCCTGGGTTCAAGCAATTCTCCTGCCTCAGCCTCCTGAGTAGATGGGACTATAGGTGCCTGTTACCACGCCCAGCTAATTCTTGTATTTTTTAAGTACAGACAGGGTTTCACCATGTTGGCCAGGATGGTCTCAATCTCTTGACCTCAGGCGATCCTCCCACCTCGGCCTCCCAAAGTGCTGGGGTTACAGGCGTGAGCCACTGTGCCTGGCCAAAAAAAAAAAAAAATTGTTTTAAATAGAACAATTAGCTCGGTGTGGTGCTGTGAGCATGTTGTCCCAGATGCTCAGGAGTCTGAGGTGGGAGGATCACTTGAGCCCAGGAGTTCAAGGTTATGGTGAGCTATGATCACACCACTGCACTGCAGCCTGGCCAACAAGTGAGACTCTGTCTCTGAAAAAACAGGAGCACATCCCTTTTACTTTCTGTGGTATGTTTCCTCTTTTCAACACCTACATAGAATTGCTGAAGTAAGGCCAGATGTGGTGGCTCATGCCTGTAATCCCAGCACTTTGGGAGGCTGAGGCATGTGGATCACCTGAGGTCAGGAGTTCGAGAGCAGCCTGGCCAACATGGTGAAACCCCGTCTCTAATAAAAATACAAAAAATTAGCCGAGCGTGGTGGTGGGTGCCTGTAATCCCAGCTACTTGGGAGGCTGAGGCAGGAGAATCATTTGAACCCAGGAGGCGGAGGTTGCAGTGAGCTGAGACCGAAACTCTGTCTCAAAAAACTCCGTCTCAAAAAAAAAAAAAAAAATTGCTGAAGTAAGTCTTTTCAATACACATCTTATGTTCTCCTCCTTACTTCTATTTCTGGGTACTTTAATTCTATCCAATCTAGCTTACAGAGCTTCTCACTAGGTTCCTAACAAACCATTTCCTTCTCAGCTTTCAAATGCCTTCTCACATAATGCCTTCTGGGATTGCGGTACTGTACTCAAAAGATGGCTTATGACAAGGAGTTTGGTGTACCAAAGCAATCATCACATTTTTTTACAAGAAGACACAATTGGGAAAAATCTAGAAACTTTATGATTTGAGTATACCATTGTGGTCAACTCTTTTAGAAAAATATTTGATCACTACCTAGTAAAAGGGTGATAAAGAATCTTCTAAATGTTCTGCAGTTGTCATTCATGAAACGTGCATTGGTAGCACCCTGGCATCAGTGACATCATTCATGGTTTTACTCATTATCATCTGGAAAATAGCAACTGGGCATTGTGTCTTTTCTATTCCTTTACCTGAGGCCCATTGCCAGGAACAGTAGCACAAACCAAGACCACCACTGGAAAAGATTATGTCAGCTTCACTTTATAGAAAACACAGCATTAGGTTGTTCGTGGAGATGAACTATGAACAATAGAAAAATTATTTTTTGAAAAATCCAGACCAGCCTTGTGAACACATCTGAAGGTTTTCTGGAAATGCACGGCGTTGTCTAGAGATGTATAGGGCTCTCCTGACGCCTAGTGGGGAACCGTATGCAGCACAACTCTGGGTAGCGAGCCCAAGCCCTAGCCACAAAACACAAATTATTTTCTAAAAACTAATGTTTACCAGGCAATCTCTCTACTAGGAAACCATCCTCTGAATGGAAGCTGGCACATGTGTATATATGCATGTACCAATAAGAATAATTGGCTGGGTGCGTGGGCTCATGCCTGTAATCCCAGCACTTTAGGAGGCCAAGATGGGAGGATCACTTGAAGCCAGGAGTTCAAGACCAGCCTCAGCAGTATAGTGAAACTCCAACGTTACAAAAAATTTAAAAATTAGCCAGCTGTGGTGGCGCAGGCCTGTAGTCACAGCTATTTGGAAAGTTGAGGCTTGAGCCTGGGCATTCAAGGCTACAGTGAGCTATGATCGTGCCACTGCACTCCAGTCTGGGTGACAGAGCAAGACCCTGTCTCAAAAAAAAAAGCTCACGGTGGCTTCTGAAATAAAAAGAAATGAGAATTAGTCTAAATGACGCTTGGTGAGAAAACTATTAAAGCTTTACAAGAGAATACAATAGAGTTTATTAATGCCTTGGGGGAACTATATGTTATTAACATACAAAAATATATGTTAAACAAAAGAAAAAATCAAGATGCATAAAGTACACGTTCGTTCATGTAAAAATAAGTTTTTTTTTTTTTGTTTGTTTGTTTTGAGACAGAGTCTTACTCTGTCACCTAGGCTGGAGTGCAGTGGCACCATCTCGGCTAACTGCAACCTCTGCTTCCCGGGTTGAAGTGGTTCTCAGGCCTCAGCTTCCCTTGTAGCTGGGACTACAAGCGCATGCTACCACACCCGGCTAATTTTCTATATTTTCAGTAGAGGCTGGGTTTTACCATGTTGGCCAGGCTGGTCTCAAACTCCTGGCCTCAAGCAATTCACCAGCCTTGGATTTCCAAAGTGCTGGGATTACAGGCATCAGCCACCACACCTGGCCTAAAAATTAGTTCTATATGCTTGCAAATACATATAAAATGTATGGACACACACACACAGAAAAAACTACCTAGAAATTTACCTTTAAAGGCCAGGCACCATGGCTCATGCCTATAATCACAGCACTTTGGGAGGCCAAGGCAGGTGGATCACCTGAGGTCAGGAGTTAGAGACCAGCCTGGTCAACATAGTGAAACACTAAAAATACAAAAATTAGCCGGGCATGGTGGCAGGTGCCTGTAATCCCAGCTACTCGGGAGGCCAAGGCAGGAGAATAGCTTGAAATCTGGGAGGCAAAGCTTGCAGTAAGCCGAGATCAGCCACTGCACTCCAGCCTGGGCGACAGAGTGAGACTGTGTCAAAAAAAAAAAAAAAAGTCCGGGCGCGGTGGCTCACGCCTGTAATCCCAGCACTTTGGGAGGCTGAGGTGCGTGGATCACGAGGTCAGGAGATCGAAACCATCCTGGCTAACACAGTGAAACCCCGTCTCTACTAAAAATACAAAAAAATTAGCCAGGCATGGTGGTGAGCACCTGTAATTCCAGCTACTTGGGAGGCCGAGGCAGGAGAATAGCTTGAAATCTGCGAGGCAAAGCTTGCAGTAAGCTGAGATCAGGCCACTGCACTCCAGCCTGGGCAACACAGTGAGACTCCGTCTCAAAAAAAAAAAAAAAAAGAAAGAAAGAAAGAAAGAAAGTTACCTTTAAGATGTGAACATGAGAAATGAAGATACTTTTACTTTTCATTTTGTAACTTTGTTTCTGTCCACACTGATGAAAAAAAAATTTATACTGAACTTTTTTTTTATTTTGAAAGACAGAGTCTTGTTCTGTCACCTAGGCTGGAGTGCAATGGTGTGATCATAGGTCACTGCAGCCTTGAATTCTGGGCTCAGGCAATCCTCCTGCCTCAGCCTCCTGAGTAGCTTGAACTACAGGCCTGTACCAGCACACTGAGCTAATTTTTAATTTTTAATTTTTTTTTTTGAGATGGAGTCTCGCTCTGTCACCCAGGCTGGAGTGCAGTGGTGCGATCTCGGCTCACTGCAAGCTCCGCCTCCCGAGTTCATGCCATTCTCCTGCCTCAGCCTCCAGAGTGGCTGGGACTACAGGCACCCGCCACCACGCCCGGCTAATTTTTTGTATTTTTAGTAGAGACAGGGTTTCACTGTGTCAGCCAGGATGGTCTCAATCTCCTGACCTCGTGATCCACCCGCCTTGGCCTCTCAAAGTGCTGGGATTACAGGCGTGAGCCACCGCGCCTGGCCATGCGTGGCTAATTTTTGTATTTTTAGTAGAGGCCGGATTTCATCATCTTGGCCAGGCTGGTCTTGAACTCCTGACCTTGTGATCCACCCGGCCTCAGCCTCCCAAAGTGTTGGGATTACAGGCATGGGCCACCGTGCCTGGCGGTTTTTTTTTTTTTTCTTTTTTTTAGACAGAATCTCACTGTGTCTCCCAGGCTGGAGTGCAGTAGCTTGATCTTGGCTTACTGCAAACCACCCCCTCCCGGGTTCAAGTGATTCTCCTGCCTCAGCCTCCAGAGTAGTTGGGATTACAGGTGCGTGCCACCATGCCTGGCTAATTTTTGTATTTTTAGTAGGGATGGGGTTTCCTCATGTTGGCCAGGCTGGTCTTGAACTCCTGACCTCAAATGATCCGCCCACCTCAGCTTCCCAAAGTGCTGGGATTACAGGCATGAGCCACTGCACCTGGCCTAATTTTTAAATTTTTTTGTACAGACGGGGATCTCACTGTGTTGCCCAGGCTGGTCTCAAACTCCTGGCCTCAGGCCATCCTCCCCACTTGGCTTCTCAAAGTGCTGGGATTCTATAATCCACTGCACCTGGCCCCATCCTTATACTGAACCTTTTATATTTCAACATTTTACATTTTCTTGCTCGTAAAACTATTATACATTTATTATAAGATATTTGGAAAATATACATAGTCATAAAATTATTTTTTCAAAAGTACTTGTAATCTCACTCAGCACTGAAAAAAATAACATCCTTTAATAGTCTTAGATTGTATTATATTTTATTTGAATAGGTAATATTTTCACATGGTTCAATAAGGTAAACACTGTGAAAAAGCACACACCGAGAAGCTCAGACAGTCCACACCATCCTGCCTGCTGTAGGCAGCCACCTTCATTAGTCTTGCACACTCTATCAACCATCCCCCCAGCCCCTGGCAATCCCTAATCACCGTCTTCCGTCTCCATGGATTTGCCTGTTCAGCATATTTCATATGTATAAATGCAATCTTATAATATGTGGTCTTTCATGTCTGATTTCTTTGTTTCCAAGGTTTATCCATGCTATAGCATGTATCAGGTCTTCATTTTATGGCTGAATAATAATCCATTGTAATAATACACCACATTTCATTTTATCCATTCAGTTGATACATATTTAGGCCCTTTCTGGTTTTTGGCTATCATGAATAATGCTGCTATGAACACAGCATATGTACCTTTGTTATGAACACATGTACAGGTTTCTGTGTGGATATATCCTTTCAATTATCTTGGGAAGATGCCCAGGAGTGGACATGCTGAGTCATATGACTATGTTTAACCTATGAAAATTGACAGTTTTCCATAGACCTACTAGCGTGAGGGTTCCAATTTCTCCACACTCTTGATAATACTTGTTATCTTTATTATGTATACATCTATATTATTTTGTACTATCTATAGTATTTTTGATTGCAGCCCTCCTAGAGTGTGAAGTGGAATCTCGTGGTTTTGATTTGACTTTCATTGACAGCTAATGATGTTGAGCCTCTCTCTATGTGCTGGTTGGCCATTTGTATGTCTTCTTCGAGGACATGTCTATTCAAGTCCTTTGCCCATTAAAAAAATAGCTTCAATGAGATATCATTTATATACCATATAGTTCATCTATTTAAAATGTTGAAATTAATGGTTTTAGGTCATTCAAAGAGCGGTACAACCATCACCACAATTGATCTTAGGACATTTTGATCACCTTGGAAAGAAACCTGAAACCCTTAGCTAGCACCCTTCCCAATCCCTCCCCTCCCTCCATCAACCCTATATAGCCACTATCTGCTTCCGTCTCTATAGATCTGCCTATTTGGACATTTTATGTAAATTGATTCACACACTATGTGGCCTTTTTGTGTAGCATACTATTTTCAAGATTCATTCATGTTTTCTTTTCTTTTTGTTTGTTTTTTTTTTTTTTTTTGAGACGGAGTCTCGCTCTGTCGCTGGAGTGCAGTGGCACGATCTCGGCTCACTGCAAGCTCCGTCTTCCGAGTTCATGCCATTCTCCTGCCTCAGCCTCCCGAGTAGCTGGGACTACAGGCGCCTGCCACTGCGCCTGGCTAATTTTTTGTATTTTTAGTAGAGACGAGGTTTCACCGTGGTCTCGATCTCCTGACCTCGTGATCCGCCCACCTCGGCCTCCCAAAGTGCTGGGATTACAGGCGTTTTTTTTGAGACAGAGTCTCACTCCGTGGCTGAGGCTAGAGTGTAGTGGCGTGATCTTGGCTCACTTCAACCTCTGTCTCCCAAGTTCAAGTGATTCTTGTGCCTCAGCCTCCCAAGTAGCTGGGACTACAGATGTGCGCCACCATGCCTGGCTAATTTTTGTATTTTTAGTAGAGATGGAGTTTTGCCATGTTGACCAGGTTGGTCTTGAACTCCTGGCCTCAAGCAATCCACCCGCCTTGGTCTCCTAAAATGCTGGGACTACAGGCATGAGCCACCGCACCTGACCTCTTTTCTTTTTTTTTAATTGAAGCATTTTTTTCTTTTTTATTGTGCTAAAAATTTACAATATAAATTTGTCATTTAAACCATCTAAATATACAATTTGGCTGGGTGCAGGGGCTCATACCTATAATCCCAGCTCTTTGAGAGAATGAGGTAGGAGGGTTGCTTGAGGCCAGGAGTTTGAGACCAGTGTAAGCAACATAGTGACACCCTATTTCTGCAAAAAATTTAAAAAACTAGCCAGGTATAGTGGTGTGCACCTGTAGTCCCAGCTACTTTGGAGGATGAGGTGGGAGGATCACTTCAGCCCAAAGGTTGAGGCTGCAGTGAGCTATGATCACACTACTACATTCCAGTCTGGGTGACAGAGTAAGACTTTGTCTCTAAATAAATAAGTAAATAAATCAATCTAATTTCGTATATGGTGTGAGGGGTAAGGCTCCAACTCATTCTTTTGCATCCAGTTCTCCTAGAACCATTTGTTGAAAAGACTATTCTTTCTCTATTAGATGAACTTTGCATCCTTGTCAAAAATTAGTTGACATGTATGAATTTACTTCTGGATTCTTAATTATATTCTGTACGTCTATATGTCTGTCCTTATGCCAATACCTACAGTTTTGATTTTATGAAGTTTTGTAAATGAGAAGTATGAATCCTACAACTGTATTCTTTTTCAAGGTTGTATTTGGGGCCCTTTGCAATTCCATATGAATTTGAAGATTGCATTTTCATGTCTGCAAAAAGAAAAAGAAAGGAAGGAAGGAAGGATGGATGGAAGGAAGGAAGGAAGAAAGAAAGAAAAGAAAGAAAGAAAGAAAGATAAAGAAAACAAGCAAGCAGGCAGGCACTTAGAGTTGTGACTGCACTGAATCTGTAGATGGCTTTGGGCAGTTTTGCTATCTTAACAATATTGTTTTCCAATCCACTAACATGGAATACCCTTTCACTTATTTAAGTCTTCTTAAATTTCTTTTTTTAAGATGAAGTCTCACTCTGTTGCCCAGGCTAGAGTGTGCAGTGGCATGATCTCCGTTCACTGCAACCTCCACCTCCCAGGTTCAAGAGATTCTCCTGTTTCAGCCTCCCAAGTAGCTGGGACTACAGGCGTGCACCACCATGCCCAACTAATTTTTATATTTTTTTAGTAGAGACGGGGTTTCACCATATTGGCCAGGCCGGTCTCGAACTCCTGACCTCGTGATCAGCCCGCCTCGGATTCCCAAAGTGCTGGGATTACAGGCTGAGTCAGGAGAATGGCTTGAACCCAGGAGGCAGAGGTTGCAGTGAGCTGAGATTGTGCCACTGCACTCCAGCCTGGGTGACAGAGCAGCAAGACTCCATCTCAAAAAAAAAAGATAAATAAAATTGACAAAACTTATTTATTTATTTATTGAGATGGAGTCTCGTTCTGTAGTCCAGGCTGGAGTGCGGTGGCGCGATCTCAGCTCACTGCGAGCTCCGCCTCCCGGGTTCACACCATTCTCCTGCCTCAGCCTCCCAAATAGCTGGGACTACAGGCGCCCGCCACCACGCCTGGCTAATTTTTTTGTATTTTTAGTAGATACAGGGTTTCACTGTGTTAGCCAGGGTGGTCTCAATTTCCTGACCTCGTGATCCACCTGCCTTGGCCTCCCAAAATGCTGGGATTACAGGCATGAGCCACCGCACTCGGCCAAAGTTGACAAATCTTTAACTAGACTGACAAAGAAAACAGGGAGAAGTTGCAAATATCTAAAATCAGAAATAAAAGTGGGGTAACTACTATTGACCTTTTACAGGAAAAGGATTAGAGCTAGGCATGGTGGCAAATGCCTATAGTCCCAGCTACTTGGGAGGCTGAGGCAGGAGGATCACTGGAACCTGGGAGTTTAAGGCTTGTGTAAGCTATGGTCATATCACTGCACTCTGGCCTGGGCAATATAGCTAGACATGATCTCCTTTTTTTTTAGATGGAGTCTTGCTCTGTCACCCAGGCTGGAGTGCAATAGCGAGATCTCGGCTCATTGCAACCTCCACCTACCGGGTTCAGGAGATTCTCCTGCCTCAGCCTCCTGAGTAGCTTGGATTACAGGTGCGTGTCACCATGCCTGGCTCATTTTTGTATTTTTAGTAGAGACAGGGTTTCATCACATTGGTCAGGCTGGTCTCAAACTCCTGACCTCATGATCTGCCTGCCTCGGCTTCCCAAAGTGCTGGCATTACAGATGTGAGCCACTGGGCCCGGCCTATTTATCTTTTTAAGAACCAACTCCTGTTTTTGTTAATTTTCTCGATTGCTTTTCCTCTTTTCTATTTTATTTATCTCTGCTCTAATCTTTATTATTTTTTTCCTTCATCTAGCTTTGAGTTTAGTTCGTTCTTTTTCTATTCCCTCAAGGTGTAAAGTTATTGATTTGAGATCTTTCTTCTTTTTAAAATGTAGCTATTTACAGCTATAAATTTCTGTTTGAGAACTGCCTTCACTGCATCCATAAGTTTCAGCATATTGTGTTTTTATTCTCCTTTGTCTCGCAGTATTCTCTAATTTTCCTTGTGATTTCTTCTCTCAGTCATTGGCTATTTGAGGGTGTGTTGTTTCACAGCCACATATTTGTGAGTTTTCCAGTTTTCCTCTTGTTATTGATTTTTAACTTCATTCCAATGTGGTCAGAGAAGATAGTTTGCATGATTTCAGTCTTTTTAAATCTATTGAGACTTGTTTTGTGGCCTATCATATGGTCTATCCCAGAGAATGTTTCCTGTGCACTTGAGAAGAATGTGTATTCTGTTGTTGGGAGGAGCTCTGCATATACGTCTTGTAGGTCTAGTTGGTTTATGGTTTATTTTATTTTATTTTTTTTGAGACAGGGTTTCACTCCCTTTGCTCAGGCTGGAGTGCAGTTGCATGCTCTCTGCTCACTACAAGCTCTTCCTCCTGTGCTCAAGCAATCCTTCTGCCTCAGCCTCTCAAGTAACTGGGACTACAGGCATGCGCCACCATGCCTGGCTAATTTTTTTATTTTTAGTAGAGACAAAGTTTCACCATGTTGGCCAGGCTGGTTTTGAACTCCTGAACTCAAGTGATCTGCCTGCCTCAGCCTCTGAAAGTGCTGGGATTACAGGTGTGAGCTATAGTATTGTTTAGCTGGGTGTGGTGGCTCACATCTATAATCTCAGCACTTTGGGAGGCTGAGGCAGGAGGATTACTTGAGCCCAGGAGGTCAAGGTTGCAGTGAGCTGTGATTGTGCCACTGCATTCCAGTCTGGATGACAGAGCAAGATCCTGACTTAAAAATACAACATGGCCGGTTGCAGTGGCTCACGCCTGTAATCCCAGAACTTTGGGAGGCTGAGGCAGGTGGATCGCCTGAGGTCGGGAGTTCAAGACCAGCCTGACTAACATGGAGAAACCCTGTCTCTACTAAAAATACAAAATTAGCTGGGCATGGTGGCACATGCCTGTAATCCCAGCTACTCGGGAGGCTGAGGCAGGAGAATCACTTGAACCCGGGAGGCGGAGGTTGCGGTGAGCCGAGATCACGCCATTGCCCTCCAGCCTGGGCAACAAGAGCAAAACTCCATCTCAAAAAAACAAAAACAAAAACAAAAAAACCACAACACACACACTCACACACACACACACACACACAGTCCTCCATTTCCCAATGATCTTCTGTGTAAATGTTATATCCATTATTAAAAGTAGTGTATTGAAGTTTCCAGCTATTATTGTAGAACCATCTATTTCTACCTTCAATTCTATCAATATTTGCTTCATATATTTTGGGGGCTCTGTTGAATGGTGTGCATATGTTTATAATTGTTATATCTACTTGATGAATTGATCCTTTTGTCAGTATATTATGTCCTTCCTTGTGTCTTATAAGAGTTTTTATCTTTTTTTTTTTTTTTTTTTTTTGAGACTGAGTCTCTCTCTGTCACCCAGGCTGGAGTGCAGTGGCGCAATCCGGGCTCACTGCAACCTCTGCCTCCTGGGTTCAAGCAATTCTCCTGCCTCAGCCTCGTGAGTAGCTGGGATTACAGGTGTGTGCCATCATGCCCAATTAATTTTTGTATTTTTAGTAGAGATGAGGTTTCACCATGTTGGTCAAGCTGGTCTCGAACTCCTGACCTCAGGTGATCTGCCTGCCTTGGCCTCCCAAAGTGCTGAGATTAGAGGCATGAGCCACTGCACCCAGCCAAGAGTTTTTATCTTAATGTGTTTTTATTTGATATTAGTATAGCCATCTTATCTCTTTTTTTTTTGAGAAGGAGTCTCACTCTGTCACCCAGGCTGGAGGGCAGTGGTGCGATCTCTGCTCACTGCAAGCTCCGCCTCCCGGGTTCACACCATTCTCCTGTCTCAGCCTCCCAAGTAGCTGGGACTACAGGCACCCGCCACCACACCCAGCTAGTTTTTTGTATTTTTTAGTAGAGACAGGGTTTCACCGTGTTAGCCAAGATGGTTTTGATCTCCTGACCTTGTGATCCGCCGGCCTTGGCCTCCCAGGGATTACAGCCGTGAGCCACTGCGCCCTGCCTCTTATCTCTCTTTTAATTACTATTTGCACAGAATATCTTTTTCCATCCTTTATTTTTAACCCATTTGTGTCTTTGGATATAAACTGGGTCTCCTGTAGACAGCATACAGCTGAATCATGTTTTTTTTTTTTTAATCATTTGGCCAGTCTCTACCTTTTGAATGGAGAGTTTAATCCACTTACACTTAAAGTAATTACTTATTTATTTATTTTTTTGAGACAGGGTTTCACTCTGTTGCCCAGGCTGGAGTGCAGTGGTGTGATCTCAGTTCACTGCAACCTCCTCATCCTGGGCTCAAATGATCCTTCTGCCTTAGTCTCCCAAGTAGCTGGGACTATAGGCATGTGCCACCATGCCTGCCTTATTTTTGTATTTTTTGTAAAGATAGGGTTTTGCCATGTTGCCCAGCCTGGTCTTTAACTCCTGGACCCAAGTGATCCACCTGCCTCAGCCTCCCAAAGTGCTGGGATTACAGGCATGAGCCATTGCGCCCAGCCCTAAAGTAATTGAAGATAAGAAGGAAGGACTTCTAACATTTGCTACTTGTTTTTTGTATGTCTTTGTATTAGTCATGGTTTTCTGGAGAACAGAAGTAATGTGATGCATATATATGATATATATTTATAAACATGAATATATGTTAAATATATAAATATACAGAATATGTACAAAAATATGTTTATACTTATAAACATATATGTACAATTTATGTTTATATTTATAGACTATATATGTAAAATATATAAAAATGTATATGCTTATATAAAATTATTTTATATATCCATATAAACATAATATATGTAAACTATATTTATATTTATTTACATATAAAATTATATATAAACCTATATTTTCAATAAATACATAAAAAGAAATATATAAATATATTTACATCTCTCTATATTGTATACAATATATCTTTATATATAGGCTGGGTGCTGTGGTTCATACCTGTAATTCCAGTCCTTTGGAAGGCTGAAGCAGTAGGCTGCTTGAGACCAGGAGTTTGAGACCAGCCTAGGCAACATAGTGAGACCCTGACTCTACAAAAAATTTAAAAATTAGATGAGTGTGGTGGCAAGGACCTATAGTCTTAGCTACTTGGGAGGCTCAGGGAGGAGGACTGCTTGAGCCCAGGAGTTTAAGGCTGCAGTGAGCTGTGATTGTGCTGCTGTACTATAGCCTGGGTAACAGAGGGAGACCCTGTCTCTAAAAAAAAGTACATATATGAATGTGTGTGTGTGTATATATACATATATATATATGTATATATAATTTTTTTTTTTTTTTTTTTTTTTTTTTTTTTTTAGAGATGGAGTTTCACTCTTATTGCTTAGGCTGGAGTGCAATGGTGCAATCTCGGCTCACTGCAACCTCCGGCTCCCGGGTTCAAGTGATTCTGCTGCCTCAGCCTCCCAAGTAGCTGGGATTATAGGCATGCGCCACCATGCCCGGCTAATTTTGTATTTTTAGTAGAGATGGGGTTTCTCCATGTTGGTCAGGCTGGTCTTGAACTCCCGACCTCAGGTGATCTGCCAGCTTGGCCCCCTGAAGTGCTGGGATTACAGGCGTGCTTCTACTTTCTTATCCCTAAGTACCATCTTACCTGTGGGTTTTTTGGTAAAAATTATTTATCCAGTTGAGTAAGTTCCCCTCTATTCGTTAGTTTACAGAGAGTTTTAATCATGCATGGGTGTTGGAGTTTGTTAAATGCTTTTTTTTGTTGCATCTATTGATCATGCGATTTTTCTTCTTTAGCCTATTGATTTGATGGATTACATTCATTGATTTTCTGATGTGGAACAAGCCTTTCATATCTGGGATAAATCCCACTGGTTGTGGTATATAGCTCTTTTTATACATTGTTTGATTTGATTTGCTAATATTTTGTTGAGAATTGTTGCAACTATATTCATGGAAGATATAGGCTTATAGTGTTTTGTTTTGTAGTTTGTTTTTCAGTAATGTCTTTGTCTGGTTTTAATATTAGGGTAATGGCCTCATAGAAAGAATTGAGAAGTACTTCCCCATGTTAATTTTCTGGAAGAACTTCTTTAGAATTGGTATTATTTCTTCCTTAAATGTTTGGTAGAATTTCTTAGTTAAGCCATCCAGGCCTGGGGTCTCCTTCATGGAAAGGTTTTGTTTTGTTTTTGTTTTTTTGAGATGGAGTTTTGCTCTTGTTGCCCAGGCTGAGTGCAATGGTGCTAACTCCACTCACCGCAACCTCTGCCTCCTGGGTTCAAACGATTCTCCTGCCTCAGCCTCCCAAGTAGCTGGGATTACAGACGTGTGCCACCACGGCTGGCTAATTTTGTATTTTTAGTAGAGACGGGTTTTCTCCATGTTGGTCAGGCTGGTCTTGAACTCCTGACCTCTGGTGATCAGCCTGCCTTGGCCTCCCAAAGCACTGGGATTACAGGCGTGAGCCACCACGCCCAACCCATGGAAACGTTTTTAACTACAAATTCAATTTATTTAATAGATGTAGGACTTTTTGTGTTGTCTTAAAAGTGAGCTTTGGTAACTTGTATTTCACAAGGAATTTGTATAGTTCATTGTTCAAATTCATTGGCGTATATTCTATTTTCATTTTAATATATGTAGAATGTGAAGTCATGTCAACTTTCTCATTCTTGGTATTGGTAATTTGTGTCTTTTTTTTTTTTTTTTGAGATGGAGTCTCGCATTCCAGGCTAGAGTGCAGTGGCGCGATCTTGGCTCACTGCAATCTCTGACTCCCAGGTTCAAGTTATTCTCCTATCTCAGCCTCCCGAATAGCTGGGACTACAGGTGCTTGCCACCATGCCCGGCTAATTTTTGTATTTTTTTTTTTTTTAGTAGAGATGGGGTTTCTTTGTTCCTTTTTTTTTTTTTTTTTGAGATGGAATCTCGCTCTGTCACCCAGGCTGGAGTGCAGTGACACAATCTTGGCTCACTGCAACCTCCGCCTCCTGGGTTCAAGCGATTCTTCTGCTTCTGCCTCAGCCTCCTGAGTACCTGGGACTACAGGCGCACGCCACCACACCCAGCTAATTTTTGTATTTTTAGTAGAGACGGGGTTTCACCATATTGGCCAGGCTGGTATTGAACTCCTGAACTCGTGATCCGCCCACCTCAGCCTCCCAAAGTGCTGGGATTACAGGCGTGAGCCACCTTGCCCGGCCTCTCTCTCTCTTACTTTCTTTCTCTTTCTTTCTCTCTCTCTCTCTCCTTTCTTTCTCTCACTCTCTTTCCTTCCTTGTTTCTTTTTCTTTCTTTTTTTGGCCTGCTTGCTGGTCTCAAACTCCTGACCTCAGGTGATCTGCCTGCCTTGGCCTCCCAAAGTGTTGGGATTACAGGCATGAGCCACCGTGCTGGGCCAATTTGTGTCATTTTCTTTTTTCCTGATTGCTCTGACTATTGATCTTCTCAAAGAACACACTTTGATTTCATTCATTTCTCTATGTCTTTTAGTTTTTAATTTTATTGATTTTTACTTTTATCTTCTTTCTGTTCTTTGGTTTTACTTCATTTTCTGTCTAGTTTTTTCTTTTTTGAAGCCGAGGTCTTTGTTTTGCCCAGGCTTGTCTGGAACTCTTGGGCTCAAGTGATCCTCTCACCTCAGCCTATTTCTGATACTGATTTCTAATTTAATTTCATTGTGGATAGAAAATATGTTTTATATGACTTGACTCCTCTTAATATTTTTATGGCCTACAATATGGTTTATTTTGATAAGTGCTCTGTGAAAACTTGAAAATAATGTGTATTCTGTTGTTATGAGTAGTTTTCTATAAATGTCTATTTGATTTAGTTGGTTGTGTTTAAGTCTTCTATATACTTACTATTTTCCTGTCTAATTGTTCTGTCAATTATCAAAAGAAGGATTTGAAATCTCCAAATATAATTGGAAGTTGTGGTTCTGTCAGTCTTTGCTCCATGTATTTTAAGCTTCTGTTAATGGGAACAAAGATGTTTAGGGTTGTTATGTCCTACTGATGAACTGACCCCTTTATAATAATAATAATAATAATAATAATAATAATAATAATTCTCTTGGCCAGATGTGGGTGGCTCACATCTGTAATCCCAGCACTTTGGGAGGCTGAGTCAGGAGGATTGCTTAAAGCCAGGAGTTTGAGACTAGCCTGGGCAACAAAGTGAGACTTCAACTCTACACAAAATAAAAAAAGTCGAGTGTGGTCGAGCGTGTGTGGTCCCAGCTACTTGGGAGGCTGAGGCAGGAGGATCCCTTGAGCCCAGGAGTTAGAGGCTGCAGTGAGCTACGATTGCACCATGGCATTCCAGCCTAAGTGACAGACTGAGACCCTGTCTCTGGAAAAGAAACCCGATCCTCTTCATCCTTAGTGATATTCTTTTCCCTGCAATTAATTTTCTTTGGAATTTCCTTGCCCTAAAATCTATTTGTCTACTCAGTTTTCTTTTGTGTGAGCATGGTATGATGGTGTATCTGGTATATCTTTTTGTTATTGTTTTACTGCCACTGGGGTAATCACAGGACTCACCTGGTTTTGTCTCCTGTCTCTCAAGGATTACTGTCCTTTGCCTGAGGTCCAGCGTCGCCAGCCTGGGCGACAGAGCGAGAGCCCGTCTCAGAAAAACCCCCAAGTCCCCCACCTCAGTTCAAAGACCTCTCCTTTTTCCTCCGCTGTCACGGTACAGGAAACAATGTGTAGTTTCCACTACCTGGAAGACTCGACTTGCTCTCCGAGAACCAGTTCCCCGACAGGGTTCCTAGAGCGCAGGCTGCACGGCACAGCCCCAACATTCCCTGCTGCTTGTGAATCTTCGCATCGCCCTCCCAGGGGTCAGGAATGTGTGCTTCGGTGTCTCCAGAGCCTAGCACCACCCCATGACTCAGCTGGCGCTCGGAGGGTCCTTCCATCTGCCGCCGCTGGGGCCTTCGCTACTTCCCCCTCGCTCCTACTGGCTGGCCCACCCGGCTGCCCAGGCTCGGAAGCCCAGGATCCCAGTCACGCGTCTCCCCTTAGTCCCCGCCTCCAGCCACGCCCCCCACACCCCTCCGTCGGCCCCGCCTCCAGCTCCTGCTCGCTCTCCTAGTCCTTCCTCGGCCCCACCTCCAGCCACGCCCCCCACGTGCGCCATCAGCCCCGCCCCCAGCTCTCGCTCGCCCTCCCGAGTCCTCCCTCGGCCCGGTCCCCGCCTCTAGCTCCCCCTTGCCCTCCAGGGTCCTTCTCGGCCCCGCCTCCTGCCGCGCCCCCAACGCTGCTCCGTCGGCCCCCGCCTCCGGTCCCGCCCCCATGCTCCTCCCATTTGGTCCTGTCTTCTGCACTGGCGGAGGTCGCGGCGGGCCTCGGAGAGGAGACGCCGACGTCAGCGCGCCGGGGCGGGGCTGGCGGCAGGAGACGCCGCGTTGAGAGCTTGGGCTCCTCCGTGAGCCGCCGGCGCGCTTCGCTGCCTGGCGGCCTTTCCCCGAGCCGAGCCCGCTTCCCGAGGCCGCCAGTCGTCGCCTGCCCGCGCCTGCGCAGCGTCCCGGGCCGAGAGGGCCACGGCGGCGGCCATGGCGCACCGCTGTTTGCGGCTGTGGGGCCGGGGCGGCTGCTGGCCCCGCGGCCTACAGCAGCTCCTCGTGCCTGGCGGCGTGGGCCCGGGCGAGCAGCCCTGCCTCCGGACGGTGAGTCCTACCTGGGCGCCCGGCGCCCTCCACCCTGCCTCGGGCCCACTTCCGGCTCGGGAGAGCGGACGTCAAGGTCACTGGCCCCCGCCCTCCGGCCGCACGCGGGCCGTCCCTGCCGAGGGCCTGGGCGCCCTGCGCTGTCTCTCAGCCGGCCCCGGGAGCGCCGATTCGCGCTCAGCCCTGCCTGTGGGATTCAAGTTTTGAAAACGCGCAGCTTCAGTAGAGCCGGGTTTTCGCGCTTCACCGGGGCGGTTGAAGCCTCGAAGGTCATGTTGGCTTGGTGGCCGTCCTTGTCCCCGCTTTCGTGTCCCCGGAGCACGGAACGAAGGCGTCTGTAATTTTGAGTCAGCAGCACGAGCACGATGTAGTCGCAAGGACGGGTTTTGGAGTCGGGCTGCCTAACCTCTCCGAGTCTCCGTGTTCCCGTCTGTTGAATGGGGCCATTGCGGGCATTCCAGGACTGGCAGTATTAGCTATTATTATTAAGAATGTCACCTTTTCATAGCAGGGACTCTGTGTTCGTTGCATATCAGGGCCTGCTCTCAGCAGGAGGCTCTTTCTCTGTTGGTAGCCATCCCTCTAGATACACACACGGGACCTGATACGTGTTTCTGACATAATGATAGAGTGTTGACAGAACCATGGCCGTGATCAGTCTCAATGAAAGGTTCACGTGTCGAATAGTCGCTCTCACTGTTTAAGTGACACGGTTCCTCAGCCTTGCACTGGTGTACGGGTGGTGGTTGAGGTCCCCGGGTCGGCCACGGGAACCTGGCTTGGCCTCCTGCTATCCCAGCGCCCTTGTAGTCAGCTCAACGTCTTCACTGTAAGGGGAGATAGGCTAGTGCCGGGGCTCACGCCTGCGATCCCAGCACTTAGGGAGGCCGAGGCGGGAGAATCGCTTGACTCCAGGAGTTGGAAACCAGCTTGGGTAGGGTAGCAGACCCTCCGATCTACGATTTTTATTTTTATTTTTATTTTTTAAGAGACGGGGTTTTGCTTCTTCGCCCAGGCCGGAGTGCAGCGGCGCAAACACAGCTCACTGCAGCCCCAAACTCAAGCGATCCTCCCGCCTCAGCCTCCGGAGTATCTGGGACTACAGCACCGTGGTTGATTTTTAAAAAGTTTCTGGAGAGGCCAGGCGCGGTAGCTCACGGCTGTAATCCCAGCAGGCGGGTGGATCACGAGGTCAGAAAATCGAGATCATCCTGGCTAACACGGTGAAACCCCATCTCTACTAAAAATACAAAAAATTAGCCGGGCGTGGTGGCGGGCGCCTGTAGTCCCAGCTGCTCGGGAGACTGAGGCAGGGGAATGGCGTGAACCTGGGCGGTGGAGCTGGCAGTGAGCCAAGAGCGGGCCACTGCACTCTAGCCTGGGCGACAGAGCGAGACTCCGTCCCAAAAGATAGGGTTCACCATCTTGCCCAGTTGCCCAGGCTGGCCTGGAACTCCAGGACCCAGGCGATCCTCCCGCCTCCTCCTCTCAAAGTGTTGGAATTACAGACCTGAGCCACAGCTCCTGGCCTCTACAAATTGTTTTTTTTTTTTTTTTCTTACCTGGGCTCAGTGACTTATGACTATAGTCCCAGCAACTCGGGGGGCCAAGGCGGGTTGCTTGGCGCGGGAGGTTGAGGCTCCAGTGAGTTTTGATTGCATTGCTGTACTCCAGCGTGGGTGACGGACTCTGTCTCCTAAAAAAAAAAAGAGCGGGGGTGGGGAGGGGGAATAATAGTGCCTGCATTCATGATTTTTACTCCTTGAGGCTCCCTTGCCAGTCTTAAATCAATTTCTTCGCCATGGTCACGCCACGCTGCCGTGTGGTAGGTCCTTTTTCGGTTTCCTGTATCCATTTCCCTGTTTTACCAAGCTCTGATCCCTTTTCTTTTCTTTTCTTTTTTTTTTTTTTTTGAGACAGGGTCTCGCTCTGTCGCCCAGACTGGAGTGCAGTGGTGTGATTTTGGGTCACTGCAACCTTCGCCTCCAGGGTTCAAGCAATTCTCCTGCCTCAGCCTCCCGAGTAGCTGGGATTACAGGCGCCCGCCACTACGCCTGGCTAAATTTTGTATTTTTAGTAGAGATGGTGTTTCACCTTGTTGGCCAGGCTGGTCTCAAACTCCTGGCCTCAAGCAATCCATTTGGCCTCCCAAAGTGCTAGTATTACAGACGTGAGCCACCTTGCCCGGCCTGACTGCTTTTCTTTTGCTGCTCATGAATATTGGATTCAGACATACAGTTCCAGGTGGGGATCTGCATTGTGAGTTTGCAGTTTTATGTCAGAAGTGTTACCCAAAGGCTTTCCTTTTGAGTGACACTATTGTCCCTGTATCACTCAGATGCTGATGTATAAGGAAGTCCTCTGTGCTGACAGCTGTAGCTGATTGATTTGCGGAGGGTGTGGGGGTTCGCGGTCCTGATACATACTCTTTGGTACTCTCTGAAGATTTGCCTAGTGACACCTGGGCATTACTGTGCTGTGAGGGAGTCTGATAGGACAGGTTTTCCTTTATGTTCCTGCTACCCTTAAAGATCAGAGACAGAAGTACTGCTTTCACGGTGAGGAAGAGATTCTGATGTGTTGAGAGATGAGTTCTCAGGTGTGATGCCCAGAGGAATAAGACTGATGATAAAGCAACTGAAAAGTGCTCCTGTTGTCAAACATAAAGGCTAATTCTCCAAAATGCGGTGCTCTCAACTTAAATTTTGTGAATTAGTATCTCTTACATTATTCTTTGAATGCTAGACATGCAGATCTTGGATTACATATGCAGAGGAGAAGAAGTTTCATTGATGATTTCTTCATAGAACACAACCTCAGTGTTAAATTCAGTCACGGATTATTGCTAGGGATATTCCATGTCAACACAATTTGAAAATAGAGCCTAAAAAGGGCTTTTCTGTCAATATTTATGGAGCGCATACAGTGCCCTGTTCTGTACTAAACTTTATGGTGATATAAAGACTTGCTTTATATGGTACTATGGTTTGAGTTTGGCCTCACCAAAACTCATGTTGAAATTTGTTCCCCATCGTGGTGGTATTGAGAGGTGGGGCCCAGTGGGAGGTGTTTGGGCCATGGGGGTGGAGCTCTCATGAGTGTCTTGGTGCCATTCTAGAGGTAGTGAGTTCTGTGAGCTGTATTGGGACTGGCTTAATTTCAGAGACCTTAGGTTGTTATAAAGTAGAAGTTCCTCCCTCATGGTATGTGGCTGCTTTGCCATTGACCTTCTCCCACCGTGTTTTGATGTAGCACCTTCTCCTGCCATAATTTGACCTAGCATGTGACCCTCACCATAAGCCCAGCACCCTGTTTCTCATACTTCCCCTCTTGCAGAACTGTGAGCTAAATAAACCTTTCTTTGTAAATTACCCAGCTTCAGGCACTCTGTTATAGCGGAACAGAAAGGACTAAGACTAAGACGTGGCAATATAAAGACCCCTTCATATTACCTCTGCACCACTCCTGTTCCCTGTACTCAGAGCTTTTGTTTGGTTACATTGTTATGCCATAGTGTAACTGATTTGTCCCATGATTTTCTTCCCTATGTTTCTGTGCTTCTTAGGGGTGGGAACTGGTTCTGATTCCCCTTCGGACACCCCACTGCTTGACAGCACCTGGCCTGGAGTTGTTGACTTGTCTAGCTTGAATAACATTTCATTTTAATCTACACCCTTAATGGATTTGG
This sequence comes from Homo sapiens, assembly GCF_000001405.40. Classification (NCBI taxonomy): domain Eukaryota; kingdom Metazoa; phylum Chordata; class Mammalia; order Primates; family Hominidae; genus Homo; species Homo sapiens. The sequence goes on along the minus strand of NC_000018.10, from coordinate 12,373,280 downwards.
CACTGGAAAAAAACTCTTATGTTGCATTCTTATCTGTTATCAGTGGTTATTTCATAGGCCAAGTGTTCCTGTGGTTGGGCAGGGTGTAACACAACATAAGCTCCAAAGTCTCCCAGGCCAGTATTGCACTCAGACAAAAACAGTGTTGGTGTTCCTGTCCTGTTTTGCTGTGTGGAATTCTGTATTTATTTGAAGTTAAATCATCTCATTCTGTTTTATTTGTTTTTTATTGACATTTTAATTTACAAACCATTGTTCATCTTAAATGTACAGTTCATTGGTTTTTAACATATTCATAAAGTTATGCAACCATCATCACTGTCTCCAATTCCAGAACATTTTCAGCACTCCAGAAAGAAGCCCTGCGACCATTAGTAATCATTTCGCATTTCTCTGTAATCATTCCCCCAACTCTAGGCAACTACTAATGTGTCTATCTCTCTATGGATTTGCCTATTCTAGACATTTCGTATAAATGGAATCATAATATGTGACCTTTTGTGTCTGCCTTCTTTCACTTAATATGATGTTTTCAGAGTTCATCCACGTGTCAGTACTTCATTCCTTTGTTTGAGTGACTGGTATTCTCTTGTATGGGTATACCACATTTTATTTATCTGTTCATCATCAGGTGGTGAACGTTTGGCTTGTTCCTACTTTTTGACTGTTATGAATAAGGCTTCTGTGAACATTTGTGTGCATATTTTTCGTGGACATGTGTTTTCAGCTTCCTTGGGTAGGGATGGCATTGCTGGGTCATATGGTGACCCATAGAGTCATGTGGTACCATTTTGGAGCTCTGTCAAACTGTTTTCCAGAGTGGCTACACCATTTTACATTCTCACCAGCACAGTGTACAGGGCTCCAGTTTCTCACATCCTCACCCATACTTGTCTGTCTTTTTGATTATAGTGGATGTGAGGTGGTTTTATTTGGTTTTGTAATTTTTATAACTATTATTTTATTTTTATTTTTTTGAGACGGAGTCTCACTCCATCGCCCAGGCTGGAGTGCAGTGGCGTGATCTCGGCTCACTGCAACTTCTGCTGCCTGGGTTCAAGCAGTACTCCTGCCTCAGCCTCCCGAGTAGCTAGGATTACAGGCACCTGCCACTGTGCCTGGCTAATTTTTGTATTTTTAGTAGAGACGGGGTTTCACCATCTTGGCCAGGCTGGTCTTGAACTCCTGACCTCGTGATGCACCCACCTCGGCCTCCCAATGTACTGGGATTACAGGTGTGAGCCACTGCGCCTGGCCAGGGTTTGTCTTTTGAATGCTACAAATTAAACAAACATCATCAAAGTGAATGTGTTGTCACATAATTATAATTGGATTGCAATTCTACATTATGTCTGATTTTGAAATATTCTTGTTTTCTGGATAATAATGTGTGTCTCCTGGTTCTTTTGCTGGAATCAGTGGCCTAGTGCTAGGTAATCCTAGTCCTCACTAAGGGAGTCATTCTGTGTTACTTCATAACCACCTGTGGAAGAGAGAGACCTTTCATCTACTTTATGACCAGGAAATGAAGCTCTTTTAAGTTTTTTATCTTGATATAACTATGGTTTTATTTTTATGTCTTGTTGCAGCTTTACCGATTTGTTACAACTCAAGCAAGGGCCAGCAGAAATTCTCTTTTGACAGATATAATTGCTGCTTATCAAAGATTCTGTTCTCGACCCCCAAAAGGTAAATGCTTAGGTGTGGCTGTAGTGTTCTACATTCTTAGGTTGGGTCTTTTGTCTCCTTCTGTAACCCATTCCCCTGCCTCCAACTTATGTCTGATTACAGCGATGAAGATATGTCATCTTCAAATGTAACACATTTGTAGATAATGAAATTGATATGCAAAAAGGAGGCTTTTTCCTTTAACACTTCTGGGTTGTGAACTATATTATTTAGACTTTGATGTACTTGTACACAAGAAATGTTATGCTTTTAGCTTGTGCTTTTTTTTTTTTTTTTGGAGACTGAGTTTGGCTCTTGTCGCCCAGGTTGGAGTGCACTAGTGCGATCTTGGCGTACTGCAACCTCCGCCTTCTGGGTTCAAGCGATTCTCCTGCCTCAGCCTCCCGAGTAGCTGGGATTACAGGCACCTGCCACCACACCCAGCCAATTTTTTGTACTTTTAGTAGAGTCGGAGTTTCGCCATGTTGGGCAGGCTGGTCTCGAACTCCTGACCTCAGGTGATCTGCCCACCTCAGCCTCCCAAAGTGCTGGGATTACAGGCATGAGCCATTGCGCCTGGCCAGCTTGTGCTTTTCAGTGATGCATCAGCTGCTTTGAAAACAAAATGAACACAAACCTGATGAATTTTAGTTTGAAGATAAGTATTTTTTTTCTTTTTCTAACAGGATTTGAAAAATACTTTCCTAATGGAAAAAATGGAAAAAAAGCTAGTGAACCTAAAGAAGTTATGGGAGAGAAAAAAGGTACCTTTTGACAATATTATATTTGAATTTTGTGTTTTCCCCTCATGTATAATGGTGGTAGTTTCCACTGAACAAAGAAAAGAGTTATCAGGCCGGGCACAGTGTCTCACGCCTGTAATCCCAGCCTTTTGGGAGGCCTAGGCGGGTGGATCACTTGAGCCCAGGAGGTTGAGACCAGCCTGGGCAATGTGGTGAAACTCTGTCCCTACTAAAAATACAAAAAATTAGTTAGACATGGTGGTGCACACCTGTAGTCCCAGCTACCTGGGAGGCTGAGGTGGGAGAATCACCTGAGCCCAGCAGGGAGCTGTGATTGTGCCACTGCACTCCAGCCTGGGCAACAGAGAGACCCTGTCTCAAAAAAAAAAGAAAAAAAAAAAAAAAAGAAAGTTATAGTAAGTCAGTTGTGAAGCTGTAGGTTGCAAGTACATATAAAATTCTAGAGACCTTATGTTACATTTCACCTTAATTTTCTGTTGATATTTTTCTGTCATTTTGCAAATTGAAGTAATTTAAGGCTACCTTAGAGGTATTGTCTGGTCAAACTAAGCATATTTGGTAGATATCTGGCACATAATTTAAAACATTGAGAAAAATCGTAGAAATCTAATACATGCAATTTATTTGATACATATTGTGTTTAGGGCAGTGTTTTAAAAATTGCTCCTCAGAGCATTACCTCACCTTAGGGATTCGGAGAGACTTTTTTAGAGCACGGTGGCTGGGGGACTGAGTGGGCCTCCTGTGCCCATTTTGACTGACTTCCTTGCTTTTTTTTTTTTTTTTTTTTTTTTGAGACAGAGTCTAGCTCTGTCGTCCAGGCTGGAGTGCAGTGGCATGATCTTGGCTCACTGCAAGCTCCGCCTCTTGGGTTCGCACCATTCTCCTGCCTCAGCCTCCTGAGTAGCTGGGACTAAAGGCGCACGCCTGGCTAATTTTTTTTTTTTTGTATTTTTAGTAGAGACGGGGTTTCGCTGTGTTAGCCAGGATGGTCTCCATCTCCTGACCTTGTGATCCGCCTGCCTCGGCCTCCCAAAGTGCTGGGATTACAGGCGTGAGCCACCATGCCCGGCCCATCCTTGCTTTTTTAGGGAAATGTAAAGAAAACTGTAATTCAGTTTCTTTTTTTTTTTTTTTGAGGAGGGGTCTCTGTCGCCCAGGCTGGAGTGCAGTGGCACGATCTCACTGCAACCTCTGCCTCTTGGGTTCAGGTGATTCTCCTGCCTCAGCCTCCACAGTAGCTGGGATTATAGGCATGCGCCACCATGCCTAGCTAATTTTTAAGAGATGAGGTTTCACCATGTTGGCCAAGCTGGTCTTGAACTCCTGACCTCATGTGATCCACCCGCCTCTGCCTCCCAAAGTGCTAGGATTACAGGCGTGACCACTGCACCTGGCCTCGAGGAGTCCACGTTTTTAAATGTACTTGTCATCTAGTTGGACAGACAAATATATGCCCAAAGAATGCAAAGGAGTAAGAGCCAGGGGACATGGGGAGGGAGAAGCACTGGTGTGGGCTGGTGACAGCCCCGGGGCTCTAGATTGGAGCAGTACCTACAGTTCTCCCAGTGCATGCTAGGTGGTCTTTGAGTCTTGGTGTGGGGGCCGAGTAATGATAACCCATGCAAGCTTTTGGGTTGCTTTTGTGTGGACATTCCTTTCTCCCTGAGTGGTTTGGAGTGTTGCACAGCTTTAGTGGTGTGCTTACTGCGTGTTTTTTAGTCCTGGGCCTCATTCTGGGGGCTGAGGCTTGTGCATATCATACCTGTCTCAGACTCCACTCGAGACAGAGGTGCAGAAGCCCCTCGTATGCAGCATAGCGGAGTGAATGTGTCATGAAGCCACATGTTACATAGCCACTGAGGATGACCGGGTGCCTGTAGCCTCCCATCCTGCTACACTAGAGGGGTTGCTTCATGGTCACTGAAGACATTAGAAGTGTATTCGGTCCGGGTGCGGTGGCTCAACGCCTGTAATCCCAGCACTTTGGGAGGCCGAAACGGGTGCATCAGCTGAGGTCAGGAGTTGAAGACCAGCCTGGCCAACATGATGAAACCCTATCTCTACTAAAAATACAAAAATTAGCCGGGCATGGTGGCGTGCTCCTGTAATCCCAACTACTTGGGAGGCTGAGGCATGAGAATCGCTTGAACCTGGAAGGCAGAGGTTGCAGTGAGCTGAGATCACGCCATTGTACTCCAGCCTGGGAGGCAGAGGTTGCAGTGAGCTGAGATCACGCCATTGTACTCCACTCTGGGAGACAGAGTGAAACTCCGTCTAAAACAACAACAAGGACTGATTTACAGTTTTCCTTACATACATTTCCCTACAAAGCAAAGATGCCAGCTGAATACCAACTGTGGGTGTGTTTTTTTAGCCATTTGTCAAAACCATGGGCTTTCCTGCACAAGAAAGTGTTAACAATGTATACTTTGTGGGAGTGGGAAAGGGAGTACTTACTTTTGTTTTGTTTTGTTGTTGCTGTTGTTTTTGAGATAAGGTCTTCCTGTTGCCCAGGCTGGAGTGCAGTGGTACAATCACAGCTCACTACAGGCTCAAACTCTAGGACTCAAGCGATTCTCCTGCCTCAGCCTCCTGTGTAGCTGGGACCACAGGTGCACACTACGATGCCTGGCTAATTTTTATTTTATTTTTTTATTTTTTATTTTTTATTTTTTTTTGAGACGGAGTTTCACGCTTGTTGCCCAGGCTGGAGTGCAATGGCGTGATCTTGGCTCACCACAACTTCCGCCTCCCAGGTTGAAGCGATTCTCCTGCCTCAGCCTCCCTAGTAGCTGGGATTACAGGCATGCGCCACCATGCCCAGCTAATTTTGTATTTTTAGTAGAGACAGGGTTTCTCCATGTTGAACAGGCTGGTCTCAAACTCCCGACCTCAGGTGATCGCCCACCTTGGCCTCCCAAAGTGCTGGGATTACAGGCGTGAACCACCGCGCCCGGCCAGAGGCAGGGTCTTGCTTTGTTGCTCAGTCTGGTCTTGAACTCCTGGGCTCAAGGGATTCTCCTGCTTTGGCCCCCCGAAATTCTGGTATTACAGGCATGAGCCACCGTGCGTGGCCAGAACACACTTTAAACTTTGAGTGGGGACTGAGGAATTTGCATCCCAACTCTGTGACTTATTCACTGTCCCCTAACACTGCCACCCATCCAACAAGTTACTTAAGCTATACTTTCTCCCTCTGTGAAGGGTATAACAGTCCTATAATTTCTTGGGTTATTGGGTTATTGTGCATATTTCATGAGATGATGCAAGTATAGCCCTTGGGAGCCTCCCTGATTGGTAAGCTTTGTATTTGTATTCTTTCTCATAGTGCTTCACTTAGTAACTGATCAGTTGCCACAGTGTATTCTGCAATGAGTCTTTTATTAAACCGTATACATGAAGACATTGCTGAGAGAGCTAAAACCTTGCCGTGCTTCTGTGTGTGCTCTTTGTTTATGAACAGAATCAAAGCCAGCTGCTACCACACGCTCTTCTGGAGGAGGAGGTGGTGGCGGTGGAAAACGAGGTGGCAAGAAAGATGATTCTCACTGGTGGTCCAGGTTTCAGAAGGTTTGATGCTATACATTGTGTGAATTTTGAGGTTATGATGGTGGCCCAGAGAAGGTTGGGAGGCATTAGTGTAGTGTTGGAGGGATTTGTGTCTCACAGAGCATAGATCGTATTGTGGAATTTCATTCTTCACAGAAGCTGTCTCCCTCTCTGCCCAGGGTGACATTCCATGGGACGACAAGGATTTCAGGATGTTCTTCCTCTGGACTGCTCTGTTCTGGGGTGGAGTCATGTTTTACTTGCTGCTCAAGAGATCCGGGAGAGAAATCACTTGGAAGGACTTTGTCAATAACTATCTTTCAAAAGGAGTAGTAAGTATTTTATGGGATTGGTGGCTGTTGTGGTTCAAAGGTGAAATTCATCAGATTAGACCAAAGAAGTGACAGTCAGCAGGTTAACCTGGCTCGTCCATTGTAAAATTGTTATTTTCACTCAGATTTTTCTAATGCTGAGAAGTACTGCAACTAGAGAACCCGTGTTTTGACCTGGTGTCCTCAAATTTACCCACAAATTCTTTTATTTCACTACCTCCCAGAACTGGGTTTTGGAACCACTGCTTCTGACCATGGTCTTGGCAGTCCTCTGCTTGCGCCCTTTTCTCACGTGCCCTCAGCTGCCCCTGCTCTGTGCTGTCGTGTGCCAGCCTCTGCCCCTGCTCTGTGCTATCATGTGCCAGCGTCTGCCCCTGCTTTGTGCTGTTGTGTGCCAGCCTCTTTGGGCCCTCTGTGGGTCTTTACTACATTTAGTCACCTGTGGGCGTGGCAGCTAATCAGCGTGTGTTGTCAGAGCAGATGGGGCTCTAAGGGAGGGCCAAGTGGGTGCGTGGTCCCTGCCATTTCTCTGTCTGCGGAGCAGCCTTTGTTACTGTCTGCTGGGCTTGCCCATGTGTGACTATATTCACCACAACCAATGGGAAATAAGTAAGACCATATTTCAGCATATTTAAGATGCTATTGATTGTAAGACACATGGTATTTTATAAGTTGCTAAGACAAATCTAATAAGATGCTGATGAAATTATGACATGCCATCAATTGTAAAATGGATCTCCATTTCTGATGTTAAAATATGAAAAATGTGTGTCTTAGAATTGATGCAGTGGCCGGGCGTAGTGGGTCACGCCTGTAATCCCAGCACTTTGGGAGGCCGAGGCGGGTGAATCACGAGGTCAGGAGATTGAGACCATCCTGGCTAACATGGTGAAACCCCCGAATCTACTAAAAAATACAAAAAATTAGCCGGGTGTGGTGGCACGTGCCTGTAGTCCCAGCTATTTGGGAGTCTGAGGCAGGAGAATGGCGTGAACCCGGGAGGCGGAGCTTGCAGTGAGCCGAGATTGCACCACTGCACTCCAGCCTGGGCGACAGAGCGAGACTCCATCTCAAAAAAAAAAAAAAAAAAAAAGAATTGATGCAGTGTAGTGATAGACACCAGAATTAGGCCTGCTGTGTAGCCTTGGGGAAACCCCTTAACCTCTTAATACTTGGGTTTTCATCCATGAAATGGATAAAGTAAGACGACATGAATACTTACTGAGGTAGTGTAAAGAATTTGAATTCGTTCTGAAGGTTGTGCAGGAAGGTAAGGATGTAAGAAATGGTTATCTACTCAAATGAGCAGCTGCTACTGTGCTAAGAGCTGAAGTTGACTGAGATTAACTTCAGTTTATGTTTCCCCTGGAAGTTGGAAACCTTCAGTGGACTCCAGAATTCCAAAATGCTTACATCGGACAGATCCTGCCTGTACCATTGTCCTGTGCGTAGGGAGATGGGTTCCTGGTGCTTCCTTATGCCACCATCTTCCAGAGTCCTTTTATCTAGTTGGATTTTTGAAACATGTTTATCTTATGAAAGTGAGGATCTTATATGTGTAATTCTCAGATGTAGTGGGGACTCCCACTCAGAAGCTGCTCAGAAGCAGTGGTCATTGCGTGTGGACTGGGCTGCAGCCGTCCTTCTGATTGGGATGGCAGGTCCTCGAGGTGGCTTCTCCATAGCTGCAGCTCCTCCTGACCCTCTGGCTCTTTGGCATTAGTCTGCTGTCTCCCCAGCGGGTGTCTGTGGGGTGGAGCAGTGCCAGTCATTCCTCTCTGACAGAGACTGCCTTTAAGAACAGTTGCTCCCCGATTCCAGCCCCTCTGGGATTGCTCTGGGGCTCCTTTGCTTTTTGTTTGTCATTCTTGCCTTCCAGACTTGCTGACAAAGCAAGCAGTTAGAAATAAGCACATCCCAGAGCGCTCATGCTCCTAAACCAGTTACAGTCCTTGGGATGTGGTGTTTTAACAGTGTTACTAAGAATCCTATGTAGGCTGGCCGTGGTGGCTCACACCTGTAATCTGTGCACTTTGGGAGGCTGAGGTGGGAGGATCACTTGAATCTAGGAGTTCGAGACCAGCCTGGGGAATGTAGGGAGACCCCATCTCTACAAAGAAATGTAAAAAAATTGGCCATCTGTGGTGGCTTGCATTCTTAGTCCCAGCTACTCAGGAAGCTGAGGTGGGAGGATCTCTTGTGCCCAGAGAAGTTGAGGCTGCAGTGAGCTATGATTGTACCACTGCACTCCAGCCTGAGTGAAATCCTGTCTAAAAACAAATAAAAAAAGGATCCTATATAACTAGGTGATTCAATTTAAAAAAAAGCTTAAACTATTTTATATTTATAGAGTGACAAAAATTAAGAAGTCTTATACTACCAAATGTTGGTATGTCCTATAGAGCGATAGGCTATGTCCTATAGAGCAATAATAATGTTTTGCTCATGGCAGTGTGAATTGGGGAGCCATTTTGGAGAGCAATTTGGCAATATCTAGTAAAGTCAAAGGTATGTATACCCTGCAACACAGCCTTAGTGTGTCTATCTACAGGTGTGTTTCCTGGAGAAGTTTTTTAAGATGTGCCCACAAAGGTAGATATGGGAATGTTCGTAACAGCATTGCTTGTGAGAAATGTGTAACAGGCTAGCTGTCTGTTAACAGGAGGATGGATCAGTACCTTGGGTGTGGTCATAGCATGGCGTACCCTGCAGCACGGAAGTGTCAGCTTGCGTAAACCTCACAAATGCAATGTTGGAGGGAAAAAGAAAGTTGTAGAAGAATACTTATATATAAAACAAGACCATTTTTAAAGTTAAAAACAGGCAGAAGGGAATGTGCATATCGTGTAGGGTTACCTTCATGTGTAGTGCAAGTGTAAGGATGTGGTTTGGGCAATGCAGCCCCTAAATGAGAGCATAGCCCCCTTTGGGAGGGGATGTGCCTGGGAGCTTCTGCAGAATTATAGGGGGGAACATGGGGGCATCTTTATCTGATTCTTTATTCTTTCCTTGTGTGGCTGAAACATCATATGCATTTTAAATGAGCTTAAAAGAGTATCTCAAGTATTTTCTGTGAATTTATGTGTGAATTTATTTTTAAAATTCTAGGTAGACAGATTGGAAGTCGTCAACAAGCGTTTTGTTCGAGTGACCTTTACACCAGGAAAAACTCCTGTTGATGGGGTAAATCATTTTATTAATTGATGTGAATTAGTTGTAAATTAACTTTTTCAGATTTAAAGCTGAAAGGAAAACCTGCCTCATACTCTAGGAGTTATACGCACCAGATATATCAGAACTGGGCAGTGTGGCAGGGGTGATCTTACTAACATCAGTGGAAATGGGAATGTTGTGTATGGATTATTGATATAGGGATTGGGTCATTGTTTTGTTTTGTTTCTGATAATCATTTTGACTACATTAAGAAGACAGTGAGTGAAATCCCAGTTTTCAGTATTCCAGAATAGTCTGTGACTTTTCAAGACTGAGAAGTAGTTATTTGATTAGGAAAAAAAATTAAAATCTCAATTGCCTATGTTTTGAGACAGCTTTTATCAAATTAGTTTAAAAGCATCCCCACCATCTCCCAACCATTTTGTGATATTATATTGTTTTAATTTCCATTTGATTTCCTATTTTAAAAATAATTTGTAGTTCCTCTCCAACCAGTCTGGAATATACTTCCAGAGACCCCAGAGCAAGCTGAATGCATTGAGGGAATTCTGGAGGGGAGGGGAGAGAGGTGAAGCTGAGGCTCCCAGGACTTGCTAGGCTCCCTTAGGATAATTGTGTTTAACCATTTTCTAGCCATCCCGCCTGGACAGGGCAACATTTAAGGACAACTAGAAGTGATGGTGACCATATCTCTCTGTTTAATTGCATGTCAGCAAATAGCAGAATGTCTGTAAAGTCACAGGGCTCTGGTGTTGCCCTGTGTTTGGGAAGGTATTTTAATTGTCTTGATTTCCCATTCCCTCTACCTAGTGATGCAATGCCTATTAATAACCGTGCTTTATCCTCAGACTTTAGTGCTGGGAATTAAGTTGGCACTTTCTCATGAGGCCGGTAGGCAACGTGTGTTCCAGCACTGTGGGAAGCACACACACACCCATCCCTCTGCTTCTAGGAGGGAAGCCTAGGGAGAAAGTAGGGATGTGTGTGGGATGTCTCTGCAAGGACGTCCTCTCACACATTGTCTATACGTAGCAAAAAATGAGAAATAGCCCAGCGGCCCATGTCAGGCACAGGGTTAACAGGGAATCCTTGTTCCCTGTTCTGTTTCCGGCTGAGCAGTTGTCCTTGGGGGCAGTGCCGTCCCTACGGGTGATTTTGACATTGGCGGGAACTTGTTTTCCAGTGTTGGCATGCACAAGCATTTATGTGTTGAAATTCATACCATTGTATATAAAGTGCTTTCTTTGTATTTCTCTTTTATATTACAGTTAAGGTTTATATTGATTTCTTTTCAAAATTGTATTTCAAGATTGTAAAGGTGGCATTATACAGTCTTGAGGGACAGGCCTGAAATGCTGATGTTGTTTGTGTCTGAATGTTGGGGTTATGGATGTCTTTGCTTTCTGTATGTGCATATCCCAAGTTTTTACAGCGAATGTATATTACCTGCTTACTAAAGACTTCTTGTTTTGAGCTTTCAGAAACAGATTTTCAGTGTCTTGCTGTGAATGGAGCAGCAGTATTAATCACTGTGCAGTGCTGCACACACACAGCCTTTAGCCTTACATCAGTTCTACTCTTGACTAGTAGATGGCTTACCTTCTCTGTGACAGTAGAGAAGGGCTTAATGCTTAAATGAGATAGGGTGAGTCAGTCGTGGTTTTCAAATTTTAGTGTGCATAAAAATTGTCTAGAAAGCTATTAAAACTTGAGTCCTGGGACCCCATCCCCACAGAGGTTCTTATCTAGATTGTGTTCTGAGAATCTGCATTTCTAACATGCTGCTGGGTGGCACTATGCTGCTGGTCCTGGGTTCACACTGCTTCTGTGATGGGAGCCAGGCGTTTGGCCCATTGCCCAGTTGATAGCAGGGGCTGAGTTGGGGAATGTTCCATCCTCTGTGGTTAATCTATTCTGAGCAGGTTTTGGGGCTTTGTAACCATGTGAATTTTGTATCTTTGTTGGTGAATAATTTACCAAATACTGTTATGTTGTTATATAATATAAAACTTACTCTTCATCTTTTATTTTTAGATACTTGGAGAGAAATACCAAAGTAATGTTCCTCACTCAGTAACACTGGTTGGAAGGATATGCGATGACTTGTTGCTCTCTATGAGGTTTTGTTTTTTTGTTTGTTTTTTGAGACTGAGTCTGACTTTGTCGCCCAGGCTGGAGTGCAGTGGCGCGATCTTGGCTCACTGCAACTTCCGCCTCCCAGGTTCAAGAAGTTCTCTGCCTCAGCCTCCCAAGTAGCTGGGATTGCTGGTGCCTGCCACCATGCCTGGCTAATTTTTTGTATTTTTAGTAGAGACGGGGTTTCACCATCTTGACCAGGCTCATCTTGAGCTCCTGACCTTGTGATCCACCCGCCTTGGCCTCCCAAAGTGTTGGAATTACAGGCGTGAGCCACTGCACCCGGCCTTGTTTTTTATTTTGAAATGGAGTCTCGCTCTGTTGCCCAGACTGGAATGCAGTGGCACAATCTTGGCTCACTGCAACCTGTGCCTCCCAGGTTCATGCCTCCCAAGTAGCTGGGCCTATAGGTGGGTGCCACCATGCCTAGCTAATTTTTGTAGTTTTAGTAGAGACAGTTTGAGACCATGGTGGCCAGGGGGGTCTCAAACTCCTCACCTCAGGTGATCTGCCACCTGGGCTTCCCAAAGTGCTGGGATTACTGGCCACTGTGCCCAGCCTCTCTAATGAGTTTTATATGATAGACTTACTGTTTTGATTTAAAAAATACTTTTCTAAAAAAAGATGATTGCAGGTTAGAGGAGAAACAAAGTTTTTTTGTACTATAAAATGGAGCTAATACATGCACAGTGCTTGAAATGGGGTCTTCTAGCTAGTAAACTCCATAAATGTGAGCTGTTAAAATCAGTGTCCTCATGGTTGTGTAAAGGCAGTGTGACATTGTGGTTAGGACACTGGTTCAGGAGCCAGACTGTCTGGGTTCAGATCCCAGCCTCTTATTTCATGTGTGACCATGAGCAAGTTTTGTCATCTGTAGAATGGAAACAGGAGTCAGGGCTCATATTCAGTCAGTAGACACGAGTACAATAGGAAATAATTATGTGCTGATTGGTAGAATAGCCTTGACCTGGCCCCTGAGGTGTCCCTGTGCTGGGCCCTCTGGGTCTCTGCAGCTCTAGAGAATAAAGAGGGAGTGCCTGGCACAGCAAGGCGCATCTGTTCCAGTTGCACAGTGGGGTGCGGTGCTCGGATTTTGAACATCACCCCCAGTGATGGCACCTGCTTCTTAGGATGGTCCTCAGGATTGAATGAACTAATGCATCTGAAGGGCCCAGAACAATGCCTGGTACTTAGTACATGCCCAGTAAACTTTAGCTCTTATCCCTGTTTCACAGTAGTTTTAAATTTGGGAATAGGGAGCTAAAATACCTAGGAAATAGAGGAAGAGGGAAATAATGCATATTTATTTTAAAAAGGATTACGTTTTCAAATAGGTTTTTCATTCTGTTTTTTGAGTTTATAATTTTAGAGCCACTGAGATATTGCTGCTAAAGAAATGCTTATTTGCCAAGAATTGCCAAGTGTTCTCAATGAGTGACATTTAATCACCACCATTATTAAAGCCAGTCTTTTATTATTGTTTATTCTTTAATTTATAAATTTTCAGTATTTCTGGAAAATTCTTAAAAAGTTGAACCGTTTAGTGAATTGAACCTTTTAGTTTCACTACATTCTTAGGATATTTGTTTTTTTGTTTTTATAGCAATACGTTTGGTTTAATATTGGCAGTGTGGACACCTTTGAACGGAATCTGGAAACTTTACAGCAGGAATTGGGCATAGAAGGAGAAAATCGGGTGCCTGTTGTCTACATTGCTGAAAGTGATGGGTAATCTCAAATATAATATTTTGTAGACTGTTGACTGTGCTGCCTGTGGTTCACTGTGTTCTGTCCCTGGGTGCAGGGCTATACATTATATTCTCAAACAGGCCTTTATCAGTTTGGCCAGATTTTTAAAAAACTATTAGTAACTCACTAGTTTTTGCATGACTCATTCATTTTCTTTTTTTTTTGAGGTGGGGTTTCGCTCTGTCGCCCAGGCTGTAGTGCAGTCGTATGATCTTGACTCACTGCAACCTTTGTCCCCACCCCAGTTCACGCGATTCTCCTGCCTCAGTCTCCAGAGTAGCTGGGATTATAGGCTTCCACCACCATGCCCAGCTAATTTTTGTATTTCTAGTAGAGGCAGGGATTCACTATGTTGGCCAGGCTGGTCTTGAACTCCTGACTTCAGGTAATCCACCTGCCTCCGCCTCCCAAAGTGCTGGGATTACAGTTGTGAGCCACCACACCTGGCTTTTTATCTTTATTTTTATTTTTATTTTTATTTTTGATTCATTCCTTTTGTACACATTTATACTTATCTTGATGAAGCAGTGGTTTAGGGTATTAACATTCAATGCATTGACCTTTGGTAGGATTTTAGCATAAAGAACCCCTTTGTATCAAAGAGTGCCATTCCCATCTTTGAACTATCATTTATGTTTACATTTCACAGTTTTCCAGGATTTTTAGGTGATTCTTCTCTCATCAGAACTTCTTCTTTGGGGGTTGTCTTTAATAAGACCATGTTAGTAACCCCACTTAAAGTCTGGGCAGATGCTCCATTTATTTCGAAGAGTTGGTTGCCATGGAGCTTATTTGGGAATTCTGTTGCCTTTGAAGAACACTTGCAAGTTACCCTCCTTTGTATTAAGTGCAGAAGGTATACCTTGGTGTAGCTATATATATTTATATTGATATCTTGCACCACATGTGAAAGCTGGAGGTGAGCAGCCAGTCCTAACCCGTGTTGCGCTGTGTGTCCCCAGCTCTTTTCTGCTGAGCATGCTGCCTACGGTGCTCATCATCGCCTTCTTGCTCTACACCATCAGAAGAGGGCCTGCTGGCATTGGCCGGACAGGCCGAGGGATGGGCGGACTCTTCAGTGTCGGAGAAACCACTGCCAAGGTCTTAAAGGATGAAATTGATGTGAAGTTCAAAGATGTGGCTGGCTGTGAGGAGGCCAAGCTAGAGATCATGGAATTTGTGAATTTCTTGAAAAACCCAAAGCAGTATCAAGACCTAGGAGCAAAAATCCCAAAGGTAAAATGAAATTTAAGATTAACTTTTTGAAATGTTTCTTGATCTCTGAAGTTATAATTCTGTGAAGTTTGATTACTTATTATAGATAGCTGTTTTTCTGTCCTTCCTCTTTCTCAGCTTACTAGGCTAGCCTCTGCCCAACTCGAGGATCGTTTTGGGTCAGTTCTGTGTGCATGTGTCTTGTATAGTGTATGTATTCCTGAAAATATCTGTGTCACCTCCTCTTGGAAGATTTTCTTGATTCGTCTTCCTTTTCCCTCCAATCTGATTTAGATGCCCTATCTCTCAGCAACTGTAGGCCCGCTGTAGCTCACTGACAATGTCACACTCTGCTGTCACCCAGTGTCCCTTCGAGGGATGTATGTGGACAGGACACCTGTGCTGGCGCTGAGGTTCACGGCACAGGATCCAGTGGAGAGGACACAGCACTCACCATCACCTTCCCCTTTCCAGCAAATATGCTCTTGCCCACTGTGCTAGTGGTGGGCTGTACCCTACAGGGCTTGGTGCCCCTAGGGCTAGGCGTGGAGCATTAACTTCATATTTGTTAAATGGATCAGCTATTAAGTAAATGAATAAAAAGGTATAATTCTTTTAAAAGTCCATGAATAAATTTTACTTTAAAGGAATCCTTTGAAAGATAATCATTTCCTTGATTTTTATGTCTTACTTCTATAGATAAAAAGTCATATTTTATGAATTTATAACTTACTTAGTACCCGTTTGCATTACACCTAACTGTCTCTACAACTTAATATAATAGTTGTGTAGGGCCAGGCGCAGTGGCTCACTCCTGTAATCCCAGCACTTTGGGAGGCTGAGGTGGGTGGATCACCTGAGGTCAGGAGTTCGAGACCAGCCTGGCCAACATGGTGAATCCCTGTCTCTACTAAAAATACAAAAAATTAGCTGGGCATGGTGTTGTGCGCCTGTAATCCCAGCTGCTCAAGAGGCTGAGGCAGGAGAATCGCTTCAACCTGGGAGGTGGAGGTTGCAGTGAGCCGAGATCGTGCCATTGCACTCCAGCCTGGACAAGAGTGAAACTCTATCTCAAAAAAAAAAAAGTGTATTGTTTGAGCAAACACATCTTTCTTTGAAGTTAAGTTCATCATTGGTCGTTAGATTTCTACTTCATTTGTGAAACTTTTAAAGAAGAAAATAAGCAAAATTTTAAAAATACCTTAAGGTTTTATTACAAAGCCTAGAAAAAATATCATTTGACCATATTATCTACCTCCTCACAGTATTTGGATATGGTAGTGTGGTAGTATGTCTATAAATAAGAGAGGATACTGTTTGTGGGTAGTCAGTGGAAATAAAAACAAATTCACAGTTAGGTTTTAAGTTGCACGTCCAACCATGCTAAAAATGTACTGATTTGTACATGAAAGTAGAAGTCAGAAGTTGGGTTTATTAATTATTTGAGCTCAAAAACCAATTTTACTTGTAAAGAGTAAAAGAATTACATAAATCAGGAGTGTGGTGTTGGTGTCTTCTTAAATTATTTAAGTAAACCTTAGCAGATTTATTAGTATATTCCTAGCCCAAGTCACCCTTTACATACTGTTAGACTAAAGGTCTAAAAATCAGCCCTAGGAAAAAAAGGAAATATTTTAAATTTCACATTCTTACCAAATTTTTTGAAACAAAATTATTTTTGATAATCTTTTTATTCTTACTAATATAAAAATGTTCTACCATAGCTCAGATGTTTAAGTAATATTTAATATATATCAATAAGATTTAGAGACAGAGTTATATCTTGTAATTATTTGTGGATACACAATTTACTTTTCTGGAATTCTCATTAAATGTAATTTCTTTTTTCATATCTGAAGGGTGCCATTCTCACTGGTCCTCCAGGCACTGGGAAGACGCTGCTAGCTAAGGCCACAGCCGGAGAAGCCAATGTCCCCTTCATCACCGTTAGTGGATCTGAGTTTTTGGAGATGTTCGTTGGTGTGGGCCCTGCTAGAGTGAGTCTCATTCTGTTCGGATGGTACAGCTTCCTTGCACCCACCACTTCACCACAGATGGAGGCACTTGCTAGAGATGGCCCTTCCCCCTAGAGTGCTAGAGTGACCTCTCACCAGTCCCTGGCCTGAGCTCTCCTCCAGGCCTAAGACTTCAGCAAGGCCTGTGACTTCCACCCCACCTTCCCTCGCACCAGCTAGGACTGCAGTCTGCTACCTATAGTAGACCAATTTAAAGAATTGACGGCTGGGCGCGGTGGCTCATGCCTGTAATTCCAGCACTTTGGAAGGCTGAAGTGGGTGGAACGCTTGAAGTCAGGAGTTCGAGACCAGCCTGGCCAACATGGCGAAACCCTGTCTGTACTAAAAATAGAAAAATTAGCCAGGCGTGGTCGCGCATGCCTATAATCCCAGCTATTTCGGAGGCTGAGGCAGGAGAATCTCTTGAACCCAGGCGGCAGAAGTTGCAGTGAACCAAGATGACACCACTGCATTCCAGCCTGGGCAACAGAGTGAGACGCTGTCTCAAAAAAAAAAAAAAAATTTTGCTTTATTTGTGGATTTTTTTTTTTTTTGGTGACAACATTTATTGAGATATAATTGACATACCAAACAATTGATCCCTGTAAAGTATACAGTTCAGTAGCTTTTAGTAATTCACAGATTTGTGCAACCATCACCACAATCAGTTTTACAACATTTCCATTACATCAAGAAGAAATCGTGGCCGGGCGTGGTGGCTCACACTTGATATCCCAGCACTTTGGGAGGCCAAGGCAGGCGGATCAGGAGGTCTGGAGATCGAGACCATCCTGGCTAACATGGTGAAACACCATCTCTACTAAAAAAACAAAACCAAAATTAGCCATGCGTGGTGGCGGGCGCCTGTAGTCCCAGCTACTTGGGAGGCTGAGGCAGGAGAATGGCGTGAACCTGGGAGGCAGAGCTTGCAGTGAGCTGAGATCACGCCACTGCACTCCAGCTTGGGTGACAGAGTGAGACTCGTCTCAAAAAAAAAAAAAATATGTAAATCGGGAGTCCTAAGCAAACTACCCAAAGGAATTTCCTAGTACAGACATTCCATGTAAATGAAATTATACAATATGTGGTTTTTTTATGCCTGATTTCTTTCACTTAACATGTTTTTGAATGGTAACTCCATGTTTAACATTTTAAGGAACCACCAGACTGTTTTCCAAACTACTTGCCCATTTTCCATCCCTACCAGCAATGTGTAAGGGGTTCTGATGTTTCCCCGCCCTTACCAACACTTTGATGATAGCCACCTTAGTGGGTGTGATGTAGTATCTCGTGGTTTTGATTTGCATTTCCATGATGAGGAGTGATGTTGAACATCTTGTATATGCTTATTGGCCATTTGTATATTTGTATATCTTCCTTGGAGAGTTGTCTATTCAGATCCTTTGCTCATTTTTTAATTGGGTTTTTTTGGTTGTTGAATTGTAAGAGTTCTTTTTTTTTTTTTTTAATTTTTTTTGAGATGGAGTCTTGCTCTGTCGCCCAGGCTGGAGTGCAGCGGCATAACCTCTGCCTCCCGGGTTCAAGTGATTCTGCCTCAGCCTCCCTAGTAGCTGGGATTGCAGGCACCCACCACCATGCCCAGCTAATTTTTGTATTTTTAGTAGAGATGGGGTTTCACTATGTTGGCCAGGCTGGTATTGAACTCCTCACTTCAGGTGATGCACCCCCTGCCTTGCCCTCCTAAAGTGCTGGGATTACAGGCGTGAGCCACCTTGTCCGGCCTCACCTTCACATCTATTTCACACTTTGCTGTTGTTGTGCAGATAAGTCATAGAAAAATAGGGAATGAGGGGGAGTTGGGTGTTAATGATGATGGGCCATGAGATATAAAGTGGATGGGGGGAAATTGAAGACAGGAGAGGAGCTGTGGGGGGTGGTGGGGAAGGGTGGGCCTGGTGGGTTGCAGAGCTGAGAAGTGGTAAAGAGTTGGCGTGAGATACCTGAGTGTGTCTGTGGGTCCAGATGATAGGAGGGGGTGCTCAGAGAGTAGATGACTTGAAGATGGTGGTTTAAAAGGCAACCTTGGCAGTGCTGGTCTTGTCAGAGTGAAGTAAAAGGTGAATGAAGGGGTGGTCAGGGAACTGAGAGACCGAGAGCCACATGGATGGAAATCACTGAGGACATCATGCCTAGTGGCAGTCAGGCTGGGGGAGACCCATGGCACAGTGGGGTGGAGTGCCTGCCACAAGGCCTGAGCCTCAGCAAGCAGGGGCTTTTCCAGCAGTTATTTTGGCAGCAGCAGTGGGGTGTGAGGTGGACCCCAGCTCCAGTTAGCCTGTAGGGGAAGATGCAGACTCCTGCTTAAGGCTTGCTGGAATGGCTGAGTTCCTGTTCATGCCGGGATGGGATGGATGTACTATGAAGGTGTGGGTCTGTAGGTCACAGATCTGGAATTCAGAGGGGAGGCTGGAGAAGGATACCAGTTATTTTAGGGGATGTGTTCAGAGCAGTGTAGGAATGAACATCCAGAAATCCAGGCAGGAAGACCTGGACTTCTGTCCAGTGAAGTGGGGGGGGGGGGGTGGGAGTGGGCAGGTGGAGAGTTGTCTCTGATTCTCCTTGAAGGGGCAGGTGACTGATGGTGAGGTGCTGAGTGGCTCTTCCTCCTCTTCCTGACTGCAGGTTTGTCTGAGGGTATGTGCTATCAGGATGGTCTGTGGTGGGGTGGGTGGCAGACGAAGGCTGTCACCCCCTCTTTGGGGATGAGCTGATGGGCTTGGATGGTCTTTGGCTTCACTGTATATGTGTGATTGCATAGACTCCTTAGTAGCCTCAGCTTGTTAATAACTGTGTTAGGCATGAAATGTGAACTCTAGAGAAGTCTGAACTTTTCAACTGAATGTAAAGTTTACAGCTCTACTGTGTTGTCTTTGTTTAGGTATATATGTAATGTTAATTTGTTGATGTTACAAAAATAGCAGATATTATCAGTGTTTATTACATATACAGTAATTTATGGGATCTGAGAAAGATTTGCTCACCTTAAGTCGGTTACCCAGGTTACTCCTCATTTGCTGCTGCTTTGCTACTTGTAACTCTTTTAAAAAATGTACCTTACAGTGTGTATCACAAAAAGATTGTCTGCACATGGGACGGGAAGCTGAAGATTTATTTCATTTTTTTTTTTTTTTTTTTTTTTTGAGACAGAATTTCGCTCTTGTTGCCCAGGCAGGAGTGCAATGGCTCAGTCTCAGCTCACTGCAACCTCTGCCTCCCAGGTTCAAGCGATTCTCCTGCCTCAGCCTCCTGAGTAGCTGGGATCACAGGCACGCGCCACCATGCCTGCCTAATTTTGTATTTTTAGTAGAGATGGGGTTTCTCCATGTTGGTCAGGCTGGTCTCGAACTCCTGACCTCAGGTGATCCACCAGCCTCGGCCTCCCACAGTGCTGGGATTACAGGCATGAGCCACTGTGCCCGGCCGATTTATTTCATTTCTTATTCAGAGAATACATAATATTCTCTGGTCAGGTGACTCTCTTTCTGTTTTTGCCAAGGTCCGAGACTTATTTGCCCTTGCTCGGAAGAATGCCCCTTGCATCCTCTTCATCGATGAAATCGATGCGGTGGGAAGGAAGAGAGGAAGAGGCAACTTTGGAGGGCAGAGTGAGCAGGAGAACACACTCAACCAGCTGCTGGTGGAGATGGATGGTGAGTGGTCAAGGCTTTTGTATCTTTAACTGCACTTTTGTTTTTTTTTTTGAGATGGAGTCTGACTCTGTCGTCCAGGCTGAAGTGAGTGGTGTGATTTCGGCTCACTGCATCCTCTGACCCCTGGGTTCAAGCGATCCTCCTGCCTCAGTCTCCTGAGTTTAAGCTGCACTTTTTATGCCTTTCATGTCCCCAAAATGAGAGTCCTTATTCCAATATTGAGTATCACAAACAAAAAAAAGCATTCCCTAAAACAAACAGCTCTTTTAAAAGGCCCTTTTATACTAATACAAATAATAGCAAAATATTTTTTCCTGGCAGCCTGCATAACTTAATATCGGTGTTAACATGCTGTTTGTGTCTGGTGTTTGAATAAGAGAAGAATTGGTGAAATGAGTCACAAAAGAATTACCATCTCATTCTCTAAATCATCACCATCTCTGAAGCATAAGGAAAATCTAAGCCTAACCAAGTGTGAATTTAGCAAATTTTGAATACTTTTTTACTAAGAGAGTAGCAGTCTTTCCATGCTAGCCAGCTTTTATTTCATTTAGGAAAGCCACTTCTCAGGATGTCATGTGTTCTTCCTGCTGGAAGATAAAAATGTGGATGCTTGGTTGTTTGTGCAGAAAGGGGAAGCACAGTGCCAGTACTGAACTGGCTTCAATGATGAAGCCAGGCATAGGGGCAGAATAAGGAGGTAGAAAGCCTCCTCCGTCCCGCGATGGTCAGCCCCTGTTGCGTTCACATTGGAGCACCACATCTGAGGGAAATTCACCCAGGAGCTCCTGCCGTGCCAGGGTCCTGAGGGTGAAGGGCCTGGGACCATGGCATTTACACTGAGAAATGGGCAGTAACACTGAGCCATTTGAGTGTGGAGAAGAGGTGGGAGGTAGAGGTTGATCTCTGCCTTCAGATAGGCAGTTGGTTGTCCTGTGGCCCAGGGTGTCAGACACATCCTTTGCCAATTTAATCTGATTTTAAGACATTTTTAAAATTGACATTATCTGTTAAATTTCTAGTTAAATTTAAATATTTGGTCATTTGTCTTTAGGAAATTTACTCGTAAAACTTTTAAGTCTAATATATGATTATTTTCAAGGACGAGCTGAATAGTAAAAAAATAATTCAAGTTTGTAACTTAAAAAACACTGGATAGGCCAGGGGCGGTGGTTCACGCCTGTAATCCCAGCACTTTGGGAGGCCCAGGCGGGTGGATCACCTGAGGTTAGGTGTTCGAGACCAGCCTGACCAACATGGAGAAACCCTATCTCTACTAAAAATACAAAAATTAGCCAGGTGTGGTGGGGCATGCCTGTAATCCCAGCTACTCGGGAGGCTGAGGCAGGAGAATTGCTTGAACCTGGGAAGCGGAGGTTGCAGTGAGCTGAGATCACGCCATTGCACTCCTGCCTGGACAACAGGAGTGAAACTCCGTCTCAAAAAAAAAAAAAACAAAAAACACTAGATAATGAATAGAAAATGTGTTTACTGTAGCTATGAATTTGCAGTGCTCATATGTTCCTGATGGTGCACTGTTGCTTTCTGCCTCTTGTCATTTAATAGTGTTTGCATTTTTGTTATCTTTCAGGTTTTAATACAACAACAAATGTCGTCATTTTGGCCGGCACCAATCGACCAGATATCCTGGACCCCGCGCTGCTTAGGCCGGGGCGTTTCGACAGGCAGATCTTTATTGGTGAGATGATGTTTGCTGGGGCAGGTCCAGTGCTCATGAGTGTAGGTGTGACTGTTTCAATATGATTTTCTTTTCCTTAAAAATGATTTCTAAAGGACCACCAGACATAAAAGGAAGAGCTTCTATTTTCAAAGTTCATCTCCGACCGCTAAAACTGGACAGTACCCTGGAGAAGGATAAATTGGCAAGAAAACTGGCATCTTTAACTCCAGGGTTTTCAGGTGAGTGGAAAATAACGAGGACCCTATTTAGAAGCATATTAAAATCAGTAACAGTTACCAGGTACCGGTTTACTTTCTTACCTTTTCACTTCTTTACTGTGGGCTTCCTAAGTTTATATTCTCATTTTTATTTTTTTTGAGACAGGGTCTCACTTAATTGCACAGGATGGACTGAGTGGTGTAATCATAGCTCACTGTAGCCTCAACCTTCTGGGCTCAAGTGATCCTCCTGTCTCAGCCTTGTTTGTAGCTGGGACTACAGGCATGTACCACCATGCCCAGCTAATTTTTTGATTTTGTGGAGACAGGGTCTTACTTATTATGTTGCACAGGCTGGCCCGAAACTCCTGGCTGTAAGTGATCCTCCTGCCTTGGCCTCCCAAAGTGCTGGGATTATAGGCATGAGCCACTGTGCCCGACTATTTTTACTTTGTTATTATGGGAAATTTCAAACATACACAGATTTTGAGGAAATGGTGTAATGAACCCATCTGTACCTGTCACCTAGTTTCAGGAACAATTACTAATTCACATCTGACCTTACTTTTATCTATACCCTCTTCTCTTTCTGCTTCCTCGGGAGTATTTTGTGAAAAATTCTTGACAGTGTATCATTTTTTTCTATAAATATTGTAGGAATTATTCCTAAGCGTTTTTTTAAAAGCTCTATTGAAATAAAGTTAACTAAAAATCACCCGTATAAAGTGTACAATTAATGGTTTCTAGTATATTTACAGGGTTGTACAACCATCACTATAATTTTAAAACATTTTGGGCTGGGCACGGTGGCTCACACCTGTAATACCAGCACTTTGGGAGTCTGAGGCAGGTGGATCACCTGAGGTCAGGAGTTCGAGACCAGCCTGGCTAACATGGCAAAACCCTGTCTCTACTAAAAATACAGAAATTAGCCGGGCATGGTGGTGCATGCCTGTAATCCCAGCTGTTCGGGAGGCTGAGGCAGGAGAATGGCTTGAACCCAGGAGGTGAGGTTGCAGTGAGCCTAAATCACCCCACTGCACTCCAGCCCAGATGAGAGAGCAAGATTCCATCTCAAGACAATCAAACTTTCTGTCTCTCTAGGTTTTTTTATTCTGTACATATTATATAAAAACGTGGTTTTGGCCAGGTACGGTGGCTCACACCTGTAATCCCAGCACTTTGGGATACCAAGGCAGGTGGATCACCTGACGTCAGGAGTTCAAGACCAGCCTGGCCAATGAGGCGAAACCCTGTCTCTACTAAAAATACAAAAATTGCCGGGCGTGGTGGTGGGGGTGCTGTAATCCCAGCTACTCGGGAGGCTGAAGCAGGAGAATCGCTTGAACCTGGGAGGTGGAGGTTGCAGTGAGCTGAGATCACGCCATTGCACTCCAGCCTGGGTGACAAGAGCAAAACTCCACCTCAAAAAAATAAAAATAAAAACATGTGGTCTTTTGTGCCTGGTTTATGTTCACTTAACATAATGAACAGGATTGATTCAAATTGTGGCAGGCATCAGAACTTCATTCCTTTTTGTGGCCAAGTAAATGTGCCATTGTTTGGCTGTTCCACATCTTGTTGATCCACCCATCAGTTGATGGCCATTTGGGCTGTTTCCACTTTTTGGCTATTATGAATAATGCTGCCATGAACATCGGTGTACAGATTTTTTGTGGTCATAGTGTTTCTCTTGGTATATACCTAGGAGTGGAATTGCTGGGTGATATGGTAACTCTAACTTTTTGAGGAACTGCCAGGTTGTTTTAATTACCTGTGCCATTTTACATTCCCACCAGTAACCTGTGAGGGTCCCAGTTTCTCCACATCCTTGCCAGCACTCGTCACTGTCTTTTTATTACAGCCATCCTAGCTGGTGTGATTTGGCATCTCACTGTTGTTTTGATTTGCACTTCTCTAATGACTAGTGATGTTGAGCATCTTTTCATGTGCTTATTCCAATAATTTTTTAATGTAAAATATGATCCTTTCCCATTCCCTATTTCTCTCCTTCTGAACGCAAAATGAAATAAAAAAAGAACAGTTTGAGAAGTATGAAAAGATTATATACAATAGTGTGGTCAGAAGATGATCATCTTGTTCCAGGGATCCTAACTTTTTACTTGTCTTTGGACTTTGAAATTTATAATGTTTTAATATTTGTTTATTTAACACAGATGGTATGCTGTAGCTTATTTATGCTACCATATACTTAACTGAAAAGTTAGTTTAAAGAGATGGATCTAAAAAGCATTTGACAAGCTTTTAGCTATATTTAAATTTAGTTGTTTCACTGAATGTACTAGGTGATTATAAAAATTAGATTTTTCATCATATATCAGTACTTCACCTAATATCTATGCAAGCCATTTTTCCAACACAGGTGATAGAACTAAGTTATTTAAATGAGCATTTTTAGATGCTGTCTTAGTTTGCTATTATGTGAGCTATATTGTCTATTAAGGTAAATAGTTGCCTGTAATTATCTATTGACTACTAATACTTTCATCTTAGTTCAGAGGGCCAGAATTATACCAGGCTTACATTAAACGCTAGAATAGCTTAGGGTTATCATGAGTCAAAACAGAATTATATTTACACAAAACCTTTATTCATTGTACTGCTGATTTAAAAATTAACTATGGATTTGGCTGTCCATATTGTGTGACTGATCAGTTTGGGCGTATTTCGGTGGGTAAGCTGTTCTGTGTTCATTTTTTAGGTGCTGATGTTGCTAATGTCTGTAATGAAGCTGCGTTGATTGCTGCAAGGCATCTGTCAGATTCCATAAATCAGAAACACTTTGAACAGGCAATTGAACGAGTGATTGGTGGTAAGGAAACTGAACATAACTCAAGTGGAAAGGCTGATAAAATGAATTTGAGGCCAGGGATTTCTCTGTTTGGGCAAGAACTAGAAGCAAAGAAAGTGTATCCACTCAGCCCTGGGGCCCACCACATTTGTGCTCTCTTGGTGTCATGGCCCCTCCCATGCCTCTCCTCCCTCTCCTCCTTCTTCCTGCCACCGTCCCCTGCCACCTGCCCTCTGCATGGAGGTCCATGGTGCTGGGTGAGTTTGAGATGGCAGCTCACGAATGCTTTGCTTGCACAGGCAGCCAGCAGCGAGGTGTCTACCCATGAACTATACCAATCAAGTTTGTTAAAAAGCTCACAACCTTCCTGTTTACAAAAGTTTCATCACATGAGTTAGAGGTGCTCTGTGCTAGATACAGGTGATGGGTGTAAAATATCTGTAACAGCCGGGTGCGGTGGCTCACGCCTGTAATCCCAGCACTTTGGGAGGCCGAGGCAGGCAGATCACAAGGTCAGGAGTTTGAGACCAGCCTGGCTAACATAGTGAAACCCCATCTCTACTAAAAATACAAAGATTAGCCAGGCATGGTGGCTCGTACTTGAAGTCTCAGCTACTTGGGAGGCTGAGGCAGGAGAATCGCTTGAACCCGGGAGGCAGAGGTTATGGTGAGCCGAGATCGTGCCACTGCATTCCAGCCTGGGCAGCAGAGTAAGTCTCTGTCTCAAAAAAAAAAAAAATAATAATAATAAATAAAATAAAATAACTGTAACAGGCGTAGAGCTGGAAGTGCTTCCTCAGTCAGCATAGGGGGAGCGCACACAGTGCGTTTTCTTAGCATTCCATAGGGCTTCTGATTTAATCCCTAAAGGCAAGTAGCAATTCAAGAACTTGGGCATTCAAAGGAAGGGGAAGCCCTGCACCAGGCAGAGTTCCACGGAAGAGGAGGGGTGTGCCCCAGGCTCAGGATGAAACTGGGGTGTGACGTGGAAGTGGCCTGGCAGATGGACTTGAGGCAGTCTACCCTGTGTTGAGGGAGAGTAAACTGGTCAGTTTTGGAAAGTCTTGAATGTTAAGCTCAAAGACTTTTAAAATTTTGTCCTATGGCCAGTGTTGAATTAAGGTGGGTTTTTTGTTGTTGTTGTTTTGTTTTGTTTTTTTGTTTTTTGAGACAGAGTCTCATTCTGTCACCCAGGCTGGGGTGCAGTGGCACAATCTCGGCTCACTGCAACCTCCACCTCCAGGGTTCAAATAAACAGCTTTCCGAGTAGCTGCTATTACAGGCACCTGCCACCATGCCCGGCTAATTTTTGTACTTTTAGTAGAGATGGGGTTTCACCACGTTGGCCAGGCTGGTCTCTAACTCCTTTTTTTTTTTTTTTTTTTTTTTTGAGATGGAGTCTTGCCCTCTCCCCCAGGCTGAAGTGCAGTGGCTTGATCTTGGCTCACTGCAACCTCCACCTTCCGAGTTCAAGCAATTCTCCTCCCTCAGCCTCCCAAACAGCTGGGATTACAGGTGCGTGCCACCACGCCTGGCTAATTTTTGTATTTTTAGTAGAGATGGGGTTTCACCATGTTGGCCAGGCTGATCTCGAACTCCTGACCTCAGGTGATCTGCCTGCCTCGGCCTCCCAAAGTGTTCGGATTACAGGCGTGAGCCACTGAGTAACATAATGATCGATGGTATTTTAGGAGAATGAATCTGGCTTTGAAGAGTAGGGAAGCCTCTGGATGGAGGCAGAGAACCTTGCAGTCATCACTGTGAGCACCATGAGCCCACAGCTTATCAGGGGGGAGCACCAGTGACAGCCGTAAAAAAAATGAGGACAGACTGAGAGACCGCAGGAGTGTGGGGCGCTTGCAGAGGCAGCTGGCTCGTAGAGAATGAGCTGTCCTGCATGTGAGCCGGGGCAGGGGTATGCGTGTGTGACTTGGGAACAGGCAGTGGTGGTCCCAGGGTGTGCCAGGTGGAGTGAGATGGGCGGTTGGGGACACTTGGAGCCACCCTCCTGGGAGAGAGGGAGTTGCAGAGGAAATGTTACCCAGTGCTCACATTTGGTAAGAGGAGAGAAAGGTGAGTCAGCAAGGTCACCCGTGCTCATGGTGTACCACAAGCACTGAAGGTGCATCAGCAGACAAGCGAGGAAGATGTGCCAGTAACAGGGACCTGTAGGCTGGAGGGGACAGGAAATGAGGCGCTGGCAGTAGGGCGAGGCACAGGGATGTGGAGGAGGAAGAGGAACTTTGGATTTGGCAGTGAGCGTGTTAGGGTGACTTTTGACAGTTCATCTGAGTAGAGGGTACAAAACCAGACGAGTGGGGCTTCCAGTGAGGACATAGAGGCTGGTAGAGCAATGTGGTTTGCCGGGGATAGGTGCCCAGTAAACAATGAATTGTTGAATGAATGAATCACCAGCCCTTTTATTCTATAAATTTGTTATTGAAAAGGTAAACCTCAGATGGTAAGAGTTGTGAATGGAATGAAGCAAAATATAATAATTCACTGTAGAGACAGGTGAAAACTGTGTATTTATGCCTTTTTTTTAGGTTAAGGAGAAGTGATCAGAGAGGGCAGGGCAGAGCGGGCAGCCACGCAGCCGCAGGTTTTGCTCTGAGGCAGCTGCTGGGCCCCGCAGGCAGTGTTGTGTAGTGAGATAGGCACTGAGAAAATGAATGACTCCTAAGGTGAACTGTGGGGAAAGAAGGCTTCTTTGCTTTTACAGGTAAGCCAGAAGTGTTCATCGGCAGACAGACTTAACTCCTGTTTTGTAACTTCCCGCCCTGTGGCATATGCTTGTCTTGGGTTGTGTCATTGGGAACACAGCTTTTGTTTTTGTCTTCCAGTCTCCTTAACATCAGCTGAGAAATTCTCAGGTGGATTACCATGAACATGGCAAAACTACTTTTGCCACTGTGTGATGATTTGTTTTAGTACAAATGGCGCAGTTAGTTTTTACAGCACAGAGGTATGGAGTGAGGGGCAGAGCCCACGTTGATCCAGGCCAGAGAAGAATCACGCTCAGACTAGAGTCCGGTCAGCACTGTGGTGGACGCAGGCTGCAGCACGGGTCTTGTGGGCCCTGTGTCGCTGGGGTTTGCCCTCTGGGTCTGCTCTGCCACTTCTGTGGCTTGCTCTGAGCCATAGGGCCGGCTGGTTAGGTGAGGGTGCGCCAGCATCAGCCTGGCTGGCTCCACCTAGGTAGCTCCGGGTGTTGAACTGGCTGCCTGCTTTCTCAGACTCTCTTCTGCCTTCCAGCAGAACAGACAGCAGGTAGTGTCTTATGGCAGCCATCTTCGCGTGCCCAGTATTTGATAATTCTGAATACCTAGACTATGCAATGAGGACCTTTCCAGAGTTTTGGTTTCTGTAATTTTGCGTGTTTTAAAATGACCTTAATGCTGAATTTTATTTTACATTTCTATTTGTTTCCCAAAACACAGGGTGTGTGGCTTAAAAGTGAGAGAGTTAGGGTGAAAGCAGGCCTGGGGATGGGGGAGTGAGTGCATTTTTGCTGTAGTTGTATTTTGAACCTGACCTTTTGCTTTTATTCTGACCTTGATTGGGAATTCTATTTAATTTTTTAAAAAAATTTTTAACTTAATTTAATTTTTTTTTTTTTTGAGACGGATTCTTACTCTGTAGCCCAGGCTGGAGTGCAGCGGCATGATCTCAGTTCACTGCAACCTCCGCCTCCTGGGTTCAAGTGATTCTCCTGCCCCAGCCTCCCTAGCAGCTGGGAGTACAGGCGCTCACCACGACGCCTGGCTAATTTTGTATTTTTAGTAGAGACGGGGTTTCACCATGTTGGCCAGGCTGGTCTCGAACTCCTCACCTCAAGTGATTGGACCACCTCAGCCTCCCAAAGTGCTGGGATTACAGGCATGAGCCACTGCGCCTGGCCTTGATTAGGAATTTTTGGATTGTGATAGGCAGCTCAGTCTCCAAACCCCATTTTAGGTAAGGCAATGTATAGCACTGTATAACTGTCTTTTAATGTCAGTGTCACTGTAACAATGGCTTGGGTTTTTTTGTTGTTATTTTGTTAGGCTTAGAGAAGAAAACGCAGGTTCTGCAGCCTGAGGAGAAGAAGACTGTGGCATACCACGAAGCAGGCCATGCGGTTGCCGGCTGGTATCTGGAGCACGCAGACCCGCTTTTAAAGGTGAAGCAGGGTAGCTGCACTAGGCAGCCAGTGCATGGGTGAGCAGATGCTCGCTGCAGTCACTCAAGAAGCAAGCTACACTCCTGCAAAGGAGAAAGAAACAAGGCTTTAGCCAAAACTTCTGGTAACTTCTGGTAACCATAGTTGCACAAACCGTCCCATAGATAAATATAAAATTTGGACAGAAAATTATTTAAAGGGACCACAGAGTGTCCAAAAGCAGGCGAGAGCTGGAGAGTTTGCTCCTATAAAGCAGCAGTTGCAGTGGGTTTGAACTGGGAGCCTGTGGCTTTCTTGCCAAAGGGTTTTTCATAATCTCCACACTACAGTGGTATGAGACATAGTCTTTATTATCCTGAGGTGGTAGAGGAGATAGTCCAGGACTTAAAGAATACTGGAAATTTAACAGGAAAATCCCAGAAGCAAGAAAACTACCAAGTGGTGAGGCCCGAATCTGAGCAGGAACTGCCCAAATCTCAGGCCGACAACTAAACTACACATGCACAGTGGCAATCCCAGAGAACCTGGCAAAAGGGTAAGCAGAGACCAAAGAGAAATCTACCCCTGAAAGACGGGGGAACCATGTGAGATTTTTAAGTTTTTTGCTTTTCAACTGAGGCATTTCCCGAACTGCTGCAGCACAGATGACAGAAAGCAGCTGCCTCCCTGCCTTGCGATGGGTATCAGGGCTGCTGGGAATTGAGGCGGGCCAGGGGTGTGGGGGTCCCCTGAAGCAAGGGAACCATAGAGAAGACAACATTAGAGTGTCCATAAAACATCCTAAGGAACCCACAGAGAACCCACTAGAACTAATAAGTAAAGTTAGCAAGGTTGAAGAATTCAAGGTCAGTATACAAAGACCAATTGTATTTCTGTGTATTAGCAATAAACAATTGGAAAATGAAATTTTAAAAATTCAATTTCATTAGCAATTTCAGTAGCATCTAAAAACTCGAAATATGGAGGAATAAATTTAAGAAAATATTTGTAGGACATGCACATTGATAACAAGCCCTAAATAAAAATAGAGGTGGACTTTGCTCATGGAGTGTTACATCAGTTCTCCCAAAACTAATTGATAATTTCAGTGCAATCTCTGGTAATTATAGCAGATTTTTTTTTTTTGTGGAAATTGAGAAGCTGAATCTAAAACCGATATGGAAATACAAATGAGTAAGAGTAGCCAAAACAGTAAGTTACTCATCCCAGTATTAAGACTGTGCAGCTACAGTGATGAGAGTGTAGTGCTGGTAAGAGGACTGGCACGCAGGCCAGTGGGGTGGAATGGAGCCCGGAAAGTGAACCACAAACTTTTGGTTCACAGAGGTACCAGGATAATTCAAGGGGGAGGAATTGTCTTATCTACAGGTGGTTCTGGCAACAGAGTATTCACAGGAAAAATGGTGAACGTTAACCCTTGCATCATATGCAAAAAATTATTTGAAACAGGTCATAAGAACTAAAACCATCAAACTTCTAGGAGAAAATACAGGGAAAAATCTCTGTGGCCTTGACCATGCAAAAATTTCTTGGGACACAAAAAGCATGAGCCACAAAAGAAAACGTTGATAGGTGGGATCTCATCAAAATTTCAAACTCTCTTTCTTTGAAAGACAGTTAAGAAAATAAAAAGGCAAGCCACGCCCTCCAAAAATACATGCAGTACATATACAGGACAAAGGACTTATTTCTAGAACCTGTAAAGAACTCTTAGAACTCAATAATAAGAAAACAACCCAGTAAAACAATGGGCGAAAGATTTAAACATGCATTTCCCAGAAGGTATATGAGTGGGCATTAAGCACACACAGGGTATCATTATTTATCAGGGACATGCAAATTCACCCATGAGCTACCTGAACATACTTGCTAGAATGGTTAAAATGAAGAAGAGACAGTCTTCATTGTTGATAAGGATATGGAGCAGTTGAAACGCTCACACGTTATTGATAGGAATGTAAAATGGGGCCGGGTACAGTGGCTCATGCCTGTAATCCCAGCACTTTGGGACGCCGAGGCAGGCGGATCACTTGAGGTTAGGAGTTTGAGACCAGCCTGGCTAACGTGGCGAAACCTGTCTCTACTAAAAATAGAAAAATTAGCCAGACATGATGGTGAACGCCTATAATCCCAGCTACTCAGGAGACTGAGGCAGGAGAATCACTGGAGATGGGGAGGATCACTTGAACCCAAGAGGCGGAGGCTACAGTAAGCAGCAGTCGTGCCACTGCACTCCAGCCTGGGGGACAGAATGAAGCTCTGCCAAAAACAAAAATAGGGAATGTAAAATGGTACCATTGTTTTGGAAAACAGTTTGGCAGTTTCTTATTAAGGTAGACGAACACTTCCATGTGACCAAACAATTCAACTTTTATTTCCCCAAGAGAAATAAAAACCTATGTCCATGCAAGGACTGTTACTACTTTATGTATAATATCAATAAACTGAAAATAACCCTGACTTCCATCAAGAATGAAATGGATATTTGGTATGTTTGTAGCAGTGGAGTGCCACACAGCAGTAAAAATGAATGATTATTAATACATACAGCAGTATCTATGGATCTCAAAAACAGGGAAAGAGGCCAAACAATGAAGTATGTGCCATACAATTTCATTTATTTGCAATTCTAGAAGCTAAACTAATCCATAGGGACAGAAGGCATGTCTGTGGTTGCCTGGGGTTGGGTGTGGAGGGAAAGACTCCCTACCAGTGGGTACAAGGGAACTTTCTGGGCATGATGAGAATATTCTGTATCTTCATTGTGGCTTGATGTTATGTTTGTCAAAACTCATTGAACTCTACACTTCAGATGGGTGCATTTTACCATATATGTCATCTCTCAATAAACTGAATTTTTTAAAAATTAAAGGAATTTACTTAATTGCAAAAGAGGACTGGAAAGGAAAGGCTGCCGAGCATCTTGGCCTGCTGTACCCCTCTTCCTTCAAAGGAGGGTGTGGCCACGTCCGACAGCAGAGTTGAATGAAGCCTGCATGCTTGCACAACATCAGAACTGTCAGAATGTCAAGATGGAATACTTTCAATTGAGTTTTACAAAAAGACAAGAAATTTGCTGGGTGTGGTGGCGCATGCCTGTAATCCTAGCACTTTGGGAGGCCAAGGTGGGGGAATTGCTTGTAGTCAGGAGTTTAAGACCATCCCGAGCAGCAAAGTGAGACCCTGTTTTTACTTAAAAAAAAAAAAAAAAAGAAAAGCCATTTAGAATTCTAAGGTGAAGCTGGACGTGGTAGCTCACGCCTGTAATCCCAGCAGTTTGGGAGGCTGAGGCAGGAGGATCACGAGCTCAGGCGTTCGAGACCAGCCTGACCAACATGGTGAAACCCCTTCTTTACTAAAAATAAAAAATTAGCCAGGCCTGGTGGTGGGCGCTTATAATCCGAGCTACTCAGGAGGCTGAGGCAGGAGAATCACTTGAACCCGGGAGGTGGAGGTTGCAGTGAGTTGAGATCGTGCCACTGCACTCCAGCCTGGGTGACAGAGCAGGACTCAATCTCAATCTCAAGAAAAAAAACACTCTAAGGTGAACTTATCCTGAGAGAAAATACTCCTCCTGAGCAGTCACTGCTAGATCACATCCCACTAAGGCTGATGAACTGTGCGGCTGTTGTGCTTATTTTTAGTCAATGAGTTTATCTGTTTATACACAGATGTTTTGATCAAGTCTTCATCTGTAGTAGGATCTTCAACACTGTTTTCTACTTACCAGGTATCCATCATCCCACGTGGCAAAGGACTAGGTTATGCTCAGTATTTACCAAAAGAACAATACCTCTATACCAAAGAGCAGCTCTTGGATAGGATGTGTATGACTTTAGGTGGTCGAGTCTCTGAAGAAATCTTCTTTGGAAGAATTACAACTGGTGCTCAAGATGACTTGAGAAAAGTAACTCAGAGTGCATATGCCCAAGTGAGTATATGAAAGAGTGCATTTCCTCCTCATGTATTCATATTTGCACGAGAAATTGACATTCTATGAATGGCTCTGAAACAATATAGTTGTGCTTCACTGTTTTAGGCTTTTTAGGCAAGGATTATCTCTTAAAAGAAGTAAAGCAATTAAAACTTATGAAGAGAAACTTTATTTTTTTGAGACACAGTCTCCCTCTGTTGCCCAGGCTGGAGTGCAGTGGCTCTATCTTGGCTCACTGCAACCTCTGCCTCCTGGGTTCAAGTGATTGTCCTGCCTCAGCCTCCTGAGTAGCTGGGATTACAGGCATGCGCCACCACATGTGGCTAATTTTTTTTTTTTTTTTTTTTTTGAGACTGAGCCTCGCACTCTTGCCCAGGCTGGAGTGCAGTGGTGCAATCTCGGCTCACTGCAAGCTCTGCCTCCCAGGTTCACACCATTCTTCTGCCTCAGTCTCCTGAGGAGCTGGGGTTACAGGCGCCCACCACCACGCCTGGCTGATTTTTTTGTATTTTTAGTAGAGACAGGGTTTCACCGTGTTAGCCAGGATGGTCTTATCTCCTGACCTTGTGATCCTCCAGCCTCCCAAAGTGCTGGGATTACAGGCGTGAGCCACTGCGCCCAGCTTTTTTGTTTTTTTTTTTTTTTGATCTGGAGTTTTGCTCTTGTTGCCCAGGCTGGAGTGCAATGGTGCGATCTCGGCTCACCACAACCTCTGCCTCCTGGGTTCAAGCAATTCTCCTGCCTCAGCCTCTTGAGTAGCTGGGATTACATTCATGTGCCACCACGCCTGGCTAGTTTTGTATTTTTAGTAGAGACGGGGTTTCTCCATGTTGGTCAGGCTGGTCTTGAACTCCTGACCTCAGGTGATCCGCCCGCCTCGGCCTCTCAAAGCACTGGGATTACAGGCATGAGCCGCTGTGCTTGGCTGAGAAACCTTTTTTTTTTTTTTTTTTTTTTTTTTGAGACAGAGTCTCGGTCGCCCAGGCTGGAGTGCAGTGGCGCCATCTGGGCACACTGCAAGCTCCGCCTGCCAGGTTCACGCCATTCTCCTGCCTCAGCCTCCCAAGTAGTGCCCGCCACCACTCCTGGCTAATTTTTTGTATCTTTAGTAGAGGCAGGCATTTCACTGTGTTAGCCAGGATGGTCTTGTCTCCTGACCTGGTGATCCGCCCGCCTTGGCCTGCCAAAGTGCTGGGATTACAGGCGTGAGCCACCGTGCCCGGCCCCGAGAAACCTTTTTTTAGTACAGTATTTAAAGTTTATTTCAGGCTGGGCGTGGTGGCTTTGATATGTATTTTTTCTCTAGCACCTCATTGAAGCTTTTCTAGTTCTGATTTAAGTAGATCTTTCATATCATATGTCATTTCCCTGATTTCTTTTAGCCTGTTTTGAAATAAGAAGATACGGATTTCCTCTTAATATTGACACGTCTTTTCATCCCACTTTTCTTATCTCTGGAGAAACTATTCAGCTTATTTTTTTCTTATAATAACTTTATAAGGGATTTTTCTATTGCCTATTTTTACATGAAATTTGTTCTGCTGCTCTCTTAGGTGGGAGGAGGTCTAGGAGCTTTTCTGACTGTATTCATGAAATGTTAGGAATGTGGTTTCCTACCTTCCAAGCATCCCTGGCTGTTTGATCCCCACTCTTATCTGGGCCTTCTCTTTTTTCCAGTGAGTTTGGGTCTTACTTGCAGAAGCCTCCTCCTTTGTGGTGCTGGTTAGTTTTGGGGGCTCATGGGTCCAGACTGGATCAGCTTCTTCAGACTGTTCCCTGGGCCCCATGGACTCAGTGAACGGGGAAATGCAGTTGCCCTTCTGGTCTCACATGTTCTCAGCGTGAGTGGCATGCCATCCTTCTGGGAAGAACCTGTTGGCAGCTGGGGGTTCTTGTTTCTTCAGGTCTATCAGATGCTTCTTGCTGCTTCTCTACTTTCTCTTGTGCAGATAGTAATATCAGGCTGGGCACGGTGGCTCATACCTGTAATCCCAGCACTTTGGGAAGCTGAAGTGGGAGGATAATTTGAGCCCAGAAGGTCAAAGCTGCAGTGAGCTATGATCATGCACTGCATTCCAGCCTGGGCGACAGAACAAGACCCTGTCTCAAAACAAAAACAAAAAGAAACCAGGTAGTGGCTGGGCTCATGCCCGTAATCCCAGCACTTTGGGAGGC
Organism: Homo sapiens; assembly: GCF_000001405.40. Classification (NCBI taxonomy): domain Eukaryota; kingdom Metazoa; phylum Chordata; class Mammalia; order Primates; family Hominidae; genus Homo; species Homo sapiens. The sequence continues at coordinate 12,338,022 of NC_000018.10, read as the reverse complement.
CGAAGCGGGCAGATCACCTGAGGTCAGGAGTTCAAGACCAGCCTGGCCAACATGACAAAAACCCGTCTCTATTAAAAATACAAAAATTAGCCGGGAGTGGTGGCAGGTGCCTATAATCCCAGCTGCTTGGGAGGCTGAGGCTCGAGAATCGCTTGAACTCGGGATGTGGAGGTTGCAGTGAGCCAAGATGGTGCCACTGCACTATAGCCTGGGCAACAGACCAAGACTCTGTCTAAAAAAAAAAGAGAGAAATCAGGTAATAATATCATACAGTTGGGATTTGCGTCCTAACTTTGTTGTAGGTGTTATGCCTGGGCTTCTGGCTCTGTGTTTCTAGTCATGAGTTTAAAGCACTGTGCTGCTGCTGCTGCTGCTGCTGGCTACACAGAGCACCTTTGTGCACTTTAGCCGGCTCCAGGCTGCTGTGTAGATTTTGTCTGGTTAAAGAACAATCATATGTAATCACCACTAATTATGTATTTTTCAGATTGTTCAGTTTGGCATGAATGAAAAGGTTGGGCAAATCTCCTTTGACCTCCCACGTCAGGGGGACATGGTATTGGAGAAACCTTACAGTGAAGCCACTGCAAGATTGATAGATGATGAAGTACGAATACTTATTAATGATGCTTATAAAAGAACAGTAGCTCTTCTCACAGAAAAGAAAGCTGACGTGGAGAAGGTAGGTGCCAGTTGTGGGAATAATTCTTTACAGTTTTGCAAAAAAAAGATTGAAGTGATAGATAGACTGTTTTGGTTGGTGTGTAGACTGCAGAATTCCCTCTCTCTGGCTCACCCATGGGTCCGTTCGTTCTGATGTTTCGTTGTCTGCTCTGTCTTCAAGCGGGGGTTGCAATGTGGTGAGCAGAAGTTGACACTGTCCCGGCTCCTGTGGCTCTTAGGAATGTGACTGAATGATTAATGAAGTCTGTCAGTAACCACAAAGTAAACAAATCAGGACTCTCCCTCACCAGATAGTTCACAGTACTCCTAATGAGAAGCATGATTGCCTGGTTTACCATTGTGTTTCACCTCTAAAATAAATAGGTAGTGAAAGATGAAAGGGCAAGTAAAAGAAGCAGCCAAACTGCTAAGTAGGAAATTGGTACGTGAAAGTTACCTTGCTTGTGGCTTGCTCATGAACTTCCACAAGAAAGCATTGTGTTTGTCGTTGTTGTACCTCATTTGATAGCACCTACAAAAGGAAGGGACCCTTTCTGAACTCAGTGGATTTCTTGCATTTGGTAACTTCTTAATTTTCCAGAGTCCATGTGAAAAAAATTAGAATTAAAAAAAACTTTGAATATTCTATACTGTAATGAGAAAAACACAAATGTAAAAGCCTTTTATAAGGGATTGACACAACTGCCTAATAGATTTATTTTGCCTGCTGCCCAGGTACAGCCAGTTTCTCAAGACAGGGGAATTGCAGTAGAGAAAGAGCTTAATTCATGCAGAGCTGGCTGAATGGCAGCCTGGAGTTTTATTATTACTCAAATCGGTCTCCTTGGAGACCAGGGTTTTTCAAGGATAGTTTGGCAGGTAAGGGCCAGGGAGTGAGGAATGCTGGCTGGTTGGTTGGGGCAGAGGTGAAATCATAGGGCATGGAAGCTATCCTCCTGTGCTGAGTCAGTTTCTGAGTGGGGCCACAGGACCAGTTGGTAAGTCCAGGTGGAGCCATTGGTTGTCAGAAATGCAAAAAGCTGAAAAGCTATCGCAAAAGGCCAAGCCTAAGTTTTACAGTAGATGTTATCTGTAGGAGTAATTGGGGAAGTTGCAAATCTGACCTCCATAATAATGGCTGGTAATTATTTAACCATGCCTACATCTTAGTAGAATGCAGTCTCCTCTTATCCTCCTAATTTGGTGGCCTTTCATTAGTTTTACAAGGGTAGTTTAGTTTTGGGGAAGTGCTATTATCATTTAAACTATAAATTCCTCCCGAAGCTAGCTTGGCCCACACCCGGGAACAAGTGAGGACAGTGTGTGAGGCTAGAAGCAAGATGGAGTCAGCCATGCCAAATTTCTCTTGCTGTTATAATTTTGCAAAGGCAGCTTCACTAAGATTATGCTGTTCAATCAGCAAGTCTTCAAGAAGCCGACTATAACCCCTATGTTAGACTTCAGAAGAATCCATGCTGTCGGTGCACAAAAGTGTGCAGTGAAATGAGTGAGCACCAGCATCCCCAAAACACTGGAAAGCATGCAGCAGGGCTCTGAGGAAGAAAAGGCCAGCATGGGCAGAGTGGTCCAGGACGGCTCTGCAGGAGATAGGGCCGAGGTACCCAGAAGGATGAGCAGGTCATAGAGCTGAAGGAAGGGGAAGGAAGAGTGTGCGGCGTGGAGCCCGGGGGCAGCCCTGAGCCTGCTGCACTTGCAGGTGGTGGACCCTGTAGACCCAAGAGTGGCTGAGACAGATCTCTGTCAGCTTAGAGGTTTGTTTCGTCAAGGTTGAGGATGTACCCAGGGAAAAAGAAACACCAGTTACAGGGGATCTGTGGTCCCTGCTTTTTCCAGAGAGAGCTTCGAGGGCTTGAATATTTAAAGGGGAAAGAGTGGCAGGAAGGGAAGGAGGAAGGGAGAAAAGGGGAGGGTAGGTGGTGAAGGTGAGTGGTCGCATTCTTGATTTTTGCCCATTGAATCCACATGTGACATGTGAAAGGAGGAGTAGAGGGATGTCAGTTACGCATGCATCTCTTGTTCAGTAAATCCTCATTTTACATGCAATAAAGTAAACATAGAGTAGAAGAAAGAGTCAAATACACATTTGTCTCAGGTTGGCAGAGGGATGATTTCTGGTCTGGTCTTTGTCCATTCCTGTGAGATAAGCTGTTAACTTACATTGTCAGGGTGAGATCCAGCAGAACTTTGTTTCAGGGTAAAGGTTTTAGGGCCCACAAGGAATCTCCTTGTGAGCAATGAGTGAGGGAGGCCACCTGGGGAGATAAATGGTTTCTGTCTTTGCAGCCATCTCTTTAGGAACAATAGGAAGGCAGCTCTTGTGCAACTCAGTTTCCAAGCTTAACTTTTCCCCTTGGCATAATGCGTTTAGGGTCCCGAGATTTTATTTTCCTTTCATAAGTCCCAGGCCCTCCAGAGCTAGGTAGAAAGTTGAGGCACACAGCTTTAGAAGTAGAAGTGATCTTAAAAATGATCTAACCCAGCCTCCTTATTTTGTAGTAGTTCTTAAAGGAGTCCTTAAAGAATCTTGAGCAGAAATGATGAAAAGATCATTTCAGGAGAGTGTGGTGGCAGCATGCCAGCTGGATTGGAACAGGAACACAGACCAGACCAGCTTGGAAGCAGTGGGGGCATCTCAGCACTCCTCAGGTGGTGCCTGCAGGGGTGGCCATGAAAATAAAAAGGCAAAGGCAGAGCTGTAAAACCAAGACTTCATAGAGAACAAAAGAGAAGAAAGCCCAAGAATGACTCCAAGGCATCCCTGGGCAGGGGGAGGAAAGGGAGTGATAAACGGTTTGGTCTCAACACCCAAGAGGATTTGAGCAAGGCGCATTTGCAATCAGAATATGAACAGAGGTCAGGGCTGCCAGATAGCCAGGTGTTGAGCTGTGAAAGACAGGAATGCAGAAGAGCCCAGTCCAGATGAGCCCTCTGTGAGGCACTGAGGAGGTCTGCAGTGATGTGAGAATCTCCCCAGTTCTCCCACCCATCCACAGTCTCAGTGTCTGTACTCACACGACTCACGCTGCACAACTAAGGTCTGTTTATTGAAAGGAGAATTGGGTTAGCATGGTGAGGCTCTTGAAACACTGGACAGTTTTGAAGTACTTTCTGGTCCATCAGAGAGAATGAGCCACGTGCAGAATACTGCAGAGCCAGCCAGGAGGTAGGGAGGCTATGGAGAAGAGAGGGGCTAGGGCCTGTGCTCCTGAAACCATTGCCTTCCAGACTCTGCGAGGGCAGGGAGTGTGTACCTGAGGGCTTGCCAGCATTCACCCAACACCTGTGTACCAGGCACTGCCTGAGGGTTCCTTTCTGAAAACCCTGTGACCTCATGAGGTGGCTAACATTAGTGACCTCTTACATCAGTTTCAGGTGAAGAAGCTGTTAACAGAGAGAGGTCAGGTAGCTTTGCTTAGGGTCATACAGTGGGTAAGCAGCACAGCCAGGGTCTGACCCAGGTGTCCTGCCTGCAGAGCCCTGGTCGTTCCCCTCTCCCTGAGCCTGTGTGGCCCTGTAAGGCAGCTGCGGAGGGCTGCCGAGCACTTGGTGGCCGCTGTGAATCGAGAACTGTTAAATGTCAAGTGCATGCTGGTTACTGAAGATTCAGCATGAAGAAAGGAATGTAAAAAAACCTCAATCATGTTTTGTGTCGTCACATGTTGAAATAATATTTTGGCCAAGAACTGTGGCACATGTCTATAATCCCAGCACTTTGGGAGGCTGAGGTGGGTGGATCACTTGAGCCCAGGAATTCGAGACTAGCCTGGGCAACATGGTGAAACCCTGTTTGTACTAAAAATATAAAAAATTAGCCCGGCATGGTGGTGTGCATCTGTAGTCCCAGCTACTTGGAGGCTGAGATGGGAGGATCACCTGAGCCCAGGAAGTTGAGGCTAGAGGCTACAGTGAGCTGTGATCACGTCACTGCATTCCAGCCTGGGTGACAAGTGAGACCCTGTTTCAGGGGGAAAAAATATATATATATAATTATATATTATATATATAATTTTATATATTATATATTTATAATATATAATATATATTTATATATTATATATAATCTATATTTATAATATATAATCTATATATTTATATAATTATATATCATATATTTATATAATAGATTATATATTAGATTATTATATATATTATTTATTATATTATCTATTATTATATATATTAGATTATTATATATTATATATATTATATATATAATCTATTATATAATAGTTATATAATAGATTATAATCTATTATATAATAGTTATATAATAGATTATAATCTATTATATAATAGATTATATATTTTTATATATTATTAATATATTTTATATTATATATAATTTATATAATATATTTATATAATATATAATATATTATAGTATATAATATATTATATGTTATATAGTATATGTTATATATAATATATATTTTTTATATATTGGATTAAATTATTGAAATGTAAGTGATCACCCACAACTATGGTGTGTGTGTGTGTGTGTGTATAAGCAAATTGAGAATTAAAAATGGCCTAAGAATGAATCCTAAAGCTTTTTTCCCTTACGTATATGCAGACAATATATTTTTAAAATCAGAGCATTATAGTATTCTGGTTTTCTAAACAATCCTAATCTTTTAGAGATATAGACAAAAAATATATATATATATATGGATAAAATGATATGACATCTGGGATTTTCTTAAAAATAATCTAGAGAGCTGAAACAAGAATGTTTCTAAATTGATCACTGTTGATAGTGGTTACATGGGGATTATCCATTCTTTCCACTTTTGTACCTATTTGAAGCATTTTATAATAAAATTTTTAAAAACTGAAAAGACAAAACTTTCATAATTTTATATCTTTAAAAACATAACATTTATTGCAAACTACAAATAGATTAAATTTCAGAGTAAGGAGTTATCTCAAGAAATAAGTCTGGCCAGGTGCAGTGGCTTATCCCTGTAATCCCAGTACTTTGAGGGGCTGAGTTTGAGACTAGCCTGGCCAACATGGTGAAACCCCATCTCTACTTAAAATACAAAAAGTTAGCTGGGCGTGGTGGTGGACGCCTGTAATCCCAACTACTGGGGAGGCTGAGGCAGGAGAATCACTTGAACCTGGGAGGCGGAGGTTGCAGTGAGCCAACATCGCGCCATTGTACTCCAGCCTGGGTGACAGAACAAGACTCTGTCTCAAAAAAAAAAAAAAAAAATCATTTTATGAGATCAACTTATAATTTAAACTGCTTAATTTTCTTTACACTAGGTATATGATCTAACATAAACACTGTTCCCTCTTCTCATGATACCGTCACACTTCCATGTGTGTACTCCGGTAGGGGTCCCTTTTTCTGTAGGCTGTTAAAACGTGTAATGTCAAATTTATGGTCCAGCTGTAACAAATGAATAGAACTTCAAAGTAAACTACTGTCACATTAACCTTCCTGCCTTCATTTTGTATCTCTGCCCTTGTTTTATATATATATATATATATATATATATATATATATATATATATATATATATATTTATTTATTTACTTTTAGACAGACTCTCCCTCTGTTGCCCAGGCTGGAGTGCAGTGCCTCCATCTTGGCTCACTGCAACCTCCGCCTCCTGGGTTCAAGTAATTCTCCCGCCTCAGCCTCCTGAGTAGCTGGGATTACAGGCAGGTGCCACAACGCCAGGCTAATTTTTGTATTTTTAGTAGAGACAGGGTTTCACCATGTTGGGCAGGCTGGTCTCGAACTCCTGACCTCAGGTGATCCGCCGCCCCAAAGTGCTGGGATTACAGGCGTGAGCCATTGCGCGTGGCCATATATTTTTTATGTACCATTTAAAAGAAACTTTAGACAAAGTAAATTTAACAGATAAGTTTATTTGAGCAAAGAACAGTTTGGGAATCGGGCAGCCCTCAGAATTAGAAGTTCAGAGCTCTGCTCCGGCAGCATGAGCAGCAAGCTTTTGTAGGCTGAGCCTAGAAGCAAAGAAAGAAACTGCAGTCATGTGTTGCTTAATGATGGGGATACGGTCTGAGGAGTTTGCTGTTAGTTGATTTTGTCGTCGTGCAGGCATCAGAGTGCGCTACACCTGCCGCACACCTAGGCTGTGTGGTGTGGCCTATTGCTCCTAGGCTGCATACCTGCTCGCATGTGACTGTACTGAATGCTTCAGGCCATTGTAACACAATGGTATCTAAACACATCTAAACATAGAAAAGGTACAGTTAAAATAAGGTATTATAATCTTACGGGACCACCATCTACATGGGGCCCATCATTGACTGAAACGTTGTTAGCAGTGCATGACTGCTCTTAGCGGTGCATGACTGCTTGATTGGCTACTGCTGGGCATTTGCCTTATTTGTGTGGTCCAATGCATGGTCCCAAGTTCTGCCACAGTTGGCTGGTTGGCTGTTTATGATTGGTAGAAGCTTAATTTGAAGTTAGTTACAAAGAATGCCTCTAGGTTAAGTTCCAGTTTGTGTATGGATGGGTTCTGGGTACAGAAAAAGCCCTAAGCTGATGGCTCCTGCCTAGTCTGTTTTTTTTTTTTTGAGACCGAGTCTTGCTCTGTTGCCCAGGCTGCTGGAGTGCAATGGCGCGATCTCGGCTCACTGCAACCTCTGCCTCCTGGGTTCAAGCCATTCTCCTGCCTCGGCCTCCTGAGTAGCTGGGCTTACAGGCACCCACCACTGCGCCTGGCTAATTTTTGTATTTTTAGTAGAGACGGGGTTTTGCCATTTTGGCCAGGCTGGTGTCGAACTTCGGACCTCAGGTGATCCGCCCACCTCGGCCTCCCAAAGTGCTGGGATTACAGGTGTGAGCCACTGCACTTGGCTGCCTATTCTGCTTTAATGCACATAAAAAGATACATTCTTATCACCTCAGAAAAGCAAACGTAAGATGCTGTGCACACTGAACATCTTGTTTTTTTAATTGAAGTGTGTATCTCTGAGATGTATATAGAACATACACAGCCTCCTCCTATTTTTTTTTGTTTGTTTGTTTTGAGAAGGAGTCTCGCTCTGTCGCCCAGGCTGGAGTGCAGTGGCACAATCTTGGCTCACTGCAACCTCCGCCTCCCGGGTTCAAGTGATCCTCCTGCCTCAGCCTCCCAAGTAGCTGGGACTACAGGCGCACACCACCATGCCCAGCTATTTTTTTGCATTTTTAGTAGAGACACGGTTTCACCCTGTTGGCCAGGATGGTCTTGACCTTGTGATCCACCCGCCTCGGCCTCCCAAAGTGCTAGGATTACAGGCGCGAGCTACCGCGCCCGGCCAGCTTCCTCCTCATTATAGATGGTCAGCATTCATTGTGCAGATGTGTGGAAATATGTCTAGTATGGAAATGTATCCCTTACAGATGGACATTGGTTGCTTTGATATTTTGCACATCTTACTCTAAAACTATGCAACCTTATGTATGAGACATCTTTTTCATTGGTCTTAAATCCTTTTTTGGAATGGGGTCACCTGTAAATAAAAAATTAATATTTCTGAATAGACTTTGCTGAGTAACTGTATTTAATGAAAATTGTTCATATTTCAGGTTGCTCTTCTGTTGTTAGAAAAAGAAGTATTAGATAAGAATGATATGGTTGAACTTTTGGGCCCCAGACCATTTGCGGAAAAATCTACCTATGAAGAATTTGTGGAAGGCACTGGCAGCTTGGATGAGGACACCTCACTTCCAGAAGGCCTTAAGGACTGGAACAAGGAGCGGGAAAAGGAGAAAGAGGAGCCCCCGGGTGAGAAAGTTGCCAACTAGAGGCCCAGAGGGAGGCCATCTCAGTCTGTCCACTGTGGTTTCAGCTGGTGCATTATTTCAGCTGTGGCTTTCAGAAGAATGGGAATGCTGCGCTGATTTTAGCCAGCCACTGGCCCAGCTGAAATGATGGGGAAAGGAGTCCTTAGTCCTTTCAGCCTCAGAGGTCACAGTGGGTGGCAGGTGACTTTCCGGAGGCCTTGAGGGAAATGCACACTGTCCCATAGCCTCATTGGGCTCCCAGACGTGCTGGAAAGGTTGAGCCCAGAGTGGCCGAGGCTGGACCCTGTGGCACCAAGTGGGGTCGGCTGACCGTGTGGCAGGGATCGTTGCACTGGACTCTTGGCGTGTGGGAAGGGATGCTTTCTCTTTGTCGCCCACTCTTCATTCCTGTTTCTCCTCAGTTCCCCTGTGCAGATGGGCTGTGAAATTAAATTGGAGTCTTGATAAGAACATTTTAATTTGACTTAATATTTTAAAGATTGAATCCAGATCACTTGTTGCTGTCTTAATGGAATGGTTTTCTACAGGAGCTGTAACATACTTAAAAATATGAATGTATTATGTAAATATGGCTTCTTTACATAAAAAATAAAATGTCAACACTGTACTTTTCTGAACACACATAGGGTCCCTATTTATGCTCTGGATATTTTTAGAAAACATAATGGCAAGAAATTAAATTTTCTTGCTTTTTAGAGGAGAATCCTTCAAAATCTCAGCCTCGCTGGTTCTCATTAGCTCCCACAGGAGGTTGGAACCTTCTAGAGTTATGTGTCCTGTAAAGATGCACTGAGCTCTGGATATAAAGTACATGGGTCCTGAGGGGTTAGTCATGGCCTGAATCTGTGATAACCACCCCAGTGCAGGTCCTCAAGAGGCCAGTCATGGCCAGATGTTGGCCACACCTTCTGGGTATAGAAGTTAACGTATAACTGTAGCGGGCCTGGCAGGCTGACCTGAGCCGTCACCTGGATTTTAGAGAAGGAACAGTGGAACTAAGCTGGAGTCCCCTGGGCCCTGGCTCTCTGGGGACATCTCAGGAGTGGTCTGACTGGTAAGCTGCTCCTATTGTCTATTGAAAGGGAGTTATTGGTTATGTGCTTCCAGAAAAGTGAGTCTGTAGTGTTGCAAACCTATATCAAAATTCCTTAAAAAAGATGGCATGAGGAAGATTTGCTATGTCTTCTATCAATTGCTGTTATTTGGACATGGAGGAGACACTGGCATTTTTAACTATTTACATTTTTAGCAGTCTGTTTTAGCATTATTCCAGCTTGCCTTGTGTGGTGTTGATGTTGTCGGAACAGTGGCTTTAGAATTAACACAATCTAGTGGCATCCCTGCCATGGCCCCAGGCCATGCATGCTCCACCCATGGCTACTTCCCAGCAGCCTGAGATACCCACCTGTCCCCGGCAGGCCGTGGAAGCAGCTGTTTGGACTCCACAGCTCAGCATGCCAGGAGAACAGGCGCCCCCTGCTGGACCTTTGCACCTGCAGGCATTGCCACACTGGCCACTTCCTTTCCTCATAGGGTGTTTTTGGGAGGTGCCCAATGAAGCATTGTTTCCAGGCTGAGGCTCACACAGTTGTGAGGGTGCTGGGTGTGCTTTTTACCATACAGGCAGTAGACGATTAGGAGACGCTCTCTACTCCTTATCCAACCACTGCAAGGCATGGAGCCAGCGTGGGCTGCCCTCTCACAGGCCTTGGCTGTGAGACCTCCCGGGGGACGAGAGTGGGGCCCACTGTCTGTCAGGCTTGATACAGTAAGAGTGACAAAGCCAGATAGCACCGACAACACCCATGTTTCTGGTGAGGTGAGCAACCTTAAGCTCTGGGCCCTGGATGGCTGCTCAACCTGTGCAAGTGGCCCTCTGTGCTAGGAGCAACCGTGGCTCCCTGTGCCACCATCTTGTGGGGCCTGCTCATGCATAGATCTTTCCACGGTCACACAGAACATGTTTTCAGGACAGATGTGGGTGGTGAGCTGGTAAGATTTATTTTTACTGTGGTCTCAGAATAGTTCAGATTTCTGCAAAAAGATCTGTGATCACCTCAAGCCATGCTGCTGTGTTTAGTGATGAACTTTCCATCTGCCCAAGGCTGGGGCTTAACACAAAATAAATACAGCTAGTCAATGTAAGGCCTGGGATCACAGACCAAGGGTGGTGTTGTGGTTGTACTGTGGGGAACCCTAACCCTAAGTGGTCCCGAATGACAAAGCTTTGTCTGTCTCTTATTCCCTGTCCAACACAGGTCAGAGTGGGCTCTGCCCAGGATGGTCACTCAGGAACCTGGACGGGTGGACAGGAGGGATCGGGGGGGCTGCCCACGTGGGAGGCAGAGCAGGAGGGCTGGCACTGGCACATGACGCTTCCACTCGGGGGTGACACACTATGCCCATTCTTATGGCTAGAGCAAGTCCCACGTTCACAGCTTCAAGAGGGCAGGAAGAAGTAAAGCAAAAATATTGTCAACAGTGAGGTCTGTACCAGGCACTAGCAGGGCTACTGTGCGTGCCCCGTGGAGTTTATCTTTGGAAACTCCAAAGGTGTGGCCGGTGGTAGAAGCCATCAGGTGTGATGGGTCACAGCAGAAAAGGGCCCATCCCTTCCATGCAGGGCTGGCTGTTGGCACCCCAGCTCCCACCCAGCACCCCTGGCTTTGTCCGGAGGCCTTTTGGGGCTGTTTGTTCCCCTACAAGGTTGGGGAACCCTAGCCCAGGACCTGACTTGGGAAAATGCAAGATCCTGTGGGAGTCTAAAAGGTGGCTGCGGATGGAGGAGGGGCTTTTGTCTGTACTGCATTGCCTTCCAGCTAGCAACAGTTTTGGCTGCCCCCCTTAAAGCCTCCATTTAAAGAAGAGCCCTTTCCTCTGTTGTTTTCGTGAACTGAAGTGGGGAGGAGTTCACCCCAGGGAGAGACCAGTGACCCAAGTAGCCATTGTAACCATACAAAGTAACTTACGTCATTTATGCACATGGCTAGAGAGATGAAGACACACGTTTAGTATTTTATTATGAATCATTATTTCAAAGTCCCATACTGCATATTCATATAAGGCAACACGGCACAATTTCAGGCTTCATCACAAAGGATGAAAAAGACTGTTTCTAACTCCCTCCTAATTTGCAGACATGCTTGAACACTTAATGGAAGGTGAAGTTTATTTTGTGGCCCCTCAGTTCTCTTTCAAGTCCTCTAGTAGAAAGTCTCCATGGTGTGATCTTCTGACTGGGTAGAACCCGCAATTCTCTGCTGTTTTTAGTCTTTGTTCCAGATGACTAATTACATGACTTGGCTGCATTTGTGAGGGGCCGACACCAACACAATTAAACCAGTGCACCATTCAGGGCCATAGGGTAGGAGGCACCAGGGTTCAAGAAGGAACTTGCGTGTTGTAGGATCTGAGTTGGGGCGGCTCTATTCCGACTATCCATCGATCTCCTCTTCCTCATCCTCAAAAGCTTCCTCCCCGTCATTGGCGGTGGCATCCTGGTACTGCTGGTACTCGGATACCAGGTCGTTCATGTTGCTCTCCGCCTCGGTGAACTCCATTTCATCCATGCCCTCACCCGTGAACCAGTGCAGGAAGGCCTTGCGCCGGAACATGGCTGAGAACTGCTCGGAGATGCGCTTGAACAGCTCCTGGATGGCCGTGCTGTTGCCGATGAAGGTGGAGGCCATCTTCAGGCCGCGGGGCGGGATGTCGCACACGGCCACCTTCACGTTGTTGGGAATCCACTCCACGAAGTAGCTGCTGTTCTTACTCTGGATGGCCAGCATCTGCTCGTCCACCTCCTTCATGGACATGGGCCCGCGGAACACGGTGGCCACGGTCAGGTAGCGGCCATGGCGCGGATCGCAGGCGGCCATCATGTTCCTGGCGTCGAACATCTGCTGGGTGAGCTCGGGCACGGTCAGGGCCCGGTACTGCTGGCTGCCGCGGCTGGTGAGCGGCGCGAAGCCAGGCATGAAGAAGTGCAGGCGCGGGAAGGGCACCATGTTCACCGCCAGCTTGCGCAGGTCAGCATTGAGCTGGCCCGGGAAGCGCAGCGAGGTGGTGACCCCACTCATGGTGGCGGACACCAGGTGGTTGAGGTCCCCGTAGGTGGGCGTTGTCAGCTTCAGAGTGCGGAAGCAGATGTCATAGAGCGCCTCGTTGTCGATGCAGTAGGTCTCGTCTGTATTCTCCACCAGCTGGTGCACCGACAGTGTGGCATTGTAGGGCTCCACCACCGTGTCCGACACCTTGGGCGAGGGCATGACGCTGAAGGTGTTCATGATGCGGTCCGGGAACTCCTCACGGATCTTGCTGATGAGCAGCGTGCCCATGCCTGAGCCCGTGCCGCCGCCCAGCGAGTGCGTGAGCTGGAAGCCCTGCAGGCAGTCGCAGTGCTCGCACTCCTTCCGCACCACGTCCAGCACTGCGTCCACCAGCTCCGCGCCCTCCGTGTAGTGCCCTTTCGCCCAGTTGTTCCCTGCACCCGTCTGGCCTGCAACAAAGAGAGTCCCGTGCCGTTTAAACAGGAAAGGGCTGCGCCATCACCATGCTTGGTCACCGACAAGGAGGGTGTGAAGTGATTCCATGATGTGCTGTTAGCCAAAGGGAGGGGCCGGGGAAACAGGCACCCACCAACGGTGCAGCTGAGCAGATGCACTGGTACGTTTTTAGGCAAGTCAAAGTAGCTACTGGTCAATTTTAAAGATGTATATACATTTTGACCTGGTTGTTCCATGTTAAAGAGGTAATTCTTGCACATGGTAGAATTCAAAGGGAACAAAAGGTATACATTAAAAAAATAAGTTACTGGCCGGGCGCCGTGGCTCATGCCTGTAATCCCAGCACTTTGGGAGGCCGAGGCGGGTGGATCACTTGAAGTCAGGAGTTAGAGACCAGCCTGGGCAACATGAGGAAACCCCATCTCTACTGAAAATACAAAAATCAGCCGGGCGTGGTGGTGGGGAGCCTGTAGTCCCAGCTACTTGGGAGGCTGAGGCAGGAGAATTGCTTGAACCTGGGACCTGGGAGGTGGAGGTTCTAGTGTGCTGAGATGGTGCCACTGCACTCCAGCTTGGGCGTCAGAATGGGACTACAGCTCAAAAAAAAAAAAAAAGTTCTCTCCTTTGGGCTTTCTGAATCTTATACTGTACTATGTATAAGTATTTTCTTTTCTTTCTTTCTTTTTTTTGGAGACGCAGTCTCACTCTGTCGCCCAGGCTGGAGTGCAGTGGCGCAATCTCGGCTCATTGCAAGCTCCGCCTCCTGGGTTCACGCCATTCTCCTGCCTCAGCCTCCCGTGTAGCCGGGACTACAGGCGCCTGCCACCACTCCTGGCTAATATTTTTGTATTTTTAGTAGAGACGGGGTTTCACCGTGTTAGCCAGGATAGTCTCGAACTCCTGACCTTGTGATCCGCCCGCCTCGGCCTCCCAAAGTGCTGGGATTACAGGCGTGAGCCACGGCGCCCGGCCCAAGTATTTTATTTTTAAAACTTGACACTTTTTCATGTTAATGGAGCCCCTCATTCATCATCCAGAATTACTGTTGCAAAATGTTTGCAGAACCAATTATTTATTCTGCCCCTATAATTAAATACTAAGCACAGGAAGTAATTCCTGCCCTCAAATTGTTTCCAGGCCAGTTGAGAAAAGGAGCTTAATATGTCTGAAAGACTTCTGTATTTTATGCAGAGTTCAAGTAACAAGAAAGAGACCTAGTCTGTTTTCTGCATAATGGTGCTTTTTTTTTTTGAGACGGAGTCTTGCTCTGCCACCCAGGCTGGAGGTGCAGTGGTGCGATCTCGGCTCACTGCAAGCTCCGCCTCCCGGGTTCACACCATTCTCCTGCCTCAGCCTCCCAAGTAGCTGTGACTACAGGCACCCACCACCACGCCTGGCTAATTTTTTGTATTTTTTAGTAGAGATGGGGTTTCACCATGTTAGCCAGGATGGTCTCAATCTCCTGACTTCGTGATCCACCCACTTCGGCCTCCCAAAGTGCTGGGATTACAGGTGTGAGCCACCGGGCCAGCCCCATAATGGTGCATTTTTGCCAGACAGGCTTATGTATATCTTACTTTACCTAAAAAAAATTGAATCTGAAAGATTGGCTCTTAAATTTAAAATCCTATTTTTCATTTTATCTCATTTTAAAATGGATTATTTCACTAGCAGAAGCATTTTTTTCCCAGCTGTAAAAATTACACAGGTTTGTATGTCCATATGAACAGATGCACGTAGGAGTGGGAGGAACTAATTTTTGTTTTTGGTTTTCTGGGCACTACGAGTTTCATATAATGCAATGGCTTTCATACATTGCTGTGAACATCTGTATTTATTTATTTAGAGACAAGGTCTCGCTCTGTCACCCAGGGTGGCGTACACTGGCACCACCCTAGCTGACTGCAGCTTTGAACTCCTGGGCTTAAGTGATTCTCCCACTTCAACCTCTTGAGTAGCAGGGACTACAGGCACATGCCACTACACTTGGCTAATGAACATTTGAAAAAACTAGATACTAGATACCTCTCATTTATTTTAAAGTTAACATCTATTATTTTTCATAAGTCAAATAGTTGCATATGATATAATTTTAATTTCTGGAAACAATATAATCACTTTAAAAAACTCTTCTTCTGTTAAATGTATTGATAGAATATATTAAAAATCAGAAATAATTCCAATCAGTTGAAGTTGATTCTTTTTAATTTCCTGTGATTACAAAGTATTAAATGTTATCTATCTACCTATCTATATCTATTTTTTTCCTATTAATTCATTTATCCAAGGGTGAATATTAAATACTGCCAGAAAGGGCCAAGGCTTGGGATCAATTCTATTCCTCTTAATTTTTACATATATGAGAAATCTTGTCCACAGATATATGTAAATGGGAATGAATTATGTTCTACAATGTCATTCAGTTCTTTGATTGTCTTCAGAGTTACATCCCAAAAATCAAATAGTGAGCTATTATCAAAAAGTATTTTCAAGCCTGGGCAACATGGCAAAACCCCATCTCTACTAAAAATACAAAAATTAGCTGGGTCTGGTAGTGCATGCCTGTAGTCCCAGCTACTCGGGAGGCTGAGGTGGGAGGATCACTTAAGCGTAGAAGATGGAGGTTGCAGTGAGCCAAGATTGTGCTACAGCACTCCAGCCTGGGTGACAGAGCAAGACCCTGTCTCAAAAAAAAAAAAAAAAGTATTTTCAATCATCTGTCACTTAACTCAATTTTGTTTATTTATTTATTTATTTATTTTGAGATGGAGTCTCACTCTGTTGCCCAGGCTAAAGTGCAGTGGCACGGTATTGTCTCACTGCAACCTCCACCTCCTGGGTTCAAGCAATTCTGCTTCAGCCCCCCGAGAAGCTGGGATTACAGGTGCTGCCACCACACCCGGCTAATTTTTGTATTTTTTAGTAGAGAGAGGGTTTCACCACGTTGGCCAGGCTGGTCTTGAACTCCTGACCTCAAGTGATCCGCCCACCTCGGCCTCCCAAAGTGCTGGGATTACAGGCATGAGCCACCGCACCTGGCCAACAACTCAATGTTGAAGAAAGCAGAATTGGAAACGACCTAACTTGCAGGTCATGACATTTTACATCAGTCATTCTTTTCTTGTTTCTGAATGTAAACCAAAAAGGCTTAACCAAGACTTACTAAATACACTCTCACTCTTTCACTTTAAGGCAATTTATTCCAGTATACTTAGAGTTGGGAAAATTGAAATACTAATTTCTAATATGACTTTGTCAATTTAATTTTTAATAAAATGTTTTAAATATTTATTTTCATGAAATTTTGGGCTGCAGATTTAACTAATTCAAGTCATAAAAACTTGCATTGCATTATACAGACCTCTCCCCACTTACTCCAACTTGACTTTTGTCTACACACGGCTGGTGGCAACAATTCACAGCCACTGCCAAAGACCAGCCTCTCTGGTTTCACGTGGGCAGGTCCATCCCTGATGCTGCACTCACCCTGGGGGCACTGAACTATGAAGCAGTGAAACCACCAAGGCTGCCTCTGAGAGCTGCCAAGTGCTACATCGGGTAAGCAAGCTGCCTTTCACTTGTCAATCTTTAATTAGTGGACAAGGGGCTCCCATGCAATTTGGGACACGGGCCTGCTCACAATGAGGTCTACTGATGGCACCCCTGGCTTCTGCAGTACATAACAAGTGCAGCCTTACACAGTGGCTCTACTCTTGGGGGGGATGAAGCATTTATCAGTGCTACACACTGTAGGTGTTCAGTGCAAGAAAAAACAAATTCTGTGATTCTTCATTAAGTGTACTGAACTTAATGTTAAAATGTATGTACTGGACTGTTAATAACTCATATCACATATAAAGGATACCCTCCTTCAATATCTAAAGAAGTCCTTAAATCAGTAAGAAAAACAACAGCCATTAGGAAAACAGGCAAAGGCTATAAACATACAGCTCACAGGAAAGGAAATTCCAATAGCTTAGGTACTGGAAATAATGCTAAACCCTTCTCATAAGGGAAACGCAAATTAAAACAAGGAGATTCTATTTTTCTGCTGTGAAACTGACAGAGATCCAAACACCTGAGTTGCACTGCTGAGGGTTTGGGGAAGGCCACTTCCCACGGGAGCTACTGGAGATAGCAAGGGCAGTGGGCTGTAGAACAGCTGAGCTACAGCTATCAAAATTATCCCCCTAGACACAGCAATTACACTTCTGTAAGTTTTTCTAGATAGACCCATACATGTGCAAAATGACATATATACAAATGTTTACTGAGGAACAATTTATAATAATAAAAAGGGGAACAACCCAAATACCTATCAACTGAAGACTGGTTAAATCCACGGCGGTATCTCTGCAGAGGATACTATCAGCCATCAACAGGAATGAGGCAGCCATACTTGTGAAATGGAAAGATCTTCAAAATACGTTGCTGGGGAGCCAGGGAGGAACACTAGGGTACTAAACAGTGTATACAGCTGGCTCCATTGTATGTGTGTAAATATATGCGTCTGCCTGAACATACCTGAAAGGACATTCAAGAATCTTAACACTAGTTCGGGGTAGGAAGGAGATCAACTTTTCACTATATACCCTTTTGTTCCTTTTAAGTCCTAAACCATGAAAATGTTTTACCTAGCTAGCTAGCAAAATGAAAAAAAAAATTACTTTATTAAAACATTTACAATGCAATTAAGAAAGCACAGGTTGTCTTTGAAGGATGGGGTCCTAAGAGAGTTCATTTCTAGCTTTATGACATTTTAACTAAAACATTTATTTTATGATAAGTGAATATTAAAGTATAAAAAAGGAATTTTTTATTATTATTATTTTAGAAATGGGGTCTTCCACTGCTACCCAGGCTGGAGTGCAGTGGTGCAATCATAGCCACTGCAGCCTCCAACTCCTGGGCTCAAGGGATCCTCCTGCCTCAGCCTCCTGAGTAGCTGGGACAATTAAAAAAACATTTTTTTGGCTGGGCACGGTGGCTCACGCTTGTAATCTTAGCACTTTGGGAGGCCGAGGCGGGTGGATCACGAGGTCAGGAGATTGAGACCATCCTCGCTAACATGGTGAAACCCCGTCTCTACCAAAAATATAAAAAAAATTAGCATGGCATGGTGGCGGGCGCCTGTAGTCCCAGCTACTCCGGAGGCTGAGGCAGGAGAATGGCGTGAACCCGGGAGGTGGAGCTTGCAATGAGCTAAGATCGCACCACTGCACTCCACCCTGGGCGACAGAGTGAGACTCCGTCAAAAAAAAGAAAAATTTTGTAGAGAGGGTCCCCTTATGTTGTCCATGTTGGTCTTAAACTTTTGAACTCAAGTGATCATCCTGTCTTGGCCTCCCAAAGTGCTGGGATGGCAGGTGTGAACGCCTGAGCCCAGCTCTTCTTTAATGAAAAATTTTAAAATGTCATCAGTAAGTGGGAAATTACTAAATGATGACATATACAATGGTAGGCACTGTGACTGTCACGGAGGATGTCTGAGATACATTAATGAATTTTTCAAAAGGCTGCAAAATGGTGTGTATAGCAGGATCCCATTTTCCCCAGACAAAATCAGCTCTGTGTGCTCACCTAGGTGCACATGGACACAGAAAAATGTCAGCAGGGCCGGGCGCGGTGGCTCACACCTGTAATCCCAGTACTTTTGGGAGGCCGAGACAGGAGGATCACCTGAGGTCAGGAGTTCGAGACCAGCCTGGCCAATATGGGGAAACCCCATCTCTACTAAAAATACAAAAAATTAGCTGGGTGTGGTGGCAGGTGCCTGTAATCCCAGCTACTCCAGAGGCTGAGGCAGGAGAATTGCTTGAACCCAGGAGGTGGAGGTTGCAGTGAGCCGAGATTGCGCCATTGCACTCCAGCCTGGGCAACAAGAGCGAAACTCCGTCTCAAAAAAAAAAAGAAAAAAAAAAAAAAGGAAAAAGGAAAAATGTCAGCAGGACACAGCACAACTGTCTACACACTCGGTTATCCCCCTAGGGAATAAAACCTCAGGGGCCACCAGTAGAAGGGATGACAGCTTTCCCTTTCTGCACTGTATACACAATCTATGTGTACTGTTTGAAAAAACCATGTACAAGCACTTTGTTTTAACTTTGACATGAAAACATTAAACACTTTTTTTTGTATAAGACCAGCTATGGGAGCTCACACCTGCAATCCTAGCACAGGAGGGTGAAGTGGGAGGACTGCTTGAGCCCAGGAGTTTGAGGCTACAGTGAGCTATGATCACACCACTGCACTCCAGCCTGGGTGACAAGGCGAGACCCCATCTCAAACAAACAAACAAACAAAACCACACATTTAAATATTGAACACTGAAGTTTCCAGAGAGCAGAACTGGCCAGCTGAAACTGACCACAGAGGGCCCTTGCACTTGTCTGCAGCATCAGCCTCCCTAGATCTCCGTCTCAGTCCCACTGAGAAATCAGCTCAGCCTTTCTCTCCTATTGTCTTTGCCCCATTTGGCAGTCCAAAGCCCAGTGTCACTGGCATGGCAGGCCCTATGGCTCTGCAGAGGGGCCGGGCTAGGCAGATGCCTGCTGTGTGCTTGCAGCACACCCCGTGGGCCTGGCCACTTTAGTACTCTCAGGTGGCCGTTTCCTTGTGTTTTTCACAAGCCGTAGACAGCATCTAGTATGTGACTGTTCTCTTACAAACAGGGGATTCTCTTCTTCCTGCCCAGCTGTGTTGCACAGTGAATCCTAGCTGACTGCCTTCTCTTAGTAGGCGAGAAAATGGTCACCGTCCTTCCTAAGCCCCCACCAACTTCTCTCCACCCCTTCCCCACCCAACCTAGCAGGCAGCACCTGGCAAAACTACAACATAGGTATTGGGAGGAACAAGCTCGGGGCTGGTCCACACTCGGTGCTAGAACTGTCACATTTTACAAAGGAAAGACCCAGGGCAGCTGTCAAAATAGCCTGGGACCTATTTCATTAAAATAGCAGAAACCAACAACTGAAAATAGTAGGTGGCTTTTGGCAAACATAGAACCCCAATCAATCAGACCTGAGCTAGCTGTAAGTGGACGGAGATGCTGAACTTGACTCCCTCTGCAGCTCACACCATTTACCCAGCTTCCTCAATATTTATAGCATGAATAGCCATGAAGTTTTCTGTGCTCTTGATGAAAGGAGGAAGCTGGTGACTTCTGAAAAATATTTTGCCACTGTCTCATAGCAACAGATGTTCCAGTTAAATATTTGGGAGTTGTGAACTGAACATCTTCTGTACTGATACGGTGTGATGTTAGTCAGTGACTCCAGACAGTTAGCAGGAGGCTGCCAACTCTAAGCTTTTTGGCAGTGGGGCTGCAACAGGTCCCCAGGGTTTTCTCTGAGTCCCCCCTCTGGTTTCAAGCTCACAATGGGTGATGGAATAAGTGTCAAGGGTCTGTGCACTCCTGCCCCCTCTTCTAGCCCTGAATCTGGAAGAAAAAGTTAGAAATACAGAAAGAGGCTGGAAGAACGTTTACCTTTCTGGTGCTTCATTCTTTTCCCACAAAACTTTCCAACAATAGAGTAGGTATGACTGCTATGCAACCAGCAATTCATTACAGAAGTTTTTCTTTTCTTTTTTTTGAGACAGGGTCTTGCTCTGTCGCCCAGGCTGGAGTGCAGTGGCGCAAACACCGCTCACTGCAGCCTCAGCCTCAACCTCCCTAGCTCAAGTGATCCTCCCACCTCAGCCTCCTGAATAGCTGGGACCCCAGGTGCACACCACCACGCCTAGCTAATTTAAAAAAACTTTTTGTACAGAGGGTCTTACTATGTTGCCCAGGCTGACCTTCAACTCCTGGGCTCAAGTGATCTACTTGCCTCAGCCTCCCAAAGTGTTGGGATTACAGGCATTAGCCACTGCCCAACTGGGAAGTTTTCTTTTTTTTTTTTTTTTTGACAGGGTCTCACTCCATCACCCAGGCTGCAGTGCAATGGCTCAATCTCGGCTCACTGCAACCTCCGCCTCTCAGGTTCCAGTGATTCTCCTGCCTCAGCCTCCCGAGTAGCTGGGATTACAGGCACTCATCACGCCTGGCTAATTTTTGTATTTTCAGGAGAGACAGGGTTTCACCATGTTGGCCAGGCTGGTCTCGAACTCCTGACCTCAGATGATCTGCCTGTCTGCGCCTCCCAAAGTGCTGGAATTACAGGTAACTTTCACTTTTAAAAGTATACACTACTAATGTAAGTGAGTGTTTCCTAAATCATTTCAAACTCTATTTGGAAATGGAATGACACTGGTTTATTGTAATTTACCAACTCTAACTGGAACAATATGGTATAAAGCCAGTGAGGATGGATCATCTCCAGTTCACAGACAATTCTGCCTCTTTTACTGGAGAACGACTTAAAAACTATTTAGCTAAACAATATAGAATGTTTATACATTCTGGATACTTCTCCATTCTCCATAATATGTTATTTTAACAAATAAGCATATTCATTTAAACAAGTCACAATTCTTAACTCAAAATGGTGTCAACTTGCTAAAATTCCTATTAAAGACATATCATGTTAGTACAACCTGTTGAAAACTTAAAACATTCTGAATCAAAAATAGGGTTGCAAGTCAGATGAAGCAAAGATGCAAGAAGCAATTTCGGGGACAGTTTTTATGTGCCAAAGGTCATTTCTAACATTTTTGAAGGCTTACAGGGACAATTAGATAACTAAATGGGCACCATAGGTCTGTCTTAATTTGTCTTAATCTTCGTGATCCCATTTGTCAACAGCTAGAAAGACCTTACACTCTCCCAATGTTCAATTCAAATAAACCAAAGAAAACTCACAATTGCTAAAGTGGCAGCTGTGAGAAACTAGCTTCTCACCACTTCAATAGTTTGTGATGCACTCATGTCATAAAGATCAGTTCATGGCTTCGACTCTCTCTTGAGACCTGGCCAGGTCCTGGCTGCACTGCGTTGACTGCTGGTGGGTGAGGCCTCCTCGGGGCACCCATCCAGACTGGGTTGGGTCCCTCAGTTGCTGCCAGGCCTGGGGCAGACTGGGCCGGGGCCAGACAGCCATGACCTGCTGAAAACCTTCTCCATGAAAGCTGCCTTTTCCGTGACCACACCTTTGAGACAACTGATATCTTTTTTTTGACAGAGTTAAGGCATGCAAAAGCATATGAAAAATAATATGAATCTCTACACACCTACTACCCATTTAAGAAATAAAACCGGCCACTGGTACATGAAGCCCTGTGTAACAAGTGTGAGTGTGAACTTACTCAACTATGTAGAATTATATACTTTTTTCCTATTTTATCTCAAAAAGCAGTAATGGGTGTGGCATGAGTTTCGGCTAACCACCCTTCCCCTGGGAAACAGTGCAGCGTGCGCTGAGTTGCATTTTAATGTCCTGCCTTCCGGCTCCTCTATGCGTGAGTCCTGGCGTGATATGTGTGCAGGTTTCTCTGTTTTACGCTGACAATTTACGTCAGTGTAGAATAGAAGGGCCAAATTCAGAGCTGTTCTTACATTTCCTATAAAGTAGTTCTTAAAGCCCTGAGTCTCTCATAAAATAAGCATTCAGTTGCTACGTTTCTTTGAAAAGTTTAATTTCAGGCAAAAGTGCAGCAAAAACTACGCTCTCAGACACTGCTGGTGGCATTAATCCAATTGGAAGTGTGTAAAAAGGGCTTAAATCTCTTCACTCTTTGACCCAGTAATTTTGCTTTTTGAGAATCTATTCTGAAATCAAAGTGAGAAACAGACAAATTTAAGTGAATCAAGATGTTCAATATTCCTTTTAAGAGCAAAAAGCTGAAAAGAAACAGCTTCCTGATTATTGGCCATTATAAAGTTGCATAAAGAATTAATTACACATTATGGAGCTATTAAAAATTATGGATTTTAGAAACTAAATGTGAAATATGGTTTATAATATAATGTTCAATGGAAAAAGATATAAATGATACCATGATTACAATAATGAGAGTCAGCAAAAAGAAACAAAGGTGAAAAAAATACCTCAGTGCTGACAATAATTACACTAAGATGATGAACATACAGAATTTTTTTTTAACTCTAGTTTTAAACTTTTAAGAGTGTGGTTATATTAGTTTTTGCTAAAAAAAAAAAGCAAAGTTTAAAAAGCAAAGCAAAGTACAAATTAAAAATAAATACGAATCACTCAGGATGGTGGGGAGAGCTCCCTTTTAAATATATTAAAAGCATATATTCCCCTTTATGAGACAATGTCAGCTGTGTCACCTGCTGTGCTTCCTTTTTTGGATTTAGTTGCCAGAAACCCAGAGCTAAAATTAATTCTCAGCCACAGCTGAGCTCACAGTTGACTCTGTGTTGTAAACTGCTACATTTATGCCTGTCTTTTACTGTTGTTTCATATCCTTCTTTGAAGAAGGTATATATTTTACATATGTAAAACTTTAAGATCTTTTTTATCTATAAAAATTCACAGATATGCTTGTAACTGTTTCCCAATCTCAGGAAGGACTCCTGCGAGGGAGGCAGGCAGGGAGGGAGGTGGGTTTTCACTGTATGGCCTTTCCAGCTACGCACCATGTGCACACACTGCCTATCAAAGAAGAGGTGTGATTTCTAAAAGGTGTATTAGTTGGAAATACATGAATTGTGTCTGGTAAAGCTTACTGAGACTACGGTAGACTCAGCCAACTATAATTCAGACTCAAGAAATCTTAGCTGTCCGCTCGCTCAGATTCTCACCAAAAATCCACTGAACCTCAAGGAGAAGACTGGGCAGAATTCTACAACAAGTGGGGGAGATAGGGCCATTTCTTCTCGCAGATTCTTACAGGGGTCTGTGACCCCAAGATGCTTGGGGGGGGTCCTTCATTTCAGATAGTAAAATGAAGACCCCCAGAGAAGGGAACTGATGCTGCCAGCGGGCACAGAGCTAGGGTCAGCTGCTCAGTTTCCCTCTCCCGGTGCGGTGCTCTTTCTTCCTGGCTATGTTAACTCTGTGACCTGGGAATGTGGTCCAGAAAGAAGCTGTGGCTGCTGAGTCTATACCTACTTAGTAAGTGAGTTACTCAATGCTGATCTGTATAAAGTAGGATCGTCCTTTTTCCTTTCTCACAATACAGAATATTAATGTTATCCAAGTCAGGTCTTTATTACAGTACTCAGAGAGCAGTCCCTCTGAATTGACAAGGATGACACTGGGCAAGAGGAGCTCTCAGACACCCCCCGTGGGCATGCAAATGGATTCAGCTCTTCTGGAGGCCAATCTGCAATCTCTATGTGTGAGCATTTCTGCAGAACAGATTCCTTGAACTGGAACTCTTGGATGGAAATTATTGATTTGCTCAATCTACTAAGTAGTTCTCTGAACAGCTGTTATTTTCCCAAACACCTTCACCAACACTAGGTCTTAGCAGCTTCTGAAATACTGGCCAATCTGGTGGGAGAATATTTTGTTTTAATTCCCTCTTGCCTCTAGTTAGTAGTAAATTTTGTCCCCAGGTATTTATAGCTTTTATTACAGTTGTGAATAGGATGTGTTCCCCAGTGATTATTGCTTTTAATGTGATTCATCTGTTCCAGTTTGCCTGGGACCCTGGCAGTTTTAGCACTCAAAGTCTAGTGTCCTGGGGAACACCTCCCAGTTCCAGGCAAATCAGAAAGATTGGTAACCTGATCGCAAAACTATTAATTTCTGAATATTTTATCTTGTGTCTGGCTCCCTTACTGAAGTCTTGTAAGTGCTAGTCATTTTTCAGCTGATAGCCTATCTGGAAACTCCAAGAGAATCATTTCATCAACAAATAACACTTTTGTCTTTTCCTTTACATGATTTGCATTTTTTCTTTCTCTGGTTTTTGTGCACTGGCTAAAGCCTTCAGAACATGGAATAATTGTAGAGACAATGGACATCTGTTTCTTATACCTAATTCTGCTGGAAATGCTTCTGTTTCACCAGGGAGTGTAATGTTGCTATGGGTTTCTGGTAGATAATCTGTAAATAAAGGAAGTTTCTTTCTACTTCCAGCTTACATAGAAGTTTTTTTGTCCTCTACAAATCAGGAACACATCCAAAACTTTATCTTTTTTTTTTTTTTTTTGAGATAGAATTTCACTCTTGTTGCCCAGGCTGGAGTGCAATGGTGCGATCTTGGTTCACCCCAACCTCCGCCTGCTGGGTTCAAGTGATTCTCCTGCCTCAGCCTCCCGAGTAGCTGGGATTACAGGCATGTGCCACCACACTGGGCTAATTTTGTATTTTTAGTAGAGATGGGGTTTCTCCATGTTGGTCAGGCTGGTCTCAAACTCCCGACCTCAGGTGATCCGCCCGCCTTGGCCTCCCAAAGTGCTGGGATTACAGGCGTTAGCTACTGCTCCTGGCTTCCAAAACTTTAATCTTTTTTAAAAAATTGTTTCCTGCTGGGAGTCAGAAAAAAAACCCACTTTTTTGGGTCATCTATTAAGATGTTGTCTTTAATCTATTAGTAGACTTCTTAATGTTGAACCATCCTTGCATTCCTGGGATGTTGCTAGTATTTCTCAAACACTTATTTTGTACTAGACATTCTAAGTGTTTATTTAATCCTTACATCTCACTAAGAGGTAGACAGTCCCACTTGTGATGAGGAAATTAAGTCACAAGTAAGTTAAATAAGTCTAAGGCCACATAGTGAGTGGAAGGGCCAAAATTTAAACCCAGGGAGTCTGGCAGCACAGCCAGACTCCTAACCATTACACTGTCTGCCTCTCAGTCTTACTTGGTCACAATGTGCTATTAATATATTTTTTAAAAAACACAACTACATTTGATATTCTAAGTATTTTATTTTGGATTTTTGCATCTATATTTTTAAGTAAGTTTGATATACAGCTTTCACTTGTATGTTCTAGTAGAAGCTACCTAGCCTCATAGGAAATGTTGGGAAGTTTTCCATCATTTTCTCTCTGGAATGGTTTGGATAATGGGATTGTCTGTTACCCTCTATTAAACTATCTCTTCCTGGTGCCTTTTGAGAAAGGGGTTAGAATGTAGATTTTTCATGATGTATTTGATTCCTACACCATAGTGCTTTTAAGCCAGAATCAGTCTTCAAATTCTTCACATTTTCTTGGAAGACACTGCTTTTCACAGGTATTGGAAATATGTTTGATTGAGTGAGGAATTTTTTTTTTTAGCAATAATGTCAATAGATATGTGGTCTCTAACATTAAAATAGGTGGGAAACTTCCAAATCTGCCACCTATCCTGTAGGTTCTACTTGATAACACTAATGGTACCACTTCATGTAATTTTATATAATTTTCTTCAGAAGTCTGCAGAAAGATATGTTTTACTATCATTTTTTAGGTGGAAGAAGCAAGAAAAAAAGGATTTACCTAATTCTGATAAAACCAATATAGGAACCAAAAACAAATGGCAAAATAACTTTATAATGATGGGGAAAAAGAAGCTAATGTCTAAAATTGTTTCTTGGTTTTTGTTTTTTTGTTTTTTGCTATTTTTGAGATGGAGTCTCGCTCTGTCACCCAGGTTGGAGTGCAGTAGTGCAATCTCAGCTCACTGCAACCTCTACCTCCCGGGTTCCAGCGATTCTCCTGCCTCAGCCTCCCGAGTAGCTGGGACTACAGGCACGTGCCACCATGCCCGGCTAATTTTTTGTATTTTTAGTAGAGACAGGGTTTCACCGTGTCAGCCAGGATGGTCTTGATCTCCTGACCTCGTGATCCGCTCGTCTTGGCCTCCCAAAGTGGTGGGATTACAGGCATGAGCCACCGCGCCTGGCTTGATTTTTGTTTTTTAATCAAGAACTACCAGTAGAAGAATTTCATTTAGAGATATAGAGGTTCCTTCCCACCAAAAAAGTCAAGATTTAAAAAAAACTGTTCCTTGTGATGAACCCAGCTAGGGATGGGAGGGGTGGGGCTGGGAACCACTGATTTCCATTCACACTTTTTCTATGACACATGATGCTTTAAATCTGGCATATAAAATATTTGATTTAAAAAAATAAAAGAAGAAGAAGAAAGTGAGAAAGATGGAACCTACCAAAGATGAAGTTGTCAGGCCGGAAAAGCTGCCCAAAAGGCCCAGACCGCACGCTGTCCATGGTGCCTGGCTCTAAGTCCACCAGGGCGGCCCTGGGCACATATTTCTGAGCTGGAGGAGAAAAGAACCACCCACAAGAGTTACTTTCAGGTTTCTAAAGTAATTGACTTCCCCGTTTCAAGTCCCACCAGTTCTAGCTGCCTGGAATGGATCAACCAGGGTCTTTTCAGAAAGGGTACAGGAACTTTCTTAGAATCACAGAATTGGCTGGGCGCACTGGCTCATCCCTGTAATCTCAGCACATTGGGAGGCTGAGGTGGGCAGATCGCTTGAGCCCAGGAGTTCAAGACCAGCCTGGGCAACAGAGCAAAACCCTGTTTCTAAAAACAAACAAACAAAAAACCAAGAAAATTAGCTAAGTGTGGTAGTGTGCACCTCTAGTCCTAGCTACTCTGGAAGCTGAGGTGGCAGGATCATCTGAACCCAGGAGGTCAAGACTGCAGTGAGCCATGGTTATGCCACTGTACTCCAGAGTGAGACCTTGTCTTTTTTTTTTTTTTTTTGCGATGGAGTCTCGCTCTGTTGCCCAGGCTGGAATGCAGTGGTGTGATCTCGGCTCACTGCAAGCTCCGCCTCCTGGGTTCATGCCATTCTCCTGCCTCAGCCTCCCAAGTAGCTGGGACCACAGGTGCCCACCACCACGCCCGGCTAATTTTTTTTGTATTTTCAGTAGAGATGGGGTTTCACCGTGTTAGCCAGGATGGTCTCGATCTCCTGACCTTGTGATCTGCCCACCTCGGCCTCCCAAAGTGCTGGGATTACAGGGGTGAGCCACCGTGCCTGGCCGAAACCCTGTCTCTTAAAAAAAAGAAAGAAAAAAAATCCTAGAACCTTAACACTGGAATGAGGAACGAGTCCAGGCATGACCTGGCAGAGGAGGTTCCAGGAAGAGGCAGGATGAGAAATCAAGTCCCCTGACTTCCTGCCTACTGTATTTTCCAGCTCACCCTGACACCTCTTTCCTGTTAGGAAGTTTTACAACTTTAGCTCCATGGAAATAAACTAGGTATTTACAGCAAATTGCCAGGTTTGGATGAAATTCTCTGCTTTGTGACACCTCCCCCATGCATACACATACATGTGCCCATGTGCAGTCTGAGAACCTTGTTACCCGGAGCACGCCACTGGCTGTTTCCCCAGAGTCACTCTCATTTTGAGTCAGAGTGTTCTTGTGTGGAAATTTCATGCCAATTGGGCTAGAACTTGTTCCCGGTGAGGACACGGTTAATATGATTCCAGATAGGACCTGCTCTTCAACTCCTGTCCTGCAGTGCACTCGCCAAGATCGAAAATGGATGTACCCAAGCTGGGTGAGGGATTAACATGAAGTGCAGTGTATACTGGAACTATCCTTAGTGTCCTCTAGAAATTTCATCTTCCATGCCCTGATGTTCCCAGCCTTTTGTCATTGCTGCGTAAATGAATAAAACTCCACTCGTTGCTGAGAACTGCCTGGAGTTTCAGCTTCCAGGGAGGTTAAAGTCTTTTTAGAGGTCTGCAAGGGACCAGAAAAGTCACTTAAGAGAGCGTTTCTCAAATTTTTAGCCAAGAATCCCCAATAAGAGATACGTTTTAAACTGGGGGGGGGGGGGGGGAAGCTTTGTTTTTCCCAAGGATCCTTGAGAAACGCTCTAATTTATTCTAACAGGGTCTCGCTCTGTCACCCAGGCTGGAGTGCAGTGGCGCGATCACAGCTCACTGCAGCCTCGACCTCCTGAGCTCAAGCCCTCAGTTAACTGGTACTACAGGGGTGGGCCACCAAGCCCGGCTAATTTTAAAATTGTTGTAGAGATCGGGGCGGGAGGGGGGCGGGGGGTGGTCTCCTATGCTGCCCAGGCTGGTCCTGAACTCCTGGCCCCAAATGATCCTCCAGTCTCGGCCTCCCAAAGCGCTGGGATTAGAGGCTTGAGCCACCGCGCCCGGCTAGACAGAGAAGGCTGGGCAGGAACCGCTACGTTGATTTCACAACGCTAACGGGTGGTCCCGTTCAAGCGCTCAGACCCTCAGGATAGGCTGAATCGAGCTGTTTGAATAAACTGACGGCGGATTTCCCGCCCCGGAGGAGCGAAGGGAGTGGCCGGGCATCCTGCTACACCCCGAGAGAACTTTTCCCGAAGCAAACTCGCCGCGCTAAGAGGCGGCGCCGGAGCGTCCACGCGGGTCCCGGCCGGGCAGGGCGCGGCGGCCTTGCTACTCACACGATGACTCATTGTAGTAGACGTTGATTCTCTCCAGCTGCAGCGCCGAGTCTCCCACGTAGCCTCCGGCCGGGTCGATGCCGTGCTCATCGCTGATCACTTCCCAAAACTTGGGCAGGGCAAGGCGGGGGGACAGACGCTCAGAACCCAGAGCCCGGGACGCCGCCACCCGCGCCCACCCCAGGCGCCCCGGCGGCCGAATTCCAGGCGCGCCTGAGCCGCCGGCAGCCGCTCCCAGTTGGGATGGGGGTGGGGAGCGAAGAGTAGAAGGTCCCCGGCCGGCCACGCCCCGGGCGCTCCCTCCCTGCGGCCCTCGCGGGTCCGCACCGGGCTCCGAGGACCCAGGGGCGCACAGCGGGTGCGCGCCCCGGCGGGGGTCGCGCCGGGAGACCCGGGGCCCGCCAGCAGCCGACCCGCGGAGAGGCCCTGCACCGCGCCAGGCCCACCTTGGTGCCGATCTGGTTCCCGCACTGGCCCGCCTGGATGTGCACGATCTCCCTCATGGCGGGCGCGGCTCTGCGCTAGGAACTGGCTCTGCGGACGACAGCGGCAACTGCGGGCCGGCTGCGCGCGTCCCGGGGCCGACCCTCCGCGCCCCCGCCCCCGCCCCGCCGCTCGCCAATGGCTGCGGGCCCCGCCCCGCCGCCCCCGCTCGACGCCGCGGCCCGGCCTGCAGCAGCCGAGGGAGGACGCGCGGGCGCCAGTCGGGGGACCCTTGCCGGGAGCCGGGCGGAAAAGGACGGGCCCGGAGCTGGCGGGGAGGAGACGGGAAGGAGCGCGGCGCCCGCCCCCACCACCGTTTCGCTGCCCCTTGTGGTGCCCCGCCAGAGGGAGACGCGAGTCGGGCCCTGGCGTCGGGGCAGCGGAGCCGACGTGGCCCGCGGGGTCCCAGCGCCGCGCCCGGGAGCATTGCAGCCGCCCGCGCCCAGTCCAGCCAAGCCGGGACACTGCCCTGGGGTTCGGCGGTGGAGCTTTTCAGGGTCTCTGCCCCCTGCCCCCCACCCCCCGGTCGCACCCCGGGCACACGTTCTTAGGGCCTCTTCGTCCTGGTGTTTCCGTCTCCGGAGATACAGAGGCCATTCCTCTCCGACGACTCCCACCCCTTTGGAACCGGGTTTAGCTAAAGTGACTACAGGGCTGGATCCGAAAATGAACACCTCCTGCGCCGGGTCTATGCAGCCTACTCCTCGCGCGTTAGCGAAGAAATGCGCTTCGGCCTGGGAGGGCGCGCCAGAGTCCGTCTTCCTGGCCAGTTTTGTGTGGTGGAAAGGAATGACTGCTGATGCCGGCCGGGTGACTTGGATTTTAATTCTAGCTGTTTTCAGTTAGCTCTGCGCTTCAGCGGACTCCTCTGTTAACGGAAAAGGTTATCCTAGGGGAGCCTTTCAGCCTCCAAAATGCGGGATGCTCTGGCCTCTGCAGTCAGAATGTGCATGCATCAGGGCTTTTGCGGAAGTTTCCTCACGTGAACGCTGCAGGCTGGGACCACCGGGGTAGCCTCTGCGTCCCCTCCCAGGCCCGTAGAAACGCCGCACATGAGGAAGCGACGATGTTCTGTAATTTGCACTGGCACTTTCTTTTTAGACAGATGAAAACTTTGGGAAATTCCTAATTGTGTGTGTGCATGTTTGTACGTTTGGAAGGGAGTGGAGAACTTTTAAAAGTTTTTCTTCTGGAGTTTTGCAAATGTTTCCAAATTGAGGAATTTTTTTTTTTAACCCTTGGGTCCCCGCCTCCCCACTGCTCTCTCCACCCCAGTGCTGCTCCTCGGCCTTCTTGTGGGTCCCCACACCTCTTTACACAGCCACACGCCCAGGGAGCAGATGAGGAGGCCACAGCCCAGCCCCTGCGCTCCCATTTCAAACTATGAGCCTGAGATTAATCAGCCACCTTCTCCTGAGTCCTCAACACCCTTATTTAGGCTGTTTGTTTCCATTGCTTAATTATTGACTCCAACGAGTGCTACCTTAACCCATCCTGCCGGCCCGAAGTCTAGTGTGGGGAGCCCGAGAGCGGAGGGCCTGTGCCATCCCTGGAAGAACCCTTCCTCCAGCTTTAGTCTCTCTCTCTAAGAAATCCAGCCATCAAGTGGTTTAAAAGAAAGTGTCTACTTTAGAAGCTTTGGTCGTTTGCTGAAATAGCCACCCTTTCAGTGCTAGCCCTTGGGCTGGAATTTAAGTCCAGGGGTCTGATCGAGCCAGAAAGTAGGTGTCAGCGTGGCTTCCGGAAGTCCGTTGTCACTTGGATTTGACAAGGGACAAGCCGACCTGCTGGTTTCTGGGCTCCTGCTCGCTGTGCGCTCTGCGCTGTCTGCAGGGATTGGTGCCCGCGGAGTGCGCTTTGTCTGGAGAAACTCAGTGCTCGAAGAGTGAGGAGACCGGGAGGAAACCTTCCCCCTGCAAAGCTTATCTCCCTTCCCTCTCATCAGAGGCGGGGCCCCGCAAGACACAAGGGATTTCCCCGCAGAATGAACCAAGGCCTCCCCAGGACATGGGGACAGTTCTGCTGTGCAAAGCCTGAATTCACGTTTCTTTCCTAAAGTGGCTCCCAGTCTCTCTGCAGCCTTGGCCTCTCTTTGAATCCCAACCCTGACTTCCCTGGTGTCTGTTGGCCACTCCCTTCTGGGAGCCGGCAGGTGAAACCCTGACCTGTGAGCCCGGCCTGGGGCTCTCCAGGCTCTGGGCCCCCTACCCTCCCGATCTGTGGCCCTCACTCCTCCTGGGCGAGGCTGTTTGTGACGCGGTGTGTCCAAATGCACACAAGCCGCAAACCAAACTTAAAAAAGCGTAGAGGACACATTCTCTTCTCCTACCTTAAAAAATACACCATGGTATCTGGAAAGCCAGGTTCCAGTTTAGAATTCTCAGGCTAGGCCGGGCACAGTGGTTCACGCCTGTAATCCCAAAACTTCCAAAGCTGACATGGCAGGATTGCTTGAGCCCAGGACCTCGAGACCAGCCTGGGCATTATAGTGAGACCCTTGTCTCTACAAAAAGTTAAAAAATTAGCCAGGCATGGTGGTACATGCCTGTACCCAGCTACTCCAGAGTCTGAGGTGGGAGGATTGATTGCTTGAACCTGGGAGGTGGAGGTTGCTGTGAGCTGTGATCATGTCACTGCACTCCAGCCAGGGTGACAGAGTGAGACCGCGTCTCAATAAAAATAAAATAAAATAAAATAAAAAAGAAATCGGTAGACTTCTTGGGCTCCTCGTTGATTTGCATCAGGGCGTGGAAGTGCGGGGGCTGGTCTCAGCCTGCAGTCCTCACTTTCAACACCCGCCTTTCTCCCCACCTCCAATTCTGTCCCACGCCGAGATGGGTCTCCAGTACATGCCTGTGGACACTTCAGTCCTCAGCCACTCACAGCCATCCCAGGCCACCCTGCGGGAAGAAGGGGCCCTAGGAGTAGGTTTGGGGAGGTCTGGGCAGGGACTCCTGAGGTCCGGGGGGCTGAGGTGCCATCTAGGAGCTGTGGGCTCATCCCAGTGGCCCTGTAGGGAGGGGGCAGGCAAGGACAAGGCCCCTCACCTGGGTCGAAGGCAGTGATGGCGTTCATGACTTGGTGCTCTGGGCGAGCCACATTACCCGTGCACTCCTGTCTGCTCACTTTCCTCCTCCTCTTGCCCGTCTCTTCTGTGCCTTAGATCACAGTCTTGCTTCTCTGAACGCCTCCTTCTGTTTCATGCATGTGTAGAGAGGATTCCGGGCTCACTGCCCAGATTTGAATGCTGGTGTTTACACACACCTGGACCGTAGGAGATGGCTGATGAGTGTTTCTTCCTCTCTCGCCCTTTTCTGGGCTGCACCAAGGAATAAGACAGGAGGGTCTCGTCCTCCCCAAATGCTGAGAAGTCCCTGGGGAAGGGGACCCGGAGGGGCCAATGGGGCTCTTGAACTAGGCTGGTAATGGCCGTGAGTGGTGTTATTTTCAACTAAACCCCCAAATCTGGAAAAATGAATGACATCAGACCCTGGTGTTTTTATGTGACGTTCCTCTTGGTAGATAAAATATGGAGTTTCTCCAGAAAGAAGTGGATATTTCACCTGCCAACTGTGCAGGGAGAGGCAGAGGCCGGGACAAGAAGTGGAGAGTGGGAGGGTGCCATGGGGAGGCTGGGAAGGCTGGGGTGCCCCAGTGTTGACTCTCTCTAGGCCCTGGGAGTTGCCACGTGGACTTCAAGGACTGGAACACACTTCCTGCTCCCCACTGCCTCGCTGGGGAAGGGAACCTGCGGCTCCCAGCAGCAAGCCAGGCAAGCAGGCATCAGTTCTGAGTTAGGCTGAGAATAAGCTCTCCTGCTATCTGGCGCCTTCAGTGAAGCGTTGTCAGAATTTACTCTCTGCAGGTTCTCCCGGAAAGAGCAGCCATGGTCCTCCTGATCTGGTGAGTGGGCACAGGGGCCAGTATCGATGGGCGGATGAATGTAACCATGATCCATGGTGTTCTTAGGTCAGTCGGCCTGAGCAGTCTTGGTTACAAATGGGGGAGTCAAAGTTTATAAAGGCGGCCCGGGGATCTGCTAAACACTAGACTGTGTTTGCGCAGTCAAGTTAAATGTATTCTCTTGGGTTCTAATTCTTTTGCAAAATAATATTTCGTGCTTGCTTTGGCAGCAGTATACTAGAAGTGGAATGATACAGAGAAGATTAACGTGGCCCTGCACAAAGATGACATGCAAATTCATGAAGCGTTTCATATTTATTTATTTATTTATTTTGAGACACAGTTTCACTCTGTCGCTCAGGCTGGAGTGCAGTGGTGCAATCTTGGCTCATTGAAACCTCCGCCTCCCGGGTTCAAGTGATTCTCTTGCCTCAGCCTCCCGAATAGCTGGAATTACAGGCGCACATCACCACACCCAGCTAATTTTTGTATTATTAGTAGAGGCAGGGTTTCACCATGTTGGCCAGGCTGGTCTTGAACTCCTGACCTCAGGTAATCCTCCTGCCTCAGCCTCCCAAAGTGCTGGGATTACAGGTGTGAGCCACAGTGCCTGGCCTAAAAAAAATTTTTTTTTTTTTGAGATGCATTTCATGATCTTGGAAAAAGGACAGAAGTGGATGCCGGTAAGCAAAAACACTGTCACCCAAACAGCTACTGGGTAGACTTTTTACCTACAAAAGTACACGCCCTACTTGGCTGTTGACTTGTCCATTTTCTTTCTTTCTTTTTTTTTTTTTTTAGACGGAGTCTTGCTCTGTGGCCCAGGCTGGAGTGCAGTGGCGTGATCTCGGCTCACTGCAAGCTCCACCTCCCAGGTTCACGCCATTCTCCTGCCTCAGCCTCCGGAGTAGCTGGGACTACAGGCGCCCGCCACCACGTCTGGCTAATTTTTTGTATTTTTAGTGGAGATGGGGTTTCACCGTGTTAGCCAGGATGGTCTCGATCTCCTGACCTCGTGATCTGCCCACCTAAGCCTCCCAAAGTGCTGGGATTACAGGCATGAGCCACTGCACCTGGCCAAAATTTTTTTTTAAAGAAAAATAATATTTCACATAGAGTATTAAAATAATAATATTTGATCAACCAGAGAACCATGCTCACAGGCCAAATGGCTATGAGAGGAGCCTGTTCTAGAGAGTCCCAGGGAGTGCCTGGGACAGGGACAACCCAGCATAGTACAAGGGGCTCTGGGAAGCTGCAAAGTGCGGGGCTGTCAGGTCAGACTGCTGGGGTGGGCCTGACTCTAGAGTCATGTGCTTTATGACGGGCCAGTAGTTCATATGACTGGCCTCGGTGCACCTTGAGACCCTCAGCTGTAACGTGGGGTCCCAGAGCACCCAACGCTGAGGGTGGTGTGTGAAACAGGCAAGACAACCCTCGCTGGAGGCTGGGTGTGGACCACAGGCCCTCCCTACATCTGCAGGGCCCAGGGTAAGTATGCAGATGGGGGCCCACAGGGCACATGACTGTGTTTAAAGTTATGGAATATTACTAATAGTATGTTTTATTTTCATGCTTTGACAAACATGTACTTTCATGTCACTCTAGTAGGCTAGGTTTGAATTGAGAACTTCTTGATGGGTCGTTCAGAATTCTCTGCTGATTTGGACCACGTTGGAGAGCTGGCCCCAGCCCTCAAACTGATCCTCTTATCTTTAGCAACTCCTGTTTGCACCATGGGGCCCTGTTTGAACACAGTGAACATCTGGCTCTATACGTCCAAGCGGTTACCCTCCCTGAGCTGGCGGGGTCACACATGCTGGTGGTGAGGCCTGCTGCAGGGAGGCTGGTGGGGCCCACATCCCTTGGTGCAGGCCCAGGGCTCAGAGAGTTCCAGGGTGGGTGCCCAGAGGGAGGCCTACAACACAGAGGCAAATCTCCTTGGCCTTGCACGAGGCTCACTCTGCGGGGAACTCATGCTGGGGGAGCCCGACCCAGGGACCCCCTGGCTTGAATCAAAGGCTGACAGTGCTTCCAAGTGAGGTGGGGTGGGGATGATGTGGTGGGGGGTTCACTCCCCGGAAATCTTGCCGTGCACCCCTGTTTAAGAATCACTAATTTATCAGTTCTCTTTCATGCAGTACACATATATTAAGTGTCAATTGCATACCATGCATTGTTCTTGGCTCTAGGTATACAAAGAGCTAGACCCTGCCCCAAATAGCTGTCCCAGAGTGCCACAGATAGGGTGACAGCAGTGGGCACAGGCCTGGTGGGCATAGAGTTCCAGCTAACTTCCAAGGAGGGACAGGGCCTTTCCAGGAGAGAGGAGATGCAACCTATTCCACTTTTGGCAAAGCCCAGCAGGGGCAAGCTGGCTCCTAAAGTGGGAAGGAGAGTGTCTCAAATGCTAACAGGCTCCATGAACAACGTGTGTGTGCTCGTCCCACCATTCATAGGGCCTGGAAGCCCCAGACATGGGAACCCAACCCTTAGCAGCTCTTTTCCCAGGGCCTCCACTGGGCTTTGGTGAGAGGGGCAGGCGTGCAGATGCGGCTGCTATGCTCCCCCAGCTGAGCTCCCTTGCAGGGCCAGGCCACTCCCCACAGTGCCAGGCAGAGTGTGATGGCCTGGAGGGTGCCCTAGGGCACTGAGAAAGCCTCAGGCCCAGGCTCAGGGGGCCTGACCAGGAGCAAGACTGGACCAGGAGAACCTGGCATCTCCCCAGCCTCCACCAGGAGTTAAACACTGAATGCCAAGCCAGAGCATGGAGGGAGGCCTCCTCTGGGGCCAGCCAAGCAGGGACAGGAGAGCTGAGGATGGAACAGGAGCGGGGAGAACCCCTCGCCCCACAGACACCCACACAATGCAGTACTGTGCTGCGATAAGGGGGAACAAAGCACTGACGCGTGCGAGACAGGATGAGCCTGGACAGCAGAGTGCTGAGTGAAGGATGCCAGGCGCAGGGGGCTGCATGCTATATGAGTCCACTTCTATGAAAGGAGCAGGACAGAAAGCAGAGAGAAAGTAGAGGAGGGGCCGTCAGGGCCTGGGTAGGGTCAGGAAAGTGGCAGGTGCAGGCGAGGATAGTGAGGTTTCTTTTTGGGTGATGAAAATGTTCTAAAATTGATTGTGGTGATGGGTGCACAAATCTGTGACTACATTAAAAACCATTGAATGCTTTAAATGGGTCAGTTGTATGGTAGGTGATCTCAGTAAAGCTCTTAAAGAAAAACAATCATCTGACAGCCCAGAGTCAACATAAATAAAGCCCAGGGTCACAGCGGCCACTGCTGGAGGGGATTTTGCCTCTGAGGGTAACTACCACCACCATAAGACCCAAGCCCAGCTCACCACTGGCCAGATGAACTCCAACTCTCACACTGACGTGATGTCCATACAAGACAAGAGGCACGCCCATTTCCAGGCATCAATATCATTCATCCCAATCTCTTCCGTTTTTCTCTACAAAAGTTATAGGAAAAGGCAAGAGAAAACCCAACCTATTGTTAGGAGACAGAGCAATCGGCAGAACCAACCCCAGGCCTGGCCCAGATGTCGGAACTATCCAATAGGACTTTAAAACAACTATGACAAACATGTTGACGATCTAGTGGAAAAGTGGACACCATACGTGAACAGATGGGGAATTGCAGCCAAGATAGAAAGTATAAAATGCATGGAAGAGATTTTAGGAAGTGGATGACAGCACCACGTGGAAGATGGGAGGACACAGAGGTGTTAGGACAGTCAGTTGGCTCTTGGTATTCTTGCGGCAGTTGTTTCAGGATCTCCTTTGGATGCCAAAATCCAAGGATGCTCAAGTCCCTTATATAAAAGGGCTTAGCATTTGCTTCTAACCTGCTGTATACTTTAAATCATCTCTAGATTACTTATACCCAACACAATGTAAATACCATGTAAATAGTTATGCTGTATAGTTTAGGGAATAATGATGAAAAACAAAGGCCATATGTGTTCAGTAGAGATATAATTTTTTTTCTGGGTATTTCTGATCCACGGTCAGTTGAATCCATCGGTGTGGAACCCGCAGATACAGAGGGCCAGCTGTGCTGCAAGAGTGGATGATGACAGGGAAGGCATGGCAGAGCTTTCTCATTCAAAGAGGGTCTTGGTAAGGACTTTGAGTTGCAGTCATGATGATTATAACTGTTAGTAGAGAAGAAGTTGAGAAGTGAGGCACAAGTGACAGAAATATATTTTAACGTCTATTAAAATCCTTCTAATGAAAGCTCTCTCAGTCTAGCATCTTTCCAGTCTGTCTGGATGGGACATACCTGAGGCACACAGAACCTTCCAGCACGGGGCTGAGCATGGGGCTCTGGGCAGGGCCAGCCTCATCTGTGGGCACAGGGATGCTTGCCAGCCCCTGGATACCTCTGGATGGGTTCCTGGCTCTAAATGATCTTCCTGTCCCTGAGAACCATGGCATCTTGACCTCTGTCATTAATGACAGATTTCTCTGGGCTAAGGGCACTGTTGGAGAAGGGTATCCTTCTCTCTGATAACATATGCCAGGTGACACTCAGCTTGCTCTGACAATGAGGGAAAAGGTTTCTCCAACTCAATGGGGCTGGGATTGGAAGACCCAGCAAAGCTGGCCTGTATGGGGGGACTTGGAAGATTTGGGGAAAAAAGGAGAAGAGAGAATCTAAAGCAAAAGGCAGGCTCTTCTAAGAAAATCAGCCTAAATTGGTGGTTTTCACTTTTTTTTACTTGACCTATAATTTCAAATATATTAGTGATTCAGTACACATGTACACATCACACACACACGAATACAAGCCTCACAAAATAAATTTAGTATGTGCTATGTACTCTGATATTTTCTTTTCTAGCATATCCCAGTTTTTAAATGCTGTTACAATTTCCCAAACTGATTTCCAACAGCTTTACTCAAGGGTCATTTACATACCAAAAACCTCATCCATTTCTAGTATATAAGAGGAATTCAAAAAGTTCATGGAAAAATGGAATTAAAGGATAAAAAGAAAATATAAGCTTTATTTCTCAATATAAATGGCATCAAGTTCAAGACATTTTTGTCAATGATGATGTGCCACTTAGTCCATCTGTAAAGAGCTCAGGCTCCTGAGAATTTAACGATGCCAATGCAGTGTTTTTTACATTGTTAACTGAAAAAAGATGGATGCCCTTTACAGATTTTCTAAGATTAGGAAACAAAAAGGAGTCAGAAGGAGCCCAATCAGGACTATAATGTGGATGCCTCATGATTTCCTGTTGAAACCCTCACAAAATTGCCCTTCTTTGATGAGAAGAATGAGCAGAGATATTGTAGTAATGCAGGACTTTCTAGTGAAGCTTCCTGGGCATTTTTATGCTAACAGTGTGGCTAATTTTTCTTTCTTCCTTTCTCTTTCCTTCCTATCCTTCCCTTTCTTTCCTTCCTTCCTTCCTTCCTTACTTCCTTCCTTCCTTCCTTCCTCCCTCCCTTCCTTCTTTCCTCCCTCCCTCCCTCCCTCTCTCTTTCTCTCTTTCTTTCTTCTTTTTTGAGGGGGAGTTTTGCTCTTGTTGCCCAGGCTGGAGTGCAATGGCGCAATCTTGGTTCACTGCAACCTCTGCCTCCTGGGTTCAAGCAATTCTCCTGCCTCAGCCTCCTGAGTAGCTGGAATTACAAGTGCCTGCCACCATGCCCAACTAATTTTTTTTTTTTTTGCATTTTTAGTAGAGATGGGGTTTCAGCATGTTGGCCAGGCTGGTCTTAAACTCCTGACCTCAAGTGATCCAGCTGCCTTGGCCTCCCAAAGTGCTGGGATTATAGGTGTGAGCCACCGTGCCCAGCCCAGTTTGGCTAATTTTTCAAAGCACTCCCATAATAAGCAGATGTTATCCTTTGGTCCTCCAGAAAGTCAACAAACAAGTTGCCTTGAGCATCCCAAAGACCTGTTGCCCTGACCTTTACTCTTGACTGGTCCACTCGTGTTTGGCTGGACCATTCCCATCTTTTGGTAGCCATTGCTTTGGTTGTGCTTTTTCATCAGGATTGTACTGGTAAAGCCACATTTCCTTTGTTACAGTTCCTTAAAGAAATGTTTCAGGATCTTGATTTCATTTGTTTAAAATTTCCATCAGAAGCTTTGCTTTTGTCTGCAGCTGATCTGGACACAGTGGTTTCCACTGAGTGGAAAGTTTGCTCCATTCTAATTTTTCAGTCAGAATTGTGTAAGCTGGACCAATTGAGATGTCTATGGCATAGGCTATTGTTTCTGCTATTAGTCATTGGGCCTCTTCAATTATGGCATGAGAAAGATGAATTTTTTCCTCAAAAATGGATGTGGATGGCCAGGCACAGTGGCTCATACCTGTAGACCCAGCACTTTGGGAAGCTGAGGCGGGCAGATCACGAGGTCAGGAGTTTGAGACCAGCCTGGCCAACATGGTGAAATCCCATCTCTACTAAAAATACAAAAATTATCAGGATGTGGTGGCGTGCACGTGTAATTCCAGCTACTCGGGAGGCTGAGGCAGGAGAATTGCTTGAACCCTGGAGGTGGAGGTTGCAGTGAGCGGAGATTGCACCACTGCACTCCAGTCTGGGTGACAGAGTGAAACTCCATCTCAAAAAAAAAAAAAAGAATGTGGATGATCTGCCACTACAGGCTTCCTTTTCAGCGTCATCTTGTCCCTTTTTAAAACAAGTTATTCATTTGGTTTTCTATTTGTTTTTTTAGATAGGGTCTTGCTCTGTCATTCAGGCTGGTATGCAGTGGTGTGATCACAGCTCACTGCAACCTCAAACTCCTGGGCCCAGAGATCCTCCTATCATCTTCTGAGCAGCTGAGACTATAGGTGCACGTGACCATGGCTGGATAATTTTTAAATTTTTTGTAGAGATGGAGTCTCACTATGTTGCCCAGGCTGGTCTCAAACTCCTGTCCTCAAGTGATCCGCCCACCTTGGCCTCCCAAAATGCTGGGATTACAGGCGTGAGCCACTGCACCCAGCTAAGTTATCCATTTATAAATTGCTGATTTCTTTGGGGCATTGTCCCCATAACTTATGTATGTATTTATTTATTTATTTATTTATTTATTGAAGTAGAGTCCTGCTCTGTCACCCAGGCTGGAGTGCAGTGGTGCGATCTCGACTCACTGCAACTTCCGCCTCCTGGGTTCAAGTGATTCTCATGCCTCAGCCTCCTGAGTAGCTGTGATTACAGGTGTGTGCCACCACACCGGGCTAATTTTTGTATTTTTAGGAGAGACAGGTTTCACAATGTTGGCCAGCTGATCTTGAACTCCTGGCCTCGAGTGATCTGCCCACCTTGGCCTTTCAGAGTGCTGGGATTACAGGTGTGACTACCGCTCCCGGCCCCCATAACCTTTTCATAAAGCATCAGTGATTTCACCATTCTTTCACTCAAGCTTCGCTGTAAATTTGTTATTTGTTCTTGTTTCACTTTTAGCAAAATTCATGTTGATCTCATAGAAGCTCTTGTCAAACTGGTGTCTTATCTTTCTTAGTGCCTCAAACTCAATCTTATTCAGACATAAGTTCATGTGAGTTTATTTTGGCACAAAAACATTTTGAAATCCATGCATAGTTTTTTCATAATATACATTTTCCATGAGCCTTTTGAAGGCAATTTGCCTCTGACATTGATTTAAGACCAACTGACAGGTGACCAACAGTTTGAAGAATTTGGAAAAGGGTGACTGGACTCTGAGTGTGGATTTTGAGAGAGAGGAATGGAGGGTGTGCTCCAGCTGGAGGGCCCACCCTGTGCTAGCCCTGGTCACTTCCCAGCCTTCCAGGTCCCCAGGAACCAGTCTCCCTGGCTACCCTGGGCACTCCCAGCCAGGGCAGGAAGCATCTGTCTGGGAAGTCCAGCCACTGCCTTCTGGGTTATGATCTGGGGCAATAGTGCCTTGTGTGGCAGGGACCACCCAGGACGATGTCCTTAGAGGCCTGCAGGCTCATTGGATTTTCAGTTATTCCCATTTTAAAAATGAGTTAAGTCCTTCCAGGCTCAGAATTTCAAAGGACAGCAATCACCTCTGGTTTTACTTTAAGAAGCAGGAGCTTCAATTTCACAAAGACCTGAGGTGGCGGGAGGCCCTGCCCAGTGTGAGCTGCAGGGTGACTTCAGAGGAGTTGTCTCCAAGGGCCTCTTTCCTGTGATGATGAGTCAGGAGGTGGATGGGGCCCATAGAGCGGGTTTGGGGCATGAATCCTGCCATATCAGGGGTCACACGCAGGCAGCTCTCAACCAGAGCTTCAAGATCAGTGGCCTGGCCCCAGCATGAACACTATGGCCTCTACACTTCTAGGGCTCTGCTGGTCAGTTAGGGGCACAACCCCTTTGGGCTAATTCCACCCCACCAGCATGACCAAGCCTCTCTCGTGCTGGGTAGAGAGGCAGTGGACCGCTGACTACTGTGGGGGTGACATCGAGTCCATCGAGGTCTCTGGGAGGACGTGCGCTGAAATGCACCCGGGGTTCCATGTTTGGGTACATTTGGACGGTGGCATTGGTCTGGGGATGGGCCATACCTCTGCACCTCCCCCTCGGGTTGGTTTCATGTAGGGTTGGAAACAAAATAAAAAACCTGTTTATGTTCTTTTCCTAGACAAGAGAGCAAGAGTCTAGACAGGTTTGGGATGTCTGATTAGAAAATATTTCTGTTTTTGTGGAACTGCTAAATCCCAAGAGCGATAGAGGAAGTCCTGTGTGAAGGGTTTTGATCCACCTAGAAGATGA
This sequence comes from Homo sapiens, assembly GCF_000001405.40. Taxonomy (NCBI): domain Eukaryota; kingdom Metazoa; phylum Chordata; class Mammalia; order Primates; family Hominidae; genus Homo; species Homo sapiens. The sequence continues at coordinate 12,295,666 of NC_000018.10, read as the reverse complement.
ATTGTAAAGCTCACAGCGCCTCTTTCCCTGCATCCTGGAAATTCTCGGTTTAGACAAAATCAGTTTCCTCCTTGGCCAGTGAGTAAGACCGGACGATCTTTAAATTCCCTCCAGCTCTCACATCCTATGACTAATCAATACCAGTGCTTCTTAAATTAAAGAAAACCAGTTGCCTGTAATCCCAGCACTTTGGGAGGCCGAGGCGAGTGATCACTTGAAGTCAGGAGTTTGAGACCAGCCTGGCCAACATGGTGAAACGCCGTCTCTACTAAAAAAAAAAAAAAAAAAAAAAAAAATTAGCCAGATGTGATGGTGGGCGCCTGTAATCTCAGTTACTCAGGAGGCTGGGTCAGCAGAATTACTTAAACCCGGGAGGCAGAGGTTTCAGTGAGCCAAGATTGTGCCACTGCACTCCAGCCTGGGCGACAGCTAGACTCCGTCTCAAAAAAAAACGCAAAAAACAAAAACCAGTTGATACAACTCCCTCTACAAGGCTACAGCCTGCTTGCCGCATTTTTTCTATTTTATCTATTTCTCTATTAATTATAGTTGATTTGCCAATTCTATTTTAAAAGATCTTGATATCAAGGAATTTATTTGACTTCCTCTTTTACAAAACATTTATTTATTTATTTTTAATGGACAAAAATTGTGTATGTTTATTGTGTACAACATGTCTGGAAAGAGGTATACATTGTGGAAGGGCTCCATCGAGCTATCTTTTTTTTTTTTTTTTTGAGACGGAGTCTCACTCTGTTGCCCAGGCTGGAGTGTAGTGGTGTGATCTCAGCTTACTGCAAGCTCCGCCTCCCGGGTCCATGCCATTCTCCTGCCTCAGCCTCCTGAGTAGCTGGGACTACAGGTGCCTGTCACCACGCCTGGCTAATGTTTTGTATTTTTAGTAGAGACGGGGTTTCACCATGTTAGCCAGGATGGTCTTGATCTCCCGACCTTGTGATCCGCCTGCCTCAGCCTCCCAAAGTGCTGGGATTACAGGCGTGAGCCATCGCACCCGGCCTTGCATTGAGCTATTAATGTATGCATTACCTCACATACTTATTTTTTTGTGACGAGAACACTCAAACTCTATTCTCTTAGCAAGTTTCAGGAACACGATACACTGTTACTAAGCACAGTCACCATGTTGTAATAGCTCTCACCGACTTATTCCTCCTATTACTGAAATTATGTTTCCTTTGACCAACATCTCACCACCCCATTTCACCTCTTCTAAGATGGTAGTGAGCATCTATCCATGAAGTACACGATGAAGAATAAATATTTGTGTAGACAGTTGAGCGCAGCAAGTCCGGTTTGTAACACATGTGACCTGACACCTGTCTCATGCTAACAGGCTGGTTGTCTTGTTGTACAGCAGTTCAGCATACGGGGGGCATATCCCACTCACAGCTGTGATGGAGTGCTTTTCCCTGCAGAGCGCGACCCTTCTGCCTTCAGCGCGTTTTAGTAGGACGGGCTCTGAGTGAGGTGATGGAACCCTTGGGTTAGTCCCTGATGAACCTCTAACTAGCTGTGTGATCTCTGAGCCTCAGCGTCTTCCTCTGCAACACCGGGGGGTTGAATCAAGCCACATGTGAGGATCCCAAACTCCTGGGCTGCCCCAGAGCCTTCTTGTCACATGCCCCAACATGATCGTGGACCTTCATCCTCCACCCACCCCAGCCTGGCCCCTGGTCTTGAACACACGCTTGCAGGGGCTGGGGGCTGAAGCAGGAGCCGAGAGGAGGGGAGAGAAGCTCCAGGATGGGCAGGGGGAGCCAGGTGAGAACCAACTCTGGAATCTCCCAACCCGAGACTCAGGGTAGGGGCAGGGGAAGTAAGGAAAGGCACCCTCACCCTGGGATTTTTGAAAGCAGCAGAAGCAGGACAACTCTCTTACTTGGGGCTCACATATTTGAAAATATTCTTTTATTACCTTTGGGGCTCACATGTTTGAAAATGCTCTTGGGGCTTACATGTTTGAAAATACTCTTTTATTACCTTTCCATTAAAAAGTAATTCATGAGGTTGGGCATGGTGGCTCACGCTTGTAGTTCCAGCACTTTGGGAGGCTGAGGTAGGCAGATCACCTGAGGTCAGGAGTTTGAGACCAGCCTGGTCAACATGGTGAAACTCTGTCTCTACTAAAAATACAAAGATTAGCCAGGCGTGGTGGTGGGTGCCGGTCATCCCATCTTCTTGGGCAGCTGGGGCATGAGAATTGTTTGAACCTGGGAGGAGGAGGTTTCAGTGAGCTGAGATTGCACCACTGCACTCCAGCCTGGGCGTCAGAGTGAGACTCTGTCTCAGGAAAAAAAAAAAAGAAGGAAAAAAGTAATAGATGATAATAGATGAGTCTTGTAAGATGAAAAAATTTTGGAGATCGGTTGCACAACTATGTGAATATGTTTAATGCTATTAACCTATACATGTAAAAATGGGTAAGATGGTTAATTTTATGAGAGAGAGATATAGAGATATATGAGATATATATGATATAATAATATATATTATATTTTATATATAATTTTATATATAATTATTATTTTTGAGATGGAGTTTTGCTCTTGTTGCCCAGGCTGGAGTGCAATGGTGTGATCTTGGCTCACCACAACCTCTGCCTCCTGGGTTCAAGCGATTCTCCTGCCTCAGCCTCCCAAGTAGCTGGGATTACAGGCATGCACCACCATGCCAGGCTAATTTTTTTTTTGTATATTTAGTAGAGACAGGGTTTCTCCATGTTGGTCAGGCTGGTCTCAAACTCCCGACCTCAGGTGATCTGCCTGCTTCGGCCTCCCAAAGTGCTGGGATTACAGGTGTGAGCCACTGCGCCCGGCATGAGATTTTTTTTTTTTTTTGAGGTGGAGTCTCGCTCTGTCGCCCGGGCTGGAGTGCAATGGCACCATCTCAGCTCACTGCAACCTCCACCACCTGAGTTTAAGTAATTCTCCTGCCTCAGCCTCCTGAGTAGCTGGGATTACAGGCACGCACCACCATACCCAACTAATTTTTGTATTTTTAGTAGAGACAGGGTTTCACCATGTTGGTCAGGCTGGTCTCAAACTCCTGACCTTGTGATCCACCCGCCTCGGCCTCCCAAAGTGCTGGGATTACAGGTGTGAGCCACCGCGCCCGGCCTGATATGTTTTTTTAACCAGAATTTTTTTTTTTTTTTTTTTTGAGTCAGAGTCTCACTCTGTTGCCCAGGCTGGAGTGCAGCAGCGCGATCTCAGCTCACTACAACCTCCATCTCCTGGGTTCAAGCCATTCTCTTGCCTCAGCCTCCTGAGTAGCTGGGATTATAGGTGCATGCCACCATGCATGGTGTCAAACTCCTGACCTCGTGATCCGCCCGCCTCGGTGTCCCAAAGTGCTGGGATTACAGACGTGAGCCACCATGCCCGGTCCTTAACCACAATTTTTTTTTTTTTTTTTTAGAGGCAGAGTCTCGCTCTGTCGCCCAGGATGGAGTACAGTGGTGCGATTTTGTAAAGGGGGAAGGGGAGTAATAGACAAGCTTCACAAACATTGGAGAACACTGAAGAGTAACCAAAGATAACACAGATACAGCTCTATGCTCTGCAGGCCGTATTGCTCACACCCTTCTTCCAGGGACTGTCTTGACGGTTTCATTTGCAGTATTCTCCGTCCCCTTCAATGTGACTCCGTAGTGTCTAGCCCTTGCGGTTGTCAGAGCACAGAACCCTCCTGCTAATAGAGGGGTGGCTGGGATGAGCGCGTCTCACAGCTCTGTGGCTTAACTTGGGCTCTGCCACACGGGAACCTGGGGGATGTAACTGTAACCGTATGGGGCTGTCGGGTAGCTGTGTGCTGTGTGTAAGTCTCGTCCTGTTGCTGTCCTGCACGCGGCAGGCATGTCACATGTTTGGCGGCATGCACACCACATACCTGCACCAATAGTCCTGAAGCTGTAGGAGACAGTTCTGAAACTGTTTTGTTGAGGGCCACTGGGCTATTAAAAGTAAAGGTCACATTAAGTAAAATATTGATCTAAGTGATTATTTGATTTGGAAGGTTGTTGTTTTGTGTGGGATTTTTGGGATAGAGAAGGATATACTCATTCACCTTTTATTTACAATCAAACAAGTATTTACCAAGATCATGTAACAAACAAAATAAATGTTCCATTCTGTGTTAGTGAGAAGAAAATAGAGGGCAGGATGCAGAGAAAAGGGAAGAGGCCCAGAGAAGACAGGCCACTGTGTTTACAGGGGGCAGAGGCTGTGGGGGGATCGGGAGGGCACCTTCCTGTGGGTAGCACCCTGCTCATCTTTCCCTGTGGCTCCGCCCTGTGCCCTGTGCCCTCTGCACTGCCCAACCTGCTTACAGGGAGGGCCTGGGAGTTCAAGGGCCTTCTCGACCAGAAGCTTCAGGTCAGGGTCACAAGTGCGTGGCGCTGTTTGGTTCTGTTAAACACAATTTTGGTGTTTAATGACGATTTCTTGATTTATTCACTCTTTTCTTCCATAAATATTGAGCACTTGCCATGTCCCAGACACTGTGCTAGGTGCTGATTGTAATCCTTATGAATATTTAGTAACATCTGAAACAGACAAAAATAATCATAATAATTATTGTAACTTATATAATCATATGATACTATATCTATCTATCTATCTATATTTTTTTCTTTTTCTTTTTTTTTTTTTGAGACAGAGTCTCACTCTTGTCACCCAGGCTGGAGTGCAGTGGTACAATCTTGGTTCACTGCAACCTCTACCTCCCAGGTTCAGGTGATTCTCCTGCCTCAGCCTCCCGAGTAGCTGGGATTACAGGCACCAGCCACCACACCCGGCTAATTTTTATATTTTTAGTAGAGACAGGGTTTTGTCATGTTGGTCAGGCTGGTCTTGAACTCCTGACCTCAGATGATCCACCTGCCTCGGCCTCCCAAAGTGCTGGGATTAGAGGTGTGAGCCACAGCGCCTGGCCTATTTTTCTTTTGTATATTTAATTTTTAAATATAATAAAAGGCAGGGTCTCACTATGTTGCCCAGGCTGGTCTCAAACTCCTGGGATCAAGTGATCCTTTCACCTTGGCCAGAGTGCTGGGATTACAGCCGGGAGTCACGGCATCCAGCCAATATTATTATAATAATTTATAAAATTGTTCCAGGAACAAATAGTGACTGCCATCATTCTTACTATTACATGGATTGGCACATTTTCTTCCTGTCCATACTGAGGATGGAAGTGCTGAGAATGAATGCGGGAAGCTGCTGGTGAGGGCAAGAGGGCAGGGTGTGGAAGGTGCCTAGCAAGGAATGGCAGCCTGCCTTCCACCAGGGCTGGGAGGCTCAACAGCCAACAGTGAGGGCACCCGTGCTCCAGTCTGCAGGGCAGAGGGGCCCTGATGCAACCCTGCAGGGGGCAGGGGCAGACTTTGTGCAACACAGCTGAACTGGCACAGGTTCTGGGAAACAGGATTTCCCAGGGGCACCCTGGTGACTTCTGCCTTCTCTTGCCTTGCAGGCCAGTGGTTTCCAGGACCATGCCTGTGGTGAGTCCAGAAAGTGTGTGCATGCAGGCCAGGATACAGCTTTGTGTGACACAGATTTTATAAGTCAGAACTTGCATCTGTTGATTAGTTATCTTCCTCTTTGCTTTGTGATGGCATTCATGGAAAAGCCATAATTTCAGTGGACCCCACTCAGAACCTTGACCTTTGGCTCTAGTCACAGAACTTTGTTCCCCTAGGCTTCAGACCCTGCCTAGGTACTCCAGACGAGCCCTCCCAGGACCTGGAGTCTCTCCCTGCAGCCCGCACTTCTTGTTTCCTGCTCTCCCCACAGCTGCTACCTCCATCCTTGGTCCCAGACTTCCACCTCTGTCCTCTGCTTGGACCCTGCTCTCGTGCCCATCCACCTCTGGGACTTCTGCCCTTCACCTCTGAAAAAACCCTCGCCTGGCTGGGTGCAGTGGCTCACGCCTGTAATTCCAGCACTTTGGGAGGCCAAGACGGATGGATCACGAAGTCAGGAGATCGAGACCATCCTGGCTAACATGGTGAAACCCCGTCTCTACTAAAAATGCAAAAAATTAGCCAGGCATGGTGGCAGGTGCCTGTAGTCCCAGCTACTTGGGAGGCTGAGACAGGAGAATGGTGTGAACCCAGGAGGCGGAGCTTGCAGTGAGCCAAGATCACACCACTGCACTCCAGCCTGGGCGACAGAGCAAAACTCTTGTCTCAAAAAACACAAAAACAAAAACAAAAAAAAACAACAAAAAAAAACCAAAAACAAAACCCTCGCCCACTTCCCTCCCCTCCTTCCAGCCCCTTCCCCATCTCTGGATCTTTTGGATATGCTCATCTTTCTTCCTGCCTTTCCTGCCACCAGCTGAACTGTTGCATAATGAACAGCTGCCAGCAAAGATATCTAAAGCTGTGCTGCACTTTCTCAGTTAAAAGCACAAGTGGAAGGTTCATTCTTTTTTTGAGGTATTTTTACCCCTGTGGATTGGTTTGAATCAACTTAATCTGCACTGTCTGCACCTCCAGGCTAGGATGAGCCAATGTGCTCTTTTTCAGGTCCCAGATTCCAGGTGGGCAGGATATCACCAGGCCAGCTCTGTGAGAGCTGAGCGACCGCCTCCTGTCTGTACCCACCGCAGCCTCTGCACTCACCAAGCCCTGTCCCAGCAGAGGATCCCGCCTTTCACATTCAGAAGTCCCACCTCCGGCACTAGAATACACATTCCTGAAGGTTAAAGAGGACACCTCCTGCGTGTTGTGCATAAGACTCAGTGTGTTACTTTCTATGCCAATGCCCTAAGCGAGTGATTGTGAATGGAGAGACTAGGACGGCAGAAAGCTTGCCTTGCAGGAGGCACCCAGAATATTATGAGAGGAGGACCCAGAATATTATGACTGGAATAAGGAAAAATTGAATAATGCACGCCTTAGCAAAGTGGCTCTCTCTAGGCTTTTCTCAGAGTTTAACATATTATAAATTAGAATGGCATTAAAAAATAGAATCAGAATGGTTTGCACCTGATTATGATCGGCCAGGTGTTTGCCTGGATTCCATTCCTAGTCAGTCCCCGCCGGTCTAGTTAGGAACCGAGCTTTGTAGCGAGTCCTAGGCTTGGTCTTGCGTGCTCCTTGGAAGGAAGGGTGGTGGTGGGCAGGGAGGTGGATGGCTGGGTCCCCCGGGCCTTTCTCTTGGACAAGGCTGCAGCTCGTCCTCTCTCAGGCTCCAGGGCGGGGAGGGCACCTTCTTTAGCTAACAGCCTTGCTGGGAAAGTTACTGTGATCATGTAGGTAAAAACGCATTGTCAACCGCAAACTTCCAGACGAAAGTCCTGTGAAATTCTTATCGTCTGTTCTGGACAGTGGCGCGAGGGCTATTTGGAGAGTTGAACTCAGTGTGAGCCCAGCACGCCCCGCCCCAGCTGTCTCAGCTGCACCCAGGAATCCTGCGGTGGCCACTCCCCGCTCCAGCTGGCCCCGTGATGCAGAAAACATTTTTCCCCACCCATCCCAGCAACGCTCACCCTTCCTTACTAAGTCACATTTGTGCCTGACTCCCAAGAATACGCTTCACGCCCACGCATGGAATCAAGGGGGAAACCAGCAGATCCGCGCTGTGTCCCTTGCCTGGCCCGGGCACCTCTCGCGACCGCAGTCCTGTCCAGGGCGGACATCGTTCACGTTCTTACAGATGAGGGTGCCGAGTCTGGGAGAGGCCAAGAGACGTGCCCGGGCGCACATTTGGCCCCCAGCTGCTTACAGTAGAAACGGGGCCCCGGAGCTCCGCTGGGTATCTGCTCGGCAGGGCGCCCCCGCCTGCAGCTGCAGCGGACTCGGTCAGAACCTGATTCAACGGGAGGAACCACGTTGTCCAAAGCTCATTCCTGGGAGGGGAGTTCTGCCCAGGCAGACAGGGGGTCACCAGGCTTTCCTTGTCGGATGAGATTTTTCTCCCTGGGCGACCCCCACCATCCTCGCCTCCTCACCTGGCCTCTGCTGGGAGGAGCGGCTGGGTCGGCAGCTTGGGCTGGCCACTGCCTTTACCTGAGCGCCTGCGCCTGGGTCAGCCTGGCAGGCAGCAGCAGGCCAAGGAATGCCCCTGCAGGGAGGTGCGACCGGACAGCTGACGCCCGCCCTGCCTGTGCCGGCTGTTCCGAGGACGCCGGAATGTGGAGTGGGGACCCCGAGAGGGAGTACGCCTCTGCACCATCACTCGGGGGAGCGTGGGGAGCCCGCGTCCTTCACCTCCAGGGCAGGCGGAGGTCTGGGCGCAGGGCGGGCGGGAGCACGGTGCATAGCCTGACACCGCTCATTCGGGCTGAGCTGGCGCAGCTCACCTGGCTGCCAGCACCGACGCCGCATGAGCGCTCTGCGGCCACCTGCATCCAAAGAAAGCCTCGACGGCTTGCCATAGGGAAGCCCTGCGGGTCTTGAGCTCACCTTGAGGAAGCCCTGAGCAGTCAGGAGGCCGTGCCCTCCGGAAACCCTGGCAGCCCTGGTCGTCCAAGTGACAGTCTCCAGAGCTGTGGTTAAAGGAAGGGCTTGGCCGGGATCATGCCTGTCATCTAGCACTTTGGGAGGCCGAGGTAGGAGGATTACTTGAGGCCAGGAGTTCAAGACCAGCTGAGGCCAGGAGTTCAAGACCAGCCTGGGCATCACAGTGAGATCCCCATCTCTGAAATATATACATTTAAAAGAAGAGCTTCATTCACAGTTCCCTGGGAGGGAGGAAGCATTTAAAAAAAATCAATCAATTGGCCGGGCGCGGTTGCTCCTGCCTGTAATCCCAGCACTTCAGGAGGCCGAGGTGGGTGAATCACCTGAAGTCAGGAGTTTGAGATCAGCCTGGCCAACATGGTGAAACCCCATCTCTACTAAAAATACAAAAATTAACCAGGCCTGGTGGCAGGTGCCTGTAATCCCAGCTACTTGGGAGGCTGAGGCATGAGAATCGCTTGAACCCGGGAGGCGGAGGTTGCAGTGAGCCGAGATCACGCCCCTGTACTCCATACCACTGCACTCCAGCCTGGGGGATAGAGCGAGACTCTGTCTCAAAAAAAAAAAAAAAAGAAAAGAAAAGAAATCAATCAATAAAACCCTTTTCATTATAGAACATTAAAAACATACCCAAATCAGAGACTAATGAAAGCCCATGTATCCATCACCCAACTTCATCTGAAACAGATCTTAACAACTGTGCCTGTTTCTTAAAGAAAAGAAACAAAAAGGTGTATTAGTATCTGAGTTATAGTAAATGTTTTCATTCACTCTTTTCAGGAAAAAATGGGCAAATAAATGGTCAAACCTTTTGAAGATACTGTATTGAACTACTCTTAGCCCTTTCTTTCTCCTTAGTGTGAAAATTAAAGGGTGTACTTCCCAAGCATCTGTGCTTGCTATATGCCCAGCCCCATCCAGGCTCCAAGCTCTTTATTTTTATTTTTATTTAGAGATGGGGGTTTTGCTATGTTGCCTAGGCTGGCCTCCATCTCCTGGGCTCAAGTGATCCTCCCACTTCAGCTTCCCTAGTAGCTGAGACTACAAGTGCTTGCCACCACGTCCGGCCCCATTTAAAAATTAGAGTGAATATGCAAAGCTTGAAATAGACAATTTGGCAGGTGCAGTGATTCACACCTGTAATCCCAGCACTCTGGGAGGCTGAGGCAGATGGATCACCTGAGGTCAGAAGTTTGAGACCAGCCTGGCCAACACAGTGAAACCCCATCTCTACTAAAAATACAAAAAAATTAGCCAGGTGTGGTGGCGCATGCCTATAGTCCCAGCTACTTGGGAGGCTGAGGCAGGAGAATTGCTTGAACCTGGGAGGTGGAGGTTGCAGTGAGCCAAGATTGTGCCTCTGCACTCCAGCCTGGGTGACAGAGTGAGACTCTGTCAAAAAAAAAAAAAAAAAGAAAAAGAAAAAGAAAATAAAAGAAAATAACCAATTTGCCTTTTCAGCTTTGGCTCTGCAGCCTGCCTGTTGAGGCCCAGCTAGTCTTACTCTAGCTCCCAGCTTGCCAGACACATCAGTAGATTCTTCATGCCACTTAAGAGATATCTGGGAGCAAATAAAAAGTTTATGGAGTAAAAAATCTGATGCGATTCCAGGTTTACATATTTTGTTGCATTATACAACACTTTATATATATATTTTTTGAGAGTCAAGGGTCTCTCTATGTTGCCCAGGCTGGTCTTGAACTCCTGGCCTCAAGTGATCCTCCCATCTCAGCTTCCTGCGTAGACTTCAGGCTCTCCAGTGGTAATTGAATAAGATGATAACCCCCATAACCCAGGCACTCCAGAGGCCTGGCTGACCCAGCACGCCCGAGGAGGCACCTGTGGATATGGTCTCTCCCAGTCCCGGAGGGGAGGAGGACCAGGTGGGTTTGTCTTCTTCTCTACATCCCCAGGATCTTAGAGGTGGCTTTCAGAGAGATCCCAAGGCTGGTCACAAAGGGACCATCAGGCTTGCCCCAAGGCCAGCCCTGCCTCCCTGGGGGACCCCCCAGGTGGAACCCATTCTAACATCCCCTGTTCAACAGCTGCACCCGGGCTGCCTCCCTGAGCCCCCTGGAGTGGTCACTCTGAAGGGGGCTCCTTCCATTTGTCGTGGTCTTGTTGAAAGATTGTATTGTCATTTAACATTTCTGCTTCACACTGACAGAGACTGCAGGGAAATAAAAGAAGCTAATGAAAGAAATACACCCTGCAGGATTGGGGCAGGTTCAGGGCAGAGCATTGGAGAGCCCAGTTTGTGGACTTGAGAGGACTCTACATGTTGGCTTGTGGAGGAAGTGGGGTGGGGTCCTTTTGGGGAAATGCTGGATCAAGCACAAAGGCACTGCCCTGCGGTAGGGAAGCTGGACAGGAGGGATTAAAAAAAAATAACTCAAGAGGACAGAACTATAACCTGTGGGTAGAAGTTTTAGGGACCCAGATATTTGTCTGAAACCTCCCCAGAGTTAGCTGGCCATGGTGGACCTGTAGTCCCAGCTACTTGGGAGGCTGAGGTGGGAGAATCTGTTGAGCCTGGGAGGTCAAGACTGCAGTGAGCTCTGATCATGCCACTGCACTCCAACCTGGGCAACAAAGCAAGACTTTACCTTAAAAAAATAAAACACACCCTAAGACAGACAAAACTGCACAAGTTGAACGAGCTCCTGTTGCAAGGGCTGCCATATCTCAGTGTTCAAGCCAAGGATGGTGAACAGCACGGGGATCTTGGGGAGAAGGGTTTCTGTGCACCTTCATAACATCTGAGACTCAGCTCCCAACCCTGGCACATTTTATCCTTTGAGGAGAGAGATGATTTTTTTCCTAAAGTAAAATATCATTTGGAGTAAATCCTGGTGAATTAGGTAAAGGAATAAGTCAAAGCATTACTGTTAATTCTTCTGTTAGGTATAGGAGTGAGTCAAACCTTTCAGGTTTTTATTGTGTTTGTGTGGCAGGTAGCGGAGACTCACTGGGCCGGTGGCGCAGGGGTAAAAGAATTTACCAAGACAGTTGTAGGTAAAGAAAGGCAGATTTATTAGAGAAAGTAGGAAAATGTGTTGCAAGGTTGCAGTGGGCAGAATCAGCAGAAGAGGAGCTGCCTGCCAGGAGACCAAGGCTGGCTGGGGAGTTTATAGAATGGAACTTGAGCTGACTGATAACTAACTTCCATTTTTCTATCAGCCTAGGTGTTTGATAAATTAAGGTGTTTGTTGATAAGCAGGAAGCTTGTGAGCTCTGTACGTTATCTGCTCAGGAGGGCCACATGTCCTGGACCATAAAGAAAAACAGACCCACAGCATGTCTGTTTCCTCTCTTTGTTTATCTGTCCTGGACCATGGAGGAAGCCAGACCCATTGCTCATCTGCTTTATCTCTTTGTTTTCACCTGGTGCCACCAACCTGACTCCTTTTTCCTCATTAGGACTCTGCAGATTGCATGGTTTTCTTTCTTTTTTTTTTTTTTAAAAAAAAAAAAGAGATAGAGTCTTACTCTGTCACCCAGGCTGGAGTACAGTGGTGCAGTCATAACTTACTGCAGCCTCAACCTCCTGGGCTCAAGTGATCCTCCTGCCTCAGCCTCCCAAAGTACTGGGATTACAGGTGTGAGTCACTGTGCCCAGCCTTTGTAAGTTTGAGGTCTAACCACATACCAATGAGGCAGGTGTTGGTATATGGCTTGAAAGTGATCCTGCCTTAGTTGTCTTCCCACATGTCATTCCCATGAGCTGTGTGTACAGTTGTGTGACTGTGCGGGCTGGGAAGTCTGAAATCTGCAGGGAGGCTGCAGGCTGGAGCCCCGGAAGAGCTGATGTCGCAGCGCCACCCGCAGGGCTGTCTGCGGGCAGAATTCTTTCTCTAAGGGGATGTCAGTTTTTTCTCTGAAGGCCTTCAATGGACTGGATGAGGCCACTCCCTAATGGGCAACCTGGAGGGCATGTGCTTTACGTAAAGTCCACAGCTTTAAATGTTAGTCTCATCTTCAAAAATATCTTTCACAGCAACATCGGGATTGGTGTTTCACCAGAAACTGGGTGCCGTGGCCTGGCCAAGTGGACACGTAAAGTCACCATCACGAGCAGTAACATCACAATGGCTGGGTGCGTGGGGGGCTGTGGAAAAAACACTGCTTTTTCTCTCTGCTTTCACTCTCAATACAGAGTATTTCACCTTAGGGCACCGAAATGCGTGGGGATTTCTCTCCACAGACAACCCGTTCTCCAGCAGACACCAGCTGAGTGTCCTCTCATTCAATTCAACTCTGACACAGTCCTCTTGGAGACAGCATCAAACACCACGGGCTGAGAGCTCAGTCCTCAAGGCTGCCCTCACTTTTCACGCCCATTGCAAGCCCCAAGCTGTGACAAATCTCAGTTCCCCTGATCCCCGGCTTGGGGGTGGTTAATTTGCTAGGGTAGCTCACAGAACTCAGGGAAATCCTTTCTGTATGTTTAGCCTTTTATTATGAAGGATATTACAAAGGACACAGATGAAGACACTCATGGGGAAGGCATGTGGGGCAGGGCATGGAGCTTCCGTGGTCTCCCTGGACACCACGATCTCAGAGCCTGTACGTGTTCACTCTCTGGAAGCTCTTTGAGCCCTGTAGCTTGGGGATTTTTCTGGAGCCTTCATTACATAGGCACAATTGATTACCTCATTGGCCACTGGTGATTGATTCAAACTTCAGCTCCTCTCCCTTCCCCAGAGGTTGGGGGATGTGGCTGAAAGTCCTGACCCTTTAATCACAGGGCTGGTTCCCTGGCAACCAGCCCCTATCCTGAGGCCATGCAGGAGCCCACCAAGAGTCTCCTAAAATGATGCTCCTGGCCAGGCGCGGGGGCTCATGCCTGTCATCCCAGCCCTTCTGGAGGCCAAAGCAAGTGGATCGCTTGAGCCCAAGAATTTGAGATCAGCCTGGACAACATAAGGAGACCTCATCTCTACAAAAAATAAAAATGATTAGCCAGGCATGGTGGTGTGCAGCTGTAGTCCCAGCTACCTAGGAGACTGAGGTGGGAGGATCACTTGAGCCCAGGAAGCTGCAGTGAGCTGTGATCACACCACTACACTCCAGCCTGGGTGACAGAGCAAGATGCTGTCTTGAAAAAAAAAAGAAAAGATGCCCCCATAACCCAGGAAATTCCAAAGGATTTAGGAATTCTGTCAGCCATTCCAATCACTCAGGAGATTACAGATTTTAGGAGATCTATGTCAGGAATGGGGGCAGAGGCCAAAAACGTATTTTTTATTATATCACAATATCACAGGGGTCCTGGTACCCTGGCCTGGCCTTGGAGTGGCAGGGAGAACCTGGCTCCCAGCAGTGGTGGCCTGAAGCCTTCTTGCAGGTGGGCTGGGGGAGTTGCCGCAGTGACCTTCACAGACTGGCCTCCGACAGTCATAGCCAGTGGGCATCTCAGGGGAGGCCTGGGTGGGACACAACTCCCCATAGTCGGAGTGTGTCCCCCACTGCCTTGGCACATGAGCCCCTGGGGCATGAAGTGGGGGAGACCACTCAGTGGAGTGGAGGCTCAGAATAAAAGGCACTGCACTGATCATCAGATTTTAAAAGCAATAGCTCATGCCCATAATCCCAGTCCTCTGGGAGGCTGAGGTGAGAGGATCACTTGCACCCAGGAGTTGGAGAGCAGCCTGGGCAACATAGTAAGATCCTGTTGCTAACAACAAAAAAAAAATCTAAAAAAAAAAAAAAAAGATGATGAGCTGGGTGTGGTGGTGTGCACCTATAGTGTCAACTACTTGGGAGGCTGAGGTGGAAGATACATTTAAAAAAATGTTATGTTGGCCAGGCATGGTGGCTCACACCTGTAATCCCAGCACTTTGGGAGGCCAAGGTGGGTGCATCACCTGAGGTCAGGAGTTCAAGACTAGCCTGGCCAATGTGGTGAAACCCCAAAAATACAAAAATTACCTGGGTGTGGTGGCACGCACCTGTAATCCCAGCTATTCAGGAGGCTGAGGCAGGAGAATCGCTTGAACCCAGGAGGCGGAGTTTGCAGTGAGTCGAGACCACACCATTGTACTCCAGCCTAGGCAATAAGAGCGAAACTCCATCTCAAAAGAAAAAAAAAAAGTTATGTTGATTTTGCCACAATACAATAAAATCTTGGGGAAGACAGAGCTCTCCTCCTGGCCCACTGGGACTTGAGAGCTGGCTGTCAGAGCTGGAGGGCAGGCAGGTAGCCCCATGGCCTCTGCTGCTGGAGGGGGCCTGGTAATTCTAGCAAGGAATAGCTGTCCCCGTGGAGGTGATGGTAGAGAAAGGTGCTGGCCACAGTTTTCTTTCCCTACAATTTATAACACAGGAGGGAGTGGGAGCCAGGAGACCCTGTGTGGGGACAGTGCCATCCTGGGTGGAGGCCCACCCCCACATGTGGCTTGATGAGCCGCCCCCACCTCATCACATGAGGAGAAAGGAGAACTTCCCTTTGGGGAAATGGACCCCCGTTTTAGAATCCTAGTCCTGAAGAGGCCTACGCCATGGCTTTGAGCTGGGCTCCTGACCTGGCGGGTGGTGACAGTTTCCTTGGGGTGCAGGAGAAGGGCAAGCTGTGGCTGGCCAGCTGAAAAGTGCTGGCTGGAAGAGGGACCGTGTTTACATTTTTAAAATCTGGGCCAAGAAAATCTGTCTGGGAATGGAGTTCCTGGACCAAGTCGATTGGATCCTGATTTTATGGATGAAGACAGTGGTTTGGGCTGTGAAGTCTGGTCACTACAGGTGATTTTAGCCAGAGTCTGTCTCTGGCCATGAGATCATGGCTCTTAGAGCATTTCATTCTGATGTCCTCAGTTCATCCCAGGCCTGCACTCTGTTCCCTGCTGCTGGCAGAAAGTGCTCCTTGAATCTAGCCTACGGATCATGTGGCAGAAACACACCAGGACGCATGCGCGTGGGATGCTCATGGCAGCTACCTGTGTTTGTGCGCCTGAAAAAGAGGTCATAGGAGTGACGTCCAGGTCCATGTAGTGACTGCAGGAGCATGAAACCTGGGCTCATGGGAACCATTTCTTTTTTTCTGAATTGTGATTCTAGAAGTGAATAATTTCCAATTCGAGCTCTTCTGCTTGGCCCCATCAAAGACACACAGACGAACACTCAGCCCCTGAAGGGACACACACGCCACCCTGGGGGTTCAGCTGAAGGCTTAGGTGGAGGCGGCATCCAGGCCTCACAGGGTCCAGGCCCTGAGCCCGCTGGAGTGCCTTGGCTCTCCCCACCCACCCTCACCTGCATGGGGCACATCCTGGTCTGAGCTAGCGGGCTAAATGCAGATGATAGAGAAACTAAGATGAGAACGAGAAAGTGTCACATTTGGAGTGCCTGTCACCTAATCCGAACCAGAGACAAGACAGCCACGCCTGCTGGGACCCTTCCCCTAAGGGAGTGGGTTTCAATTCCACCAGTCTCCTGGCCAAGGGCCCACTGAAGACTTTGACAATAGCAAAACCAACCTTTGCTGCCTCCTCCCTGAGGCCTGGAGCCTCCCTGAGGGTTCTGCGAAGAGGCTGCTCTGTCCCGGGCCACTCCGTGAATCATGGGCACAGGAGACAGGGCGGCGGTGGCCGCAGCTCCTTCAGAAGCTCCCAAATGCCAAGAGGTCCTTCTGAATGTCCTCCCCTTTCCCATGGGGAGAAGGCCAGCCCGTCCCTTCCCCAATTCCTCCCTTCGAACAGGTTGGGCCCCCACAGTTTCCCCACCATCTGGACGTAGGCCTAGGGCCTCTCAGCGAGTGAGGGCAGGGGCTGAGTCAACAGGATCAGGCACTGGAGTGAAAATTCCTTTTTTGGAAGCCAGGCAGTCACTGCCCAGGCCGGTGGAATCCTTGGGAAGTGACGCAAGCCCAGAGTCAGTGAGAGGCAGGAGTGAGCGCCCCTCGGCCAGGCCGGCCACACGCCTGGCTACAGCCCTCCTCCTCACCTCCTCTCCTGCTGGCCCGAGGTGGGCAGGGCGGTCAGGAGCTCCTTATATAGGAAATGTTTTGAAGTCACAGCAGACGGCCTGTGCCTGAACACTCTTTGTAACCCTCGCTCTACCAGCAGCGCAGCTCATTCTGGAAGGCAAGAAGGGATAATACTGAAAGTGCCTGTTTTTTTCGCAGTGTGAAAGAAGAGCCTGTGCTTTGAGGAACGCCACCTCCTTTCCTTTTGTCTGTCCTGCTGTGGGGCCTGGCCCAGCTTCTCCAAGAACTGGCTCAGACACAGTGAGAGCCCAGGACTCAGCGCCGGTCACGGGGCCTCTCAAAGGGGACTGCAAACTGTCTGTGAAGGGAGGACCATCCCTGCCGGGAACGGCTGAGCAGCAGCTGGGAGCCCCGGGAAGGGGGTAGGGGAGGGGAGAGTTTTTCTTCCTCTAGGGTTCCGGGACACACTGTGGTGTCTTTCTGTGGCCAGAGTTGGTGGCTAGGGAAGGAAAAGGCCTCCAAGGCATCATTTCTTAATCAGGAAATATTTTTCTTCTAGCATCTGTTCCCCCTGATTCTAGGAACAGCACCCTATTTCTCTTTGGGGTGGCTCCAGGACTCAGTGTGTGGCCCAGCCTGGCAGAGCCACCAGCTGCTGTGTCTGCAGCATGAGGTGTAACCCAGGACATCCAATGGGGGGACAAGGTGTAGCCCAGAGCTTCCTGCTGCAGGGCCTGAGGTCTGCACTTGCTTCCACTTGAGGGGGTCCCCCCTCCCTGCAGGGAATCAGATCCAAGAGAGTGGGAGACAGATTCTTACAATGTTGTCTGATTGCCTTCGTCCAGCTGTGCCTGCAGCTAGAGATCCCAGCCACGGACAGGAGGTTCCTCGCAGCTGAGCCAGCATGAGGCACAGCTCCACCTTGGCAACGCGGTGCCCCACCTGGCTGCAGGCAGAATCTGCAGCTGAGGGTGCAGCAGTTGTTTTTTGGTTTTTAAGAAAAAGGCTGGGCCGGGTGTGGTGGCTCACGTCTGTAATCTCAGAACTTTGGGAGGCCCAGGTAGGAGGATTGCTTGAGTCTAGGAGTTTGAGACCAGTCTGAGCAACATAGCAAGACCCCATCTCTACAAAAATAAAAAAAACTAGGGGTGGTGGTGTGCACTTGTAATCTCAGCTACTCAGGAGGCTGAGGTGGGAGGATGGCTTGAGCCCAGGGAGGTCGAGGCAGCAGTGAGCCGAGATCAGGCCGCTGTACTCCAGCTTGGGTGACAGAGCTAGACCCTGTCTCAAAAAAAAAAAAAAAAAAAAAAGAAGAAAAAGAAAAAAGAGGCTGAAAAAGTAAAGTCCTTTCACTTTCACAAGTGAAAAAGTAAAAAAGTCCTTGAAGACCTCCACAATTTGAGTCCTTCAGTGTGAGGGCCCCTTTGAGCCTGTTAAAAATCCATGTTTGAAAAAAACATACAATAACATTTTGCAGCTTGTTATTTTTGTGGCACTAATAAAGACTTATGAGAGATTATATCTGTTAGCAGAATATTCCTGGATGAGTTTTGCTTCTATATAAAGTTTTTTTTTTTTTTTGCTGTTCTGATAGTTTTGTTTTGTTTTGTTTGCTTTTTGCTCTTCTGAGAGATAAAGGAGACACAGGAAGTGTCACACATCTTGAAGGTCATTCTTGCGATGGGTTTATTGCAGGAGATGATGGACCAAATGGCTCTGACACATGCACACGCTCCTGGGCACGCCTGCTGCGTGCTCGCTTCCCATGACCCCCAGGGCCCTCTATGCCTCCCCCCCAGGGCACCCTGCCCACTGCCCCCACTTCATGTACCACCAAGCCCTTTCCTTTTCTGGGCACCACTCCTGAGCAGCGTGACCAGCGGCCTCCAAGTGCATGTGGCTCAGAACATAAAAGCATCTTCAACATTCGTCATTGAGCCAAACGAAACACAGTGTTTGGCTCAAGAGCCGGCGACAGCCTGCATCCCTATCCACACGTGAACCTGCCCTTGGCTTGTGACCGGAGGGATGGCCGCTCTTCCTTGTCATCCAGCACCCGGAGCATGTATGTGCCCAGATAGATGAGAAACTGTCCCGTCACCTGGGCGGAGTAGGACAGGAACCGCAGCAGACTCCTGTGGCAGAGGCAGATGGGGAGGCTTTAGCTTGGGATTTTGGGCCAGTGAGAAACAGACAGGATGGGAATACTTCACTCCCCCCACCAAAAGGCACTCGGAGGAGGCCAGGCTGACATTTAGAGCATGGCTGTCTGACTCTCAGAGTGCACGTGTCCCAGGGCTGGCACAGATGCAGCTGCCGTGGCAGTGGGTCTGGCCAGGAGCAGGTCTCTGTGAGCTCCCTGAGGACCCCCTTGCTGCTGGCCCAAGACCACCGCAAGAAGCACGGCTCCCATGAGCCACCTGAAGTGCGGCCTGCTTGTTGAGTGGCTGGCAAGCTCTGTGTGGAGCAGATGGCCGCACCCGCACAGGTGTGCTGTGTCCTGGGCTTCGGCTGCTGGGCTGTTCTAGGGGCCCTGCTACTGAAATCCCTTCCCTTCCTAAGGTAGTAGCAGGACATTCAGCAGTGACTGAGCCCATGGGGATGCGATAGCCAAGCCTGGGCAGCTGTCTCATCAGGAGGGCCCACTGCCCCCAGCACCCACAACAGGGTCCCTAGCAGGCGGTGCCTCCAGTGTGGGGGCTGTCGTGAGTTCCATGGCTGCTTGTGGTGTCATCGGATTTATCAGAGAATACAAATTAGTAACAAGAAGGCTGAACTTGTCTTTCAAGAAAGACTTTGTGGCCAGGTGTGGTGGCTCATGCCTATAATCCCAGCACTTTCAGAGGCTGAGGTGGGAGGATCGCTTGAGTCCAAGAGTTGGAAGCTGCAGTGAACTATGATTGTGCTACTGCACTCCAGCCTGGGGGACAGTGTGAGACCCTCTTTCTTAAAAAAAAAGAAAAAGGGCCTGGAATGTGGTTCATGCCTGTAATCCCAGCACTTTTGGAGACCGAGGTGGGTGGATCACCTGAGGCCAGTAGATTGAGACCAGCCTGGCCAACATGGTGAAACCCCGTCTCTATTAAAAATACAAAAGTTAGCTGGGTGTGGTGGTGCATGCCTGTAATCTCAGCTACTTGGGAGGCTGAGCCACGGGAATGGCTTGAACTTGAAAGGAGGAGGTTGCAGTGAGCTGAGATCGTGCCCCTGCCCTCCAGCCTGGGCAGCAGAGTGAGATTCCGTCTCAAAAAAGAAAAAAAATAAGAAAAGAAAAAGAAAAAAGATTTCACTGAGGTGGAATTTTGGGTGAGGTTAGCTTTCTTCATCTTACCTTTTTCAGTTGTTGTAACTCTCTTGCCTAACTTTTAAAATCCAAGTGTAAAGCTATTTTCTCCTAACCCGGCAAAAAGGAAAAGACAAAAAAAAGGAAGCTCTCCTGGGAGTCAAGACTCCAACACTATGACAGTGACTGTAGTTTAGAGTCAGCCACTGATGGCTCTGAATGGGAAACTGAGGCCACAGAGAAGCCACACACCCTGGCCCACCTCAGGTGAGGCCAGGAGACCTCTGAGAGGAGGGCATTTCCCCTTTGCTGTGCTCAGCACAAATCAGAGCAGTTGTCAAGGCCACGGGGGACGGAAACAACACCCTCAAAGAGAAACGGGCGGCCCTGCCCACAGGGACGTGCAGGGGGCACTGGAATGGCAGCAGCTGCAAAACTTTTCGACTTGAAGACCTTTCTACTGCAATCAGCCACTCTCCCATCCACTCCCTCCACAGAGGTTAGTTCTTTAAGGATCAACGGTAAATTTACTGGAGTAGAAGTAGGTGTAGTTAGAGCCCTGGCAATCATAAAGAGCTTGGAAGCAACCTTTTCATTTTATTTATTTTTTGTTTGTTTATTTATTTATTTTTGAGACACAGTCTTGCTCTGTCACCCAGTCTGGAGTGCAGTGGTGTGGTTATGGCTCACAGTGGCGGATCTCAGCTCACTGCAACCTCCGCCTCCTGGGGTTAAACAATTCTCCTGCCTCAGCCTCCTGAGTGGCTGGGATTACAGGCATCCGCCACCACGCCCAGCTAATTTTTGTATATTTAGTAGAGACAGAGTTTCGCCATGTTGGCTAGGCTGGTCTCGAACTCTTGGCCTCAAGTGATCTGCTGACCTTGGCCTCCCAAAGTGCTGGGATTATAGGTGTGAGCCACCATGCCTGACCAACCTTCTCATTTAAAGATGATAAAAGCAAGGCTCAGAGAAGTTAAGGAGTCTGTGAAAGGTCACACAGCTGATTCCTTAGAGCAGGGACTGCTGGTGTTTCTCTCAGTCCCAGGCTCAATGGCAGGGGTGGCACCCAGTTATGGGGCAGGAACACCCAGGAAGGCTCCTTTTGATCACATGGAATTTGTTTGAATGGGTCTGGGGTATGGCTGGATCAGGAGTCTGTCTTCTAAAAGTTCTGTTTCCTGGGATGCTGTGCAACCAGCCTGGCCTTCGTCTTTGGGATGACGGTGCCCTGGCATTATGTGGAGAGGACACACGCCCATGCCACATTACTGGTAAGGCTGAAGTTATCAGGAGTACAGGAGATACATGCAAAGGCGTGTGATTCACCAGGGTCTAGGTGACCGTTCTGTACAAACCCGGCCACGACCTCCATGGCTCTGGTTTTAGTCATCATCACCTAGAATTAAGTGCTCTAGTTCTTAAAATGAATGTGGTTCCTCTTTATATTTATTATTTAGCTTTTGTTTCTAATGAATAGTTAGTGGTCTTTGGAAGAAATAAATCTGTTTTGGCTTGAGATTTTCTGTTGTGTGAGATGAGCCTGTGGGATAAGAGTTGACCTCCAGACAACATTACTCCAACTGCCCCTAACAGTGCTAGCCGGCCTGGGAGCCCAGAGGAACAGGGTGGGGACTGCTGCCTGTGCCACACCCTGTGCAGTCTGCAGACCCCCGGAGGTGACCCCTGGAGTGTGTTACCTCAGCAGGCCCTTGAGTCCCGTGCACCGGATGTCGTAGGACACGGAGTACATCTCATACATGGTGGCCTTCACGTTAAGGCAGCCGATGAAGTCCTTGGGGTTCAGCCTGTACAAGTCGAAGGTGACTCTCGCTATTCCCGACCTCTTCGGCGGCGAGCAAGTGGGGACGTGCTGGCTGCCCTGTGACAATGGGGGGAGGGGCAGGCTTCAGGAGCCTTCCTAACCCTCCCACGTCATCACTCTGCTCTTATGCCAGCTTCAGATTCTCCTATGTGTCTGTTTAAGGTCTGTGAGCGGCTCCGTGGCTAATCGATAGAGAGATGCTTTCAGCAGGACCCATTTGCACACACTACGACTGTGTCCAATTAGCCACGAGGCGTCTGTCCCTGATCTGCCTTCAGTTCCGGACTCAGGGTGAGTCTGGTGTGGCGTCAGGGCCTGGATTTTAGGACCCCGTTGCTCAGTGGATAGATGTGCCCTGATGAGTGGTGGGGACCCACTCGCCCTGGAGGCCACCATGGTTACCTGGTGACAAAAGAATCTCATCTCATCACTGTAACACAGTTATGGTAATGGAGAAGCAGGCAGCATTGGTTCAATTTTATGGGGGCTACTGGGTGGAAAGTACCAGAATCATATGGCTGAAGTGAGGGCAGAGTGGGCACCTTCCCAGAGCACCTCTGTGTTTTAATAACCCCCCAGGGTTGAGAGCGGACTCCATGGGGAAGCCCAAAGCCATGCAGCAGAACCCCTGGGTGGGAGGAGACCCCCCTGGGTGGGAGGAGGAAGTCAGTGACCTCTACACATCCCAGGTTTATAAACAGCACCGGAACAGAATTTTCCCCACAAAATGGTTTAAAAATATGAGAGCAAAGCTGCCCCCAGTACAAATGACAGGCCAGGAGCTGTTCTTTCTGAGTGGCTTGTGCCACATACAGATCTTGCAGCACTCAGGATTCGGGTCTACACAGGGTTACTAGGTCTTGTGAGCCTTCGAGGTTGGGAGCCGCTGAAGCTGTGAATGGTAAATTCACCAATGACAGTGACCTCATGAATGGGAACTTAAAATGTAAATACCCCTAAAATTACCCAAACCCTCCTCGCCGTGGCCAGCCTTCTTTATTCCCCTGTCCCACCATACAGACAAACCCACCTGTGGTTCCAGTTGTAGCCTCTAATTCGGATCATACAGAATTTGTTTGAATAGATCTGGGGTATGTATGGATTAGGAATCTGTCAACTAAAAGCTCTCCCTCCTGTGACACTTTAAAAATATAAGAGAGCAAAGCTGCCCCAAGGTACAAATATCAGGCATTTGTCTTTGACTTGAATTTGTCTTTCAGGAAACATTTTGTGGCCAGGCACAGTGGCTCATGCCTGTAGTCTCAGCACTTTTGGAGGCTGGGGCAGGAGCACCCCTTGAACAGGGCAGGAGGTTGAGGCTGCAGTGAGCTATGATTGTGCTACTGCCCTCCAGACTGGATGACAGAGCAAGACCTTGTCAAAAAAAAAAGAAGGAAAAAGAAAATAAAATTTTGTGAGGTGGAATCTCGGGTGAGGTTGACTTCATCATCCTTTTCTAAGCGGTTGTAGCTCCCTCTTATTACTTTAAAAATCAAAGCTGAGGCCGGGCACAGTGGCTCACACCTGTAATCCCAGCACTTTGGGAGGCCAAGAGGAGCAGGTGACCTGAGGTCAGGAGTTTGAGACTAGCCTGGTCAACATGGCGAAACCCCGTCTCTACTAAAAATACAAAAATTAGCCGGGCATGGTGGTGCACACCTGTAATCCCAGCATTTTGGGAGGCCGAGACGAGCAGATGACCTGAGGTCAGGAGTTTGAGATCAGCCTGGCCAACATGGCGAAACCCTGTCTCTACTAAAAATACAAAAATTAGCCAGGCATGGTGGTGCACGCCTGTAATCCCAGCTACTCAGAAGGCTGAGGCAGGAGAAGCACTTGAACCTGGGAGGTAGAGGTTGCAGTGAGCCGAGATCGCGCCACTGCACTCCAGCCTGGGCGACAGAGTGAGGCTCCATCTCAAAACAAACGAACAAACAAAAAAACCCAACCAAACAACAACAACAACAACAACAACAACCCCCCCCCAACCCCCCCCCCCCACACACACACTCAAAGCTGAGGCTGAGGCCGTTTTCTCTCAGCGGCCTCTTGGGGGCGCCAGCGAGCCCTCAGCCGGGAAACGTGTTTGGAAAGCTCAGATCCTGGCATCAGAGAGGGCTTCTCCTCCCGTCCCGCGCCTCTTTTTCCGAGCCTCACATCCCTTTCTGACTTTTGAAAGTTTTAATTTTACTCTCCCTAAATGTCTCCAGTCTTGGTTAAAATTATGACGCCCTCCCGCCGCGGATCCGCTGGGGCCTCGCCGGGCGGGGGCTGCGGGGCCGCGCTCTTCCTGAGGGCGCTGGGACCGGGGAGCGAGACACCTGCTGGCGGCTTCCTGCTCCAGCGTTCTGGTCTCAGTCTAAACTGGTTTTGCCCAGAAAGGCCTACAGGTGGCTGGGATCCAGGGAGGTGGTTGCGCAGCCGAAACGGGGGCCGCGAGCCCCCTGGAGCGCGTGGCCGGCGGTGGCATCTACACCCGTGGCATCGACCGCCCCCACCACCCTGCCCTGCAACCAGGTTCCCAGCGCCCACCACCAACTCCTCCCTGTTAGCTGAGTGTCTCCTTTAGAAAAACAAACCCGCCTTTCCCATCTCCTACTGCTGCTGTAACAAACGACCAGAACCTCAGTGGCATGAAACCCACACACCAATGCTGTCCCACTGCCGAGGTCAGAGTCAAAGCCAGGGCGCAGGGCCGCCGTGGGGGCTGCGGGGCAGGCCCGGCCCCTCGCTTTTCCCGGCTTCTTGGGCGCCTGCCTTGGTGGGTACCCCACATCTCTCCTCCTCCTCTGCCTCTGGCCTTCATGCTCACCTGCCTCCCTCTCATAAGGACCCTTGTGAAGACTTCGGCCTCTACCCAGATGATCCAGGACAAACCCCACCCCAACCCCGCCCCAGTAACCTTCACTTAATCCCATCTGCCACGGCTGAGGATTAAGACAGGGGCGTCTGTCCGGCCGCCTGGGCTCACGCCTGTAATCCTAGCACGGTGGGAGGCCGAGGTGGGTGGATCGCCTGAGGTCAGGAGTTTGAGACCAGCCTGGCCAACATGGCGAAACCCCGTCTCTACTAATAATACAAAAATTAGCCGGGCGTGGTGGTGGGCGCCTGTAATCCCAGCTACTCGGGAGGCTGAGGCAGGAGAATTACTTGAACCCTGGAGGTGGAGGTTGCAGTGAGCCCAGATCACGCCATTGCACTCCCTCCTGGGCGACAAAAGCAAAACTGTCTCAAAAAAAAAAAAAAAAAAAAAAAGAAAAGAAAAAGAAAAAGAAAAGAAAACAAACAGAGGTGTCTGTGGTCTGTGGGGGCATTATTTTTGCTGTTACACTTTCCTCAAGCAAAAAGCCATGCAGACCAATATTTGCTTTAAATGATTTGTCTAATTCACCCCACAATTAATAGTCTCATCTACAGACATCTCCCCACCTGCTTTTTTTTTTTTTTTTTTTTTTTTTTTTGTGAGACGGAGTCTTGCTCTGTCGCCCAGGCTGGAGTGCATTGGTGCTATCTCAGCTCACTGCACCTCCAACTCCCAGGTTCGAACAATTATCTGCCTCAACCTCCCAAGTAGCTGGGATTACAGGTGCCTACCAGCATGCTTGTCTAATTTTTGTATTTTTAGTAAAGACGGGGTTTCACCCCGTGGGCCAGGCTGGTCTTGAACTCCTGACCTTGTGATCCACCCACCTTGGCCTCCCAAAGTGCTGGGATTACAGGTGTGAGCCACTGCGCCCAGCCCTCATCTACATTAAAGATTACATTTTATTCTAAATATTATGCTTTTATAATTGGTCTGTGGTTTCTTTCCCAGTCAGGAAAATTGTGAGGTTATATATATAATATATATGTATATGTATAATATATGTAGAAGTAAGGGACAGAAAGACGTAAAATGAAACCTACACACTGCCATCCCTTAGAGACCCCATCCACCTCCCACATCTCCCCTCCTCTCAAGAGGTTTTTATGCCATGCGTTTTCCCCTTACTTTTCTCTATTTTTAGCACATGTGTATCTCAAACATTATATTGTTAATTTTGCATATTTTTGAATTATCTGTAAATGATTTGATGTGGAGTTTATCAAAGTGTAATCTGGAGACATCCAGGAATCCTGAGGCCCTATTAAGGGACTGAGAGGTCAAAACTAGGCCAAGCACGGTGGCTTATGCCCGTAATCCCAACATTTTGGGAGGCTGAGGCAGGTGGATCACTTGAGCCCAGGAGTTCAAGATTAGCCTGGGCAACATGGAGAAATCCCATCTCTAAAAAAATACAAGCATTTAGCTGGGTGTGGTGACATGCACCGGTAGTCCCAATTACTTGGGAGGAGGAGGTGGCAGGATCCCTTGAGCCCAGGAGGTGAAGGCTGCAGTGAACCAAGATAACGCCACTGCACTCCAGCCCGGGTGACAGAGCAAACCCTGCCTCGAAAAAAAAGAAAAAGAGAAAGAAAGGCCATAATAAACAGTAAGATGCAGTTTGCCTTCTTTGTTCTCACAAGAAGTGCTGTTTCCACAGCACATTTGGAAAACCTGCATAACTCAGTGAATCAGTTTTTCTCAATGACCAACGCCTGCTGTTACAAAATCATCCCCAGGAAAAAGGTCCATTCAAAATGGAAGACGGACTGATGGATTCACTGTAACAGAGGAGGCCAACTTCACTGGTATACCTTCAGATTACACGCTGCATCTGACCTTTCTGAAAACACCTCAACTCACTATTCTGAAACCATGACTTGGTGAGTTCTGGCATAATATAAAAAAAAGAATATCCTCAGTTATCTGAATAGGCTATTAAAATCCTCCTCCTTTCCCAGCTGCATATCTGTGTCAGGATGGATTTTCTTCATACTTCCATCAAAACAATATGTTACAACAGACTGAATATAAAGAAGCAGATATAAGAATCTTCTATTAAGCCAGACATTAAAGAAATTTACAAAAATGTAAAAAATGCCGTTCCTCCATCTTTTTGTTTTGGAAAATAGTCACTTTTCATAAAAATATGAGTTAAATTAACCTGGTGGCTGGTCGTGGTGGCTCGTGCCTGCAACTCCAGCACTTTGGGAAGCTGAGGCAGGCAGATCACAAGGTCAGAAGTTTAAGACCAGCCTGGCCAACATAGTGAAACCCCACTAAAAATACAAAAATTAGCTGGGCGTGGTGGCAGGCACCTGTAATCCCAGCTACTTGGGAGGCTGAGGCAGGAGAATCGCTTGAACCCAGGAGGTGGAGGTTGCAGTGAGCCGAGATCACGCCACTGCACTCCAGCCTGGGCGACAGAGCGAGACTCCATCTAAAAAAAAAAAAAAGTGAGTTAAGTTAATCTGTATTGGGTTATTACTTTTAATGAATTAATACCTATTTTTAAATTTCTGAATTTTAATTTCTTTCAAAAATATGCTAATCAGTAACTTCCAAACAATTTGAATTTGAATATTGGCTGGGCGGGGTGGCTCACGCCTGTAATCCCAGCACTGTGGGAGGCAGAGGTAGTGGATCGCTGGAGCTCAGGAGCTTGAAACCAGGAGTTTGAAGCCAGCCTGGCCAGCATGGCAAAACCCTGTCTCTACAAGAAGATACAAAAATCAGCCAGGCATGGTGGCACATGCCTGTAGTCCCAGCTACTTGGGAGGCTGAGGTGGGGGAGCCCAGGAGGTCGAGGTAGCAGTGAGCTGAGATCGTGCCACTGCACTCCAGAGTGGGCGACAGAGCAAGACTGTCTCCAAACAAAAAGCAAACAAATTAAAAAAAAAAAAAAACCACTGGGGGCGGTGGCTCATGCCTGTAATCCTAGCACTTTGGGAGGCCAAGGTGGGTGGATCACCTGAGGTCAGGAGTTCGAGACCAGCCTGGCCAATATGACAAAACCCCGTCTCTACTAAAAATGAAAAAAAAAAAAAAAAAAAAAATGGCCGGGCATGGTGGCAGGCACTTGTAATCCCAGCTACTCAGGAGGCTGAGGCAGGAGGATCCCTTGAAGCCAGGAGGCATAGGTTGCAGTGAGCCGAGATCGCGCCACTGCACTCCAGCCTGGGCGACAGAGCGAGACTCCATCTCAAAAAACAAGCAAACAAACAAAAAACAATTTTGACTATTGGGAATATCTATATCTATCTATAGCTTATAGTTTCTCGACCTTGACACTAACGACATTGGAGGCTGGATAAGTCTTTGCTGTCGGGGTTGTCCTGTGCATTGCAGGATGTTTGGCAGCATCTCTGGTCTCTACACACTAGATGCAACAGCCTAACATGTCTTCAGACATTAACAAATGTCCCCCAAGGGACAAAGTCTCTGCAGCTCAGAACCTCTGATTGGCACATGTCTATAGAATTTATTGATACAAGCCGGGTGTGGTGGCTCATGCCTGTAATCCCAGCACTTTGGGAGGCCAAGGCCGGTGGATCACTTGAGGTCAGAAGTTCAAGACCAGCCTGGAAAACATGGTGAAACCCTGTCTCTACTAAAAATACAAAAATTAGCCAGGCGTGGTGGTGGCTTGCCTGTGATCCCAGCTACTTGGGAGGCTGAGGCACAAGAAACACTTGAGCCAGGGAGGCAGAGGTTGCAGTGAGCCGAGATCATGCCAAAGGCTGTTTGGGGTCCTCGTTAATTTTTAGGAGAGTAAAGAGGTCCTGAGATAAAGTTTGAGGATGCGTTGTTTACTGTATTATCCTGTGATCTTTTGCTCAGCATAGCTGATGTGTATCCACATGGATGCCTGTAGCTGAACTTCACACATTTTCACAGCTGAAGAGCATTCTGTTCAGGGACCACATTACAGTTTCTTCGTGTGTATTTACTTAGAAGTACTTCTATGTGCTGGGCACACGTGTGTGCTGCAAGGGTACATGATTTGTTTCCAGTGTTTGTTCTCACCACTTAGGGCATTGCTGCCATGGACGCTCTAACACACACCTGCTGACGTGGTGTTGTTGGAATCTCAGGTTCATGCCCAGGAAAGCAGCTGCTGGGTCATAGTCTGTGCCTCACTCTCTGAGATGAAGCAAATTGCTGCATTAAGTAGCTGTTGGTGGTAGTAGAGGAGTGTGTTGCCCTATATCTTAAAAATAAAAAAATCGGCCGGGTGCGGTGGCTCACACCTGTAATCCCAGCACTTTGGGAGGCCGAGGCAGGTGGATCACAAGGTCAGGAGTTCGAGACCAGCCTGTCCAATATGGTGAAACCCCATCTCTACTGAAAATACAAAAATTAGCCAGGCGTGGTGGCACGTGCCTGTAGTCCCAGCTACTCGGGAGGCTGAGGCAGAAGAATCACCTGAACTCGGGAGGCAGAAGTTGCAGTGAGCCGAGATCACACCACTGCACTCAAGCCTGGGCAACAGAGTGAGACTCTGTCTCAAAAAAAAAAAAAAAATGACTTGTGCATTGTATCTTGTTTTAAAAAAATCCTTCCCTACGTGAGGATGCCAAAGAGAGAGAGATTAGATTTCAGTCTGGTCTCTAACATCCTTCGTGTTCCCCACCTCTACTGCTTTGTGTTACATCACAGGCAACATCTTTCAGATCTTTTATCATTACCTTCAGCTCTGTCTAACCTGAGTCTCCATTTACTTGATTTTAGTTGTTATATTTTTCATTTCCAAAAATTCTATTTGATTATTTCAAATCTGTATAGTCAGTTCTTATTAGCTCTTGTTCCTTTTTAATGTATTTTTATTTTTTGAGACAGGGTTTCCCTCTGTCCCTGGGGCTGGAGTGCAATGGTGCAATCATGACTCTCTGCAGCCTTGACCTCCCAGGAGCAAGTGGTTCTCCCGCCTCAGCCTCTCAAGTAGCTGGGACTAGAGGTATGCACCACTACGCCAGGCTAATTTTTGTATTTTTTGGTAGAGATGGGGTTTTGCCATGTTGCTCAGGCTGGTATTTTCTTATTTTTTGTTTTTTTTGATATAGGGTCTTGCTCTGTCACTCAGGCTGGAGTGCAGAGGTGTGATCATAGTTCATTGCAGCATCCAAGTCCTGGGCTCAAGTGATCCTCCTGCCTCAGCCTCCTGAGTAGCTAGGACTTCAGGTGTGTAGCATCTTGCCCAGCTAAGCCTTAAAAAAATTTTTTTTGGTGGAGATTGGGGTTTTGCTGTTGCCTAGGCTGGTCTTCAATTCCTAGCTATTCTTATTTTAGATTATTTTTAATGTTTCTTTGAGCATTTAATTAATTTATTTATTTAGTCAGTCAAACTTAGCCATGGGTGAGCATTTTTAGTACACTAATTTTATACTGTATGTCTGATGATTCCAACATCTGCGGTCCTGGCAGGCCTGACTTGATTGCTTCTGCTTACTCTCATGAATGTGGTGCCTGAGTCCTTACGTTCTGTGTTTTGATTGTGAACTTGCATTGTGAGAACGTTACGAATGAAAACTCTTTGAGGCCAGGATGGATGTTCATCCCAAGCGGAACTGCCTGAGCTCCTGCTAGTTACCTGGGGCACTATCAATCCTGGAAACGGGGCTGGAGTAAAGAGAATCCAATGAGCAAACCCCTCCATTGATGCTACTCCCCCAGATCTCTGAAAACCGAACTCTCAGCTTAGGGGTTTGGGACTCAGCAATGCCTAAACCCTCATGAGGGCAGCTTGTGGCCCAAATTGCCAGGAGAGAGCTCTAAGATTCCCTGCTTTACGCAGACCCTCACATCTCACCCCTTGACTTTGTGTCAGCTGGAGGCTGTCTCCTGTCCTCCCAGCATCTGTCCCTGAGGTCTGTGGGTGCTCACAGGTGGGGGAACCCCAGAGGAGATGCCTGGGGAACTGCCAGCTTCAGTGTTCGTGTTCCTCTCTGGATGCTGGCCTCAACATTTTAACCACTGAGGATTTCTCTTTCTTGGAGATCAGTTTATTATGTGAAAAGATATTTTGATATTGTGCTTTACATTTTTAGGCATTTTATACTGAGAAGGTTTTTTGGGCTATATCATCTATAGTTTTCCCAGAGACCGAAGGCTTCATTCTGTCTCTTTACTTTTCTAAATCTCCATATTCACACATGCACACACACCCCTCTCCCTAACTTCCTTGATGGTGTTTACTTCTCCAGCCTTCTAAGAACAGAGATGGTGAAGAGTTGCCAAGTCAATTCCGTGCATTTACAGGATCTGTAGCTACTCACTGGCCAAAGCCTGTTCCCTGGAATTATTTGCTTTATATCAAATAGCCTCAGTTCACAGAGAGACTAAGTTTCCTAGAAACATTTGTAAGAATCCCTTTGAGGGCAGTGGATCCAGTTGTTAGGTGAATACAAAGTGCATATTTAGAAAGTGGAGAAGTTGGCCGGGCGCGGTGGCTCACGCCTGTAATCCCAGCACTTTGGGAGGCAGAGGCGGGCGGATCGCGAGGTCAGGAGATCGAGACCATCCTGGCTAACACGGTGAAACCCCGTCTCTACTAAAAATACAAAAAGTTAGCCAGGCGTGGTGGCGGGTGCCTGTAGTCCCAGCTACTCCGGAGGCTGAGGCAGGAGAATGGCGTGAACCCGGGAGGCGGAGCTTGCAGTGAGCCGAGATCGCGCCACTGCACTCCAGCCTGGGTGACAGAGCGAGACTCCGTCTCAAAAAAAGAAAAAAAAAAAAAGAAAGAAAGTGGACAAGTCAACACCCAAGTAGGGCACACAAATTTGTAGGTAAAAAGTCTACCCAGTAGCTGTTTGGGTGACAGTGTTTTTGCTTACCGGCATCCACTTCTGTCCTTTTTCCAAGATCATGAAATGCGTGTTGTCTCCCAAGGTCTGAAAGAACTCTTCTGTGTCCACCACGGTGCCATCTTCCTCCAGCACCAGAGTGACCAGTCCGGTAGCGATGACGAGGGCATCCAGAGTCTAGGTGTGCAACACATCAGAGAAATGGAGTGAAGCCAGGTATTTCCATGTGACCAGCCAATGACATTTATTAAGTTACAGTTTTCAAAAGTGTTGGGCTGATTCTGATAAAATTTTAATGGTAAAGGTAACCTTGACTTGTGTCTATGACTCAGTCTTTGCTTGGAAACAGGGAAGTGAAGAATGTTCTTTTTAAGATGGGGACCCACTATGCTGCCCAGGCTGGAGTGCAGTGGCTATTCACAGACACAATCATAGTGCATCACAGCCTCAGACTCCTGGGCTCAAGCAATCTTCCTGCCACAGCCTCCGGAGTAGCTGGGGCTACAAGTACATGCCATTGCATGCGGCCGGGAAGTTAAGATTTTTAATGGATCTGTCTTCTTAAGATACATGAGGTAATGATTACATTAAATAATATTTGTAATTTCTAAGATTACCTATTTATTTAGATGAATAAAAAGAAAGCTCTTGCATGTTTGCTGCTGTAAGAGCCACAGCCTCGTGTGCGTAGCTGAGTGTCTCTCTTGCTTCAGAGACTGCATGTTGGATGCTTGTTTCTTGTTTCCATGGGTGCCTGAGTCTGAGTTATGCTTCTCTGAGAGGCTGGGATTCTTCCTTATTTGGTGGTCTAGGACACTGTTCTAGATCCTGGCCTTTACAACCAAACCCAGACTTCCAAAGTCGGCTCCATCCCTGCATCCTCCCTTGTCAAAGAAACAAAGCAACATTCTCCATTAGTGACTGTTTTAAGGTTTTTGTCTCTGTACCTCAATGTTTTATGGTACAGAGATGTAATGTTCCCCTTGATCATTTATACCTAACCTTTACTCTCAGAGTCTCTGAGGCCAAGAGAGGGTCTGATGAGTTTAACTTGCTGTTTCTCCTTCTTTCTTTTCCTCCTCTTTTAAAAACAGCTTTACTGATGTATAATTCACATATCATATGATCCACTCATTTAAAGTATACGGTGCAGTGGTTTTTGGTATGCTCACAGAGTTGGCCCACCGTCACCACAATCAATTTTACAGCACTTTCATCACCCAAGAAAGAAACTGGCATGCACTTGGGAGGTTGAGGTGGGAGGATCACTTAAGCCCAGGAGTTTGAGGCCAGCCTGGGCCACATGGCAAGATCCTGTCTCAAAAACAGAAAAAGAAAAAGAAACTCCATAACCACCAGCAGTCATTCCCAATTTCTCTCCCCGTTTCCCCCCAGTGAGATGCTGCTTTTCTTGATCTTTCTGTGCTGGCCCTGGCTTAGAGCCCAAGACCATGGCCCTGTGTGAGTGCAGGGCACCCCTGTGGACTGGGGGAGAGGTGCGGGATGTGGGGCACCTTGCTGATGAGCTCCTGCAGGCTGCTTGCCATCACCCCACGCCGGCTGCTCCTGTCATGGTTGGAGACCCGGAAAGGGCGAGCTGGATGCATGAGCGGGGTGAACAGGACTCGCTTAGTCTGTGATCCCATAAATGTCAGGGGCCTGAAAATGGAGGTGAAAAGTAAAACTTTTTAAAAAGAGTCTGTCAGAAGAAGTGTGAAAGTACATAAAAATAATGCATTTTTAATATTTGCATCTAAAAGAAAGAAATTCAGTTGTTGGGATTACTAAAAATTATATATACAAGTGTACACATAATTCCAAAGAAGAAACAAGTAACACATCAAGCCAAAACACACATCCATCTTTATTCCTATTTTACTAGAACATCCAAAGTCCTTGCTGAAACTCTTTGAGAAGGAATGGTTAGGGAATTCAACTCAAACAAGAAATAAGAATTATATTCTGCAAATATGGGTGGGAGATTTAAAAAATCCAAAAGAATGATTTCTAGTGGCCATGAAGTAGTTACGCAGAGTTAGAGACTCAGTGCACTCAGACACGTGCACATAGCTACATGTTTACACAATAAGGGTAAGCCAGAAATCAATTCAAAAGTGCAATATTGGTCACTATAGCAATCAATGAAGTTTCTGAAATCAACTTAGGAGGAACCAAGAACAGCAGAACCACCCTTAGAACTGTGGCTGGAATCACAAGAAAGAAAAGACCTTCAGGGCTTACATCACAGGACACTTTGGATTAAGTCCACATTTATCAAAGAATTAATTCAAAAATTTACTTTTTTTTTCTCCTTTTAGATACAGGGTCTTGCTTTGTTGCCCAGGCTGGATTGCAGTAGTGTGATCTCAACTTACTGCAGCCTTGACCTCCTGGGCTCAAGCGATCCTCCTGCCTCAGCCTCCTGAGTAGCTGGGACTATAGGTGCAAGCCACCATGTTTGTCTGAGTTTTGTATTTTTGTAGAGACAGGGCCTTACTTTGTTGCCCAGGCTGGTCTTGAACTCCTGGGTTCAAGCAGTCCTCCCTCCTGCCTCAGCCTCCCAGATGAAGCTTTTGATAGCAATTTAAGAAATGCAAAACCTGCTGGGCATGGTGGCTCTCATGCCTGTAATTCCAGTGCTTTGGGAGGCTGAGGCAAGAAGATAGCTTGAACCCAGGAGTTCGAGACCAGCCTGGGCAACATAGTGAGACCCTGTCTTTACAAAAAAATAAAAATAAAAAAAAATTAGCTGGGTGTGGTGGTGCAGCTATACTCTCATCTACTCAGGAAGTGGAGATGAGAGGATTGCTTGAGCCCGGATGAACCTAGAAGGTCAAGGCTGCAGTGAGCCAAGGTTGCACCACTGTACTCCAGCCTGGATGACATAGTGAGACTCCAACTGAAAGAAAAAGAAAAAAGAAAAGAAAAGGGAAACTGCCTTCAACACATGATTGCATGCTTTTAAACCA
Organism: Homo sapiens; assembly: GCF_000001405.40. Taxonomy (NCBI): domain Eukaryota; kingdom Metazoa; phylum Chordata; class Mammalia; order Primates; family Hominidae; genus Homo; species Homo sapiens. The sequence continues at coordinate 12,261,514 of NC_000018.10, read as the reverse complement.
AAAAGCATGAAGGCATGAAATTTTATAAAAATAACTCCAAGAGGGGAGACACAGTTACCCTGCTGCTGTCACTAGAAGGGGGGCCAGTAGAGCCACATGTAGAGTTTTCACCCAGGACCGCAGACTTTTGTTTGTTTGTTTGTTTTGAGATGGAGTCTCGCTCTGTTGCCCAGACTGGAATGGTTCAAGCGATTCTTCCGCCTCCTGGGTTCAAGCAATTCTCCTGCCTCAGCCTCCTGAGTAGCTGGGATTGCAGGCGTGCACCACCATGGCCAGCTAATTTTTTGTATATTTAGTAGAGACTGAGTTTCACCATGATGGCCAAGCTGGTTTCAAACTCCTGACCTCAAGTGATCCACCCACCTCAGCATCCCAAAGTGCTAGGATTTCAGGCGTGAGCCAGCACTCTTGGCCGACTTTTTTACATTCAGAAATAGATTCATAACAAAATGATTGCAAATAACACAATCAGAAATCAGCAAGGGTTCAGGTCTTACCTAGAGCCAGGCACCGTGATAGTGGCATCTGTGTGACCTCATTGAATCCCCATGCCCCCACAGAGCAGGACTGGACACTTCCCTCACCCCGGAGAGCACCCACCTACCACAGGTGCTCAAATTAGTGGCTATTTGGACAAATGCTTGTACACGGACATTCAAGAGAATGAAACAAAGGGTGTAGTTTCAGGACAACCTTGAAAAAGACACAAAGTGAGCACATCACTGCTTTTTGACTCTTAGAGCAGTTTTTCTGGATTAACTCACTGAATGCTAAAATACTAGGGAACACCTGCACGGATTGCCAATGCCTGTCACCTGCGATTTGGCACTTTATGACACACAGCCATCTATCCATGCTTTATTTTCTGTATGGATAAAGACTTCGTTGTTATATTTCCTGTAATACCTAGCTTAGTTGTAGGCACATACATTTTAGATAGTATATTATCTAACTTAAAGCTCTGCAAATGGATCCAAGTGAAAATTCAATGACTTACCAAATTGTTTGTAATATAAAAAACCGATAGTTGGCTGGGTGCAATGGCTCATGCCTGTAATCCCAGCACTTTGGAAGGCTGAGGCAGGAGGGTCACTTGAGCCCAGGAGTTAGAGACCAATCTGGGCAACATAGTGAGACCCTCATCTTTACAAAAAATAAATTGAAAAAAAAAATTAGTCAGGCGTGGTGGTGCATGCCTGTAGTCCTAGCTACTTGGGAGGCTGAGGCAAGGGGATTGCTCGAGCCCTAGATTGGGGCCACAGTGCACTCCAGCCTGGGCAAAAGAGTGACACTGTCTCTAAAACAAACAAACAAACAAACAAACAAACAAACAAACAAAAAACAGACCAAAAACCTGAGAGTAGAGTAACAAGCTGGCTCTCAAAAATCGCCTTGTTGAGTTCACGCTACCAGCTTGATCCCAGTTTCAGGCTTTCCATAATCGTGAGTGTTTGTGCCTTCTCCAGGTGCCTCACCAACAAAGTGTCGTTCTAGAACCAGACCAAGGTCATTGGCAAGAATTTGGTCTGGAGTATCCTTGGCCAGGATGACATCAGGGCCTCATAACTGCTGGCATCTAAGCACCATGGCCAGCAGTGTATTAGCAATTTCAGCTCTTGTTAATGTTAGTTCAATTTTTGTTTGTTTGTTTTTGGAGACAGAGTCTCGCTCTGTTGCCCAGGCTGGAGTGCAGTGATGCCATCTGGGCTCACTACAGCCTCTGCTTCTCGGGTTCAAGCAATTCTCCTGCCTCAGCCTCCTGAGTAGCTGGGGTTACAGGCGCCCGCTACCATGCCTGGCTAATTTTTGTATTTTTAGTAAAGAAAAGGTTTTCACCATGTTGTTCAGGCTTGTCTCCAACTCCTGACCTCGTGATCTGCCCACCTTGGCCTCCCTAAGTGCTGGGATTACAGGTGTGCACCACCATGCCCATTAATTCAATATTAATTAATATTAGCAAATTATCCTCACAACCTTGCAAGGAAACTATTGCCCCACTTCACGGATGAGAAAACTGAGGCTCAGAGTGGCTTCTCCAAGTGGGCCAGTCAATAAGGGAAAAAGATAAAACCTGATCCCAGGTCTGTCCAAAGCCAAGACTTTTTTTGGTTGTGGGAGCAGGTTGTTTTGTTATCCATCCTCTGAACTTCAAATCTCAAGCAATAAACATCTATCTAGAGGGCTGTGCGGAAAAGCTGCTCTATGGCTGAAAGCACAGCAGCGCTTCGAGTTCATGCCCTCAACGCCTTTCCCTTCTGGGTAGACAAAGTTGCTACACAGTTTGTTTTCAATGAGGCAAGCCCGAGGGAAATGTGCTGGGTTGGGGCTCCGGACCTGTCAGAATGACCCGCACACGTTTGCCAGGGACCCACCTAGCCAATCAGAGCCTCGCCCGGCCGGGCTGTGCACCAACGCGGCCCCAGGACTGGCACACAGCTTCTGAACTGTCACCTCGATTAAGAGAGTGACGCAGGGTTCTCAGTTACACAATGCCATAAACAACACTGCTGTGCTGACACCACGGGGAATTCGGGCACACTCTCACTCCTGGTGACCCGGGGGGAGAGGGCGGTGAGGACGGGCTGTGTTACATTTCACGTTCAGAACCCTGGCGTCGCCTCCACCTCATCATGGCAGCTGAAATTTAAACTAGCTGAAGTCCCCTCAAGGAGGGTGACAGAAAGGCCCAAGTGCCGCTGGATGCCAAACCCTCGTGTGTGAGAGCTAGCGCCTTGCCTTACCACTCCTTGGGATCCACCTTACAGTGAAACCTAGGCCTGGGGAAAGCAGGAGGCGAATCGTCAGGGCAGCAAAGGCTAGACCAGGGTCTGAATCCAGCTCCGGCTTCCACCCAGCGGTGCGGCACCTGGCCAGAAGACGCGGCTCCCACAAGAGAGAAGGGCCCGGCCTCAGCAGCGAGAAAGAGCCCCTCTTCGCCCCCAAGGCAGGAAGTCACCACAGTCTTGCACAAGGCCTCTAGCATCTGTCTCACGGAGTCTGGCGGTGCATCTCCTACTTTCCCACAGCGCCTGTCAGCACGCCATCTATTTACTGAGTGAAAGATGCTAGGCCAAAATCAGAGAAATGAGAGAACATGGTCCATGTCTTCCAATGCTAGGTCCAGCCCCAGTGGTCAAAGGCGCAGCCCTGGCCCTGCATCTCCTCATTGGACGAACATGCTCACGCCTTCGTAAGCACCTGTGCTCCGGTGACCTGGCCCAGATGATTAATTCCAGGTTCCTGCGGTCTTTACCTGTCTGACAAGATAAGAGCTGGCAACCATTTCTGGTTCTCCCTGCCTTCACCTGCCCTCAAGATTGCCATCGTCAGTGAAAAAACACCTATTGTTCTCACCTGTAGCATTTCCAAACCAAGAGCTGCGTCACTGCTGGAGGAAAGGCTGGTGGGGGCACAGAGGAAAGGAAATTTACACCCCACCTTCTTGTCAAGGAGGAGGTGAGTGATTTCTGGGTCAAATTATGTAAAATCAAGGCTGTCTCATATGTAACACAGAAAGGGGTTGAATGAGATGTTCTGCACGCCAGGCCTATGTACTCCAGGACCCTACAGGTACCGAATCTGCTGCTACATGAACAAGCCACCGTCTCCACCCAAGTCACCTCCAGCCCGCTGAGTAGAGTCATCTCTATCACTGGCCATCAGCACCGTGCCTAAAAGCAGGGCCACTGAGCGGCCCTAGGATCCTGCGTTTAGACACACCACACATGAGAACTGCCGCTCCTAATTCCTGTGAAAGTGGGGGCACACAACCACAGGAAACAGAAAGGGAAATAACCCTCTAACAGGGAAGATATAAGGAAACAGTTTGTTTAAGGAAGTAGGCTGTTTCACAGAAATCCAGAGAGGAAAAGTCAGACTTCATAGAACGCTGTGAAACGGCATGTCTCTCAGGAACAGGTGGGAAGGGAAGGTTTTGTATTCTGCCCCGAGGGAGGCAGGGCGCCGCCAACTTCCAAAAGTGTGTGAAATACACCAACAAGCCACAGACTGACAGTAGACCTGAACTCTTCTCCAGTAAAACAAACCTGAGCCGTACAGAGAATTAAAAAGCTTTCTTTACATGCCACCTATGGAGGAAAAGGGCCCAGTATTAAGGTCTTCCTCAAAGTGAAATATTTTGGTGTCATGGGTGAGGGGGCAGCAGTACAGGCTGTGTAAAATAGTGCCTGGGAATATTCAGGGGGCAGTGATGGCTGAGGGAACTCTGCATCTCATCATTAGGAAGAAAAAGAGGCAGCCACCGTGGGAGGAAGAAGCAGTACACAGGAATTGGACAGAAGCCAACCGAGCACTGTCACCAAGAGCAGCAGGGAATGCCAAGGAGGGAAGTGTGAGGTCAAGCACAGCCACGCAGAGAAGGAAGGGAGGGCTGGGAAAGTGCTCCACAGGCCTGGAGAAGAGTCCCTGAGCTGTAGAGACAGTGTCAGAGGATGGTGGGGTCAGTGGCAGGAAGCAGGGAAGCAAGTGCTGCCTTGACGAGACTTCCTGCTGCCCGGCTCCCCTAGGGCTCTTGGACGTGACATATGCAGGTGGGAGCACACCTACCCCCCAGATAAACTCGCCCCGACAAGGACTGCCTGGTTCATGGCTCAGTTCTTCGCAAGCTACCTAAAGGCTTGACATTATCAAGTGTTCAATACATGACCATGAAGTCTTTGAACACTTTGCAGTTTCGTTAAAATAAGAATTTAAATTCAAGAAGCAGAAAGCTGAGAGATTGACTTGTAGCATACTTAATTCCTTACTAATGTCACTAAGAAGACTGGTGAAATTTGTACTGAAATAGCAGCACAAAACCTAGAGTTCCTTGTTCAAGGAAAGGAAAAATGTGCTAGATAGCTATGAAAGCAGCCATTTCACACGAAGCTTATAACATGTACCAGCTTCATAACAACTTCAGCGTTTGGCAGGAATGTTATCACTGGCAGAACACAGGAACAGAGCAGACTTTGTCTGTGATAGTCAACCTGCATGTGGACCTCCTTGATGTCTGGAGCTTTGTTGTGAGACCTCAGGCTGCTTTCCTCAGGACCAAGGCCCCTAACGATTCTAGCTGACTAACAAATGCCTGGGTTAAGGTTTCACCACTGACTACAAGTACCTGATTTTTAAAAATTTTTGTGCACATTGATTCGGTTCTTTCCTTGGTAAAATGTAGTTACTAATAAAGACAGAATTATGACATCCTGGACCTGGTTTAAATTAAGGAACCCTGAGAGGAAGCCGAAGTCCAGCAAGAGCACAATTAGCAAATATGTTAGGACCTGGCCTCTGGCTCTTTTGCCCGGACAGGGTTTTAGAGAGGGGCAGGGAAGAAAAGGTGTTTTCCCTTCAACAAGAATTACAGATTGTTTTCTTCCAGTTTAGTTTGGTAACAGGTAGATTTCACAGAATGACAGTAGTCCAGCCTGGGAGCAGGTAGATTTCACAGAATGACAGTAGTTCAGCCTGGGAGCAGGTAGATTTCACAGAATGACAGTAGTTCAGCCTGGAAGCAGGTAGATTTCAAAGAACTGCAGCAACAGCTTGTCCATAACAGGTAGAGTCATTCACTCCTGGGATGAGCCAAGCTGGAAGGAATGTGTCCTAGGAGACTCAAGGTTTCCCAATGTTTCATTTGTCAACAGCTCATAAGCAAGTCACTTCCACTTCACACGACCTCACAGAGACCCCACACAGATGCATTTTGGATTTTGGTGAGCTGTTATAATAGTCAGAGGCAGGGACAGGCTCAGCCTGAATCCTGCTCAGAGGCCAACCAGGATTGGTTAGTGCGAGTCAGCCCACACCTCCTTCCCCCATGCTCCGGAGGAACAGTGGGTGTGTTGTGAATTCACTGGAAAAGTGGTTGGAAGGACGCATTCCAAACTGCTAAGACCTCCCCTCCTGGAAGTGGGACTGTGGTGTGGATGGTTCTGGAAGAACGCAAAAGATACAGGGCCCTGACCTTTAGGCCTAAGCGTGTTAATGACCATACACGAAGCAGGTGTTTCTCAGCGTCCCCCTGCCACCGCCCCGACTTGTACTGTGGGCTTATTTTTAAAGAGAAAGATGCTTCTAACCTGCAGTGTCTACAACAGCTCCCATTTAAGAACCCGGGATTGGAAGCTCATAGATTGCGTTTCGTAGCCGGACCGCTCCCTTTCACACATGTAGTCTCTCTGCCCGCCACACGTAGCACACACAGTGGGACCCGGCGCCGCTGAACGCCTGCACCTTCAAGCCCGCAAATGGTTCTCTATCCTTTTCCAGGTACTTGATCTTCAGAGAAACACGATCTCCCTCTTAGACCTTACTTTACAGTTGCTGCCACGCAATGACTTAGGATTTTACCAAGAATTGGCTTGGGTCTGTTGGGATATGAATATTAACCCAAGCAGGAAAATAGCCAATGCTGCCTGTTCGACCACGAGCGGGTGCGAAGCGCAGGGAAGACTCCTCAGGGTCCACCCGCCCCTTGTCCCCCCTGCTCCCCAGGCAGCGTCTCCGCCCTTGGACCCGGAGGCAAGGAGGAGCGCTTCTCCCAGCACCACCAACCTGGAGGGCTCCGCCGGACGGTTGGGGCCTCCCCTCGGAGACCAGAGCCCGCGCTTCCAGGAGGGGCCAAGCCTGGGCCCCTCCCGCGCCCAGCTCCCGTTGTGATTTCCAGGACCCCCAGAAGCCCGGTCCCCTCGCATCGCGGAAGCTTTGCTCGGGGTTCCTGGGACCGGACCCTCTTCTGCGCCCGCGACTGCAGCAGCGGCCAGAGATGCATGCAGCCACTCGCCAGCTGTCACCTGGTTTGCAGACGCCCGCGCACCTCGCAAGAGCCACACCTGGTACCTGTGCCCAGCTGCAAGAGGGTGAGGAGGCGCGGGACGGGATTGGGCTCTGCCCGCGGGCGCGGCTGGACGGCTTGGGCACCAGTGGGGCGGATGGGTGTGTGCGCGGGGTCGCGGAGCGCAAGAGAATGCGGGGAGCAGGGGGCTGAAGGGAGCGGGGTACGGTACTAGAGGCGCACAGGGGAATATGAGGCCACCGAACGCAAGGCGATTGGAAGCGCACGGCAATCAGGGGGACGCGGGGCACTCGCCTGATGAGGGCTCCTGCATAGTCCCGGGCGGCCTCCATGGCGCGGATCCCCTAGCGGGCCTGGAGGTCTGTCTGCCTGCACAGCCTCTTAAAGTGCGGCGGCCCCGCCCCCGCCCGCCTGCCAGCCCCGCGAAGGCCTGACTGGCGCAGGGGAGGACGTTTTGGCACGAGCTCTCCACCGCCGAGGATCGCGACTTCGCGCTCTGGGAGCCCCCGGTCGTCCTGGCTCCCGCAGCCTGGAGCCGCGCGTCCTTCGCTGCCTTGGGCCGTACCGAGGACCTTGGAAGCCCAGATGCTCCCCGGGTCTCTTTTGGTCACTTGCCAGCCTGTTCGTTTTGCACTTCTGGGGGTCGGGGCAGTTGGGGTCATAACCAATCCTGGCAGCATCACTTTGGCCGCGGAAAGACGGGTATGTGGATTTTAAACCCAGGCCACGGGTGGGGCAGGTGAGGAGACGGATGTGAGCGCCACTTGCCTCCAGCTCTGGAGTCCCCCAGAGCCCAGCCCCAGGCTCAGCGAGCCGCTGGTTCCCTGCAGGGATGCGGAAGCTGCCGCAGACACCGGGACCTGCAGCCCTTCAGGTTCTCCGAGGCGCCTGGGCTTCCTGCCCGCTGCGCTGCTCTCAAGGCCATGTCATGAGCATTTGGGGACAGTGAGAAGGGCATGCAGAACGGGAGGGGAAAGGAGCCTTTGGACTGCATGAATTGCCTTTTAGCTGTAGTAAGGGACCCTCGCAGAGTGAGGAGGCAAAGAGTGAACCCCGCTGGGGCTGGGGGACTTCCGTCCACACCCTGCTCTCATGGTTGTTCCCATCGGAAGACGCAATTAGGGCCTCTGAGACCTCCGAGGAAGGCGGGCAGTTACAAGGGGTTCCCAGAACCCCTCACTACAGGACTGAAGAGGTGGGCTCAGTGTTGAGGGGTGGGACTCGGGCAGTAAGAGGTGTAACTTTCTGGGATGGAGGCTTGCTAGGATATCCTCTCGTGCCCAACTGCTGACTGCCGCCTGGAAACAGCGTTTCGGGAGCTGCAGCGGGACCCTCGCCGGCTCCTCCTGAGCCCACCTGGTTTGAGCAGACTGACCTGATCTCTTAAGACCTGACCCTATGCCCGCCCTCTTCCTCCGCTGGCTCTCAGAAAGGGTCACCGTGGTCAACAAGCCTTGTGACTTGCAGGACTGTTGAAGCCAAAGGCAATTGCCTTCCAGAGTCAAGGACTCCGCCTGCTGGGAACACCCAGCTCCAGGCTCACAGGGGGCAGCTTCCCCCAGAGGCACTGAGCGGACACAGCTTTAGGAGGTCATTCACTGCCCCTCCCACTCACAGCCCCAATGTGATGGATGAGAAAATGGGTCCAATCAATTCAGGTCAACTTACCTCTAACCTTTTTATTGTGAAAAAGTTCAAATATAGAGATACATAGAAAGAACAGGGCTGAGGGTACTGGCTTACATCTGTAATCCCAGTACTTTGGGAGGCCAAAACAGGAGGATGGCTTGAAGCCAGGAATTTGAGACCAGCCTGGGTAACACTGTGAGACTACTATCTCTACACAAAAATAACGATAATTAGCCAAGCATGACGGCGAGCACCTGTAGTGCTAGCTACTCAGGAGGCTGAGGAGGGAGGATCACCTGAGCCCAGGAGTTTGAGGTTGCAGTGAGCTGTGATCATGTCACTGCACTCCAATATGGGCAACAGAGTGAGACTTTCTCTCTAAAGAAAGAAAAAAATCTGTTTGTGTGTATATATCTATCTATCTATATATAAGATAGATAGATAGATAGATAGATAGATAGATAGATAGATAGATAAGAGAGAACAGTACAATGAGCACACTTACACCCAGCCCCTGGATTCAACCACTGTTAACATTTTGACATATTTCTTTGTTCTTTATATTTGAATTTGAACCCTTCCAAATTAAATCCTTTAGCTTGCATCTCTGGAGAAACAAGGACATGATCTCATACATAACCATAGTGACATTATCACTTCTAACAAAATAAAAATAAAGACCTGGGCACTGAGTGTGGACATGGGGGTGGGGTGGGGACTAGCAAACATTTCCAGGCCATGGCGATGGCAGAAGGGACCCAGCAGGAGATCACCCTGGGGTTTTGAGCTTGGGAGACTGGAGAGATGAGGAATCCTGGACGGGAGCAAGTCTGTGGTGGAAGCGGAGATGGTGGTGAGACCAGGCCCTGGGGACCCCTTGGTCACGGAGGCAGCATAGCCCTGGTGTGCATTGGTTCTCATGCAGATCTTCAGGCTGGGAGTAAAAGTCGGTCACTGCCCTGCTGCTGAGTGGGAATCCTGGAGTGCTGCGCTAGGAGGGTGGTGGGGAGAGGTGGGAGAGGGCAGAGGGCAGACTGAGCTCCAGGGGACTTGGCTGCAAACCCAACAGATGATGGAGAAGACAACAGTGCGAGTCATGCCCAGCCTTCCAGCATATTCTCGTCTCCAGCACACAAATTCATTCCACTCTCACTCGACAGGTTTCATTCATCCATGTTCAACAACTACTCTGTGCCCGGGCAACCAGGATTGGGAACCCAGCTTTTTAGTTCAATTCACCAAATGTTTGTTGTCACAGAGCCTGTGCAGCTGTGAACAGTGGGCTCCACCTGACACCCACACCCTCAGGGAGGGACCTCAGCATTGCCTTCCCTCGGCTCCCAGCAGTATCTGTGGGGTGATGCCACAGTGGGCTCTGCTCTTTCTCCAAAGTATGGATGCCTCCCCACTCCCCGAGTCTCAGCATGTGCTGGGCACAGCCCATGCTCTGGAGTGCAGAGACCTAGGTTCCTAGCCTGGTTTTGCCTCCTCTAGCTGGGTGACCTTGGGCCAGTCACATAACTACCCCAAGCCTCAGATCTTCATCTGTCACAGGGCAGCGGCCTGTCTGTCTCACAGGGTGTGTGAGACTCAAATGCCATGAGGGAAGGGCCGGCCTGGTCAGCTCCAGCAGCGTGAGTGGGACTGACCACGACAGCAATGAACGGCTCCACTCCCTACTCCTAGCCAAGAGCGCGTGCCTGAAACAGAAATTGATTCCCACTTACCGCAATACGTTATAAACATCGGTGCTTAGGGTTCAAAGAAACTCCAGTTTCTAATCCAATTTCTGTTTTTGTTTTTTTTTGGTGGAGGAAACAATCATCCCTGAACTTTGGCCTTGCTACTTTCAAATTCTGTCACTGTGGGAACTTTCCTTTTTGAGCTTCAGTTTCTTTATTCCTACTGATCCCTGATGACATGCACTTTTTACCAAGTTTCAGTGGGGTGCAGTGAGAGTCGAGTGAGGTAATGCTTTTGAAATACATTGTGAACCATCAAGCACTGGAAGAGGACTAATCCAAACACCGTTAAACACATAGCCAGGGCATCTTCAGCAGAATGGTCAGTAAGGCAAATAATTTATTTCAATTTGCTCTGCTATTTGCCAAAGCCAAGTGTCCTCCTATTTCCGTATAGCTTCCAGCCTCCCTGTTTGAAAAAACTTTCTATAGTTATTTATACTAAGGTGTAAATGATTGCTGTCCCACTCAGCAAGCATTTTCTGAGCATCTCACTGGTTAGCTCTCCACCAGGTCCATTCCCCCGCCCTCTCTGTCCAGCCCTGTGCTCAGGAGGCTGCCCCACGGGCTGCTCCTTGCCCTTGGGCTACCAGTTGGTTCATGCTGGGCTTTAAAAAATTAAGAACAATTGTACTGCAGAATAATGTGCATCTGCGAAAATGCACAGATCTTTGTGTGAATGTTTATGTTCATAAACTGCTTGGATCAAGACAGAATATTTGCAGTGCCCATTAGGCTCCCTTTGCCCCTTCAAGGCCGTACCACCCACCCCACACTGGAGATCACACTGTTTATTTTATTTTATTTTATTATTATTATACTTTAAGTTTTAGGGTACCTGTGCACAATGTGCAGGTTAGTTACATATGTATACATGTGCCATGCTGGTGTGCTGCACCCATTAACTCGTCATTTAGCATTAGGTATATCTCCTAATGCTATCCCTCCCCCCTCCCCCCACCCCACCACAGTCCCCAGAGTGTGATGTTCCCCTTCCTGTGTCCATGTGTTCTCATTGTTCAATTCCCACCTATGAGTGAGAACATGCGGTGTTTGGTTTTTGTCCTTGCGATAGTTTACTGAGAATGATGATTTCCAATTTCATCCATGTCCCTCCCTACAAAGGACATGAGCTCATCATTTTTTATGGCTTAGTATTCCATGGTGTATATGTGCCACATTTTCTTAATCCAGTCTATCATTGTTGGACATTTGGGTTGGTTCCAAGTCTTTGCTATTGTGAATTAGTGCTGCAATAAACATACGTGTACATGTGTCTTTATAGCAGCATGATTTATAATCCTTTGGGTATATCCCAGTAATGGGATGGCTGGGTCAAATGGTATTTCTAGTTCTAGATCCCTGAGGAATCACCACACTGACTTCCACAATGGTTGAACTAGTTTACAGTCCCACCAACAGTGTAAAAGTGTTCCTATTTCTCCACATCCTCTCCAGCACCTGTTGTTTCCTGACTTTTTAATGATTGCCATTCTAACTGGTGTGAGATGGTATCTCATTGGGAGATCACACTGTTTTGCCTTCCATTACAACAGGTTCATTTTGCGTATTCTTGAACTTTGTATAAATAGAATCACGCAGGGTGTTCTCATTTGTGCCTGGTTTTGTTCACTCTTCATTGTGCCTGTGAAATTATTCATTTTATTATGTATGTTATTTGTTTGCTCATTTTTGCTGCCAAGGAAAACTGCATTGTGTGATATTTATGTTCCATTCCACAGCCCATGGCTATCTGGCCGGTAAGGATCCACAAGGCTGCAAGGCACTTTTGTATGTTTCCTGGTTGCACATGTGTGTTGCTTTCTCTTGGATGGAGGGGCCATGGAGACGTGGACACATCTGAATGGAGTGGCAGAGGGACAGATGACCATGGGTACAAACTTCATCTCCCAGGAACAGGTGTGGAAGGTGGGATTTGAAGCCTGACCAGGAGGTCTGCCTGGGCATCTGCACTTCCGGCAGTTCAGGTTTGATTTCTAGTGTCTCAAATCTATGCAACGATGCCTTGGCCATGAGCTGGGTTACAGCAAAAAACTAAGGTGAATTTTCACAAAATTGAGGAGCATTGCTTGCAGTCGACTAAGATGTCTTTCTTCACATTGTTAACTAATGAGGTCAGGCGTGCCCGTTAGGAAAGTGAGCGGGTTTGTAGGCAGAAGGGCCAGGGCAGCAGATGGGGCTTTAGTGGGTTCACACTTGATGGCCCAGGGCTGGTGAGCCCTGTGGTGTGGGAAAGATTACGCAGGAAGTCAGGGCGCCATCTCTCCTCGGTGTTCCAATTCCAAGCCTCAGTTCCACACACAGAATAACCATAAACAGGGAAATCCGGCTCTCTGCATCTGTCGTGTATGCTGTCATGTATGCAGAGAGCTGAATTTGAGAGGGCAGCTGCAGCACATTCCGAACAGGAGGAGTTGAAATTCACCTGCCCTCAGCAATGCCCGATTTGAAGTGCAGGTCCTAGGTTTCAGAGTTGGTACCCAAGGTTGCAAAGGGTGAGGGCAGTCAGGAAACTTGTGTGAGGAAACTTGTGTGAGGAAACTCAGTGTAGACAATTGCTTGTCCAACTAGGTGAAAAGCAAAAGATCCTTTTAATTCTGGAGTAGACATTAAGAATTTCTTGATTTCTTGGGCAGCTTACAATAAAAACTCAATGTGGCAGGCTGGGCGTGGTGACTCACACCTGTAATCCTAGCACTTTGGGAGGCCAAGGCAGGAGGATCTCTTGAGGCCAGGAGTTTGAGACCAGCCTGGGCAGCATAGTGAAACCCCATTTCTACAAAAATGAACTAATTAGCTGGGTGCGGTGGGGGATACCTGTGGTCCCAGCTACTCTGGATGCTGAGGTGGGAGGATCACTTGGGCCCAGGAGTTCAACGCTGCACTGAGCTATGATTGCATTGCTGCACTCCAGCCTGGGCAACAGATTGAGATTCTGTATCTAAAAAACAAAATAAAATAAAATTTAACAAAACTCAATCTTGTATTATTTCATGCCTACGATATTTAATGGGGCCCCCATACATTGATTCTTAACCTTTTGGGGCTCAAAATCCCTGAAACGTCTGATGAGAGTGATAGCCCTTCTCTCCGAAAAGACTCATATAACCCAGCGACATTGTGCTCACACTCTGGGGGTCCCCTGTGCCACAGGCTGGGAAGCCTGCTCTGAGGGGAGGCATGGTCTCTGCAGGCTGCAGCCGACCCTTCAGTGCTTTGTGCTATTAACAAGCTGGGCACTCCGGACACTTGTTTTGGTTGTGGCTGTTGCTGGGCTTGGATGTTTATTTTCCTTCCAAATATAGGAACAAAGGTGATGTTCTTTTCACTGACTTCTATATGTGTTTTTCTGTCCAAAAAAAGTGGCCAAAGAAGCCTGTGTTCAGAGCTAATTCCAGGACTTTCCCAACTGGGCAGGAGGGCAGAGCAGACTCTGCTTCGTGCAATGGGGGTGTCAGCGTCAACAGCAGCACGTCCAAGACACCAGCCCCAGGCTCTCCATACAAAATGTCCTGATCTTCCAGAAAGGTTTTAATAACATCTTAACTCTATAAGTAATAGATAAATACTGTGTCATTATTAATGATTTTTATGTAAACGTTGTGGAGAAGGCAAAATCTTCTGGGATCATGGCCTCCAATCCTGCCCCTCTCCTGCCCCGTCCTCAGCTCGCTCTGAATCCTCCAGTGCCTTGTCCTGTGGGTGATACCCACACATCACAAGTGGGATTCTGCACTGTGGGTGGTTTGCACAGCGGTATCATATTCCACGGAATGTTCACAGCTTGCTTTCTCACCCAACAGTGTGTAGCTCTTCCTGTCCCCGGGCACGGGGACTGCCCCGCTGTTGTAACTGCCTGGAGTTCCCGGCAGGTGTACAGCGCATCACAGCGAACATCTCCCTCTTGCTGCCCTCTGCGCTGTTTCCAGTTGGTCCTTGGCATCCACAGTGCTCTCCTGAGCATGCTCGCATGCATCCTGTCTCCGTGGGTGCCTCGCTGGGGGTAATACCAAGAAGTGGAATTGGTGGGTTTTAGGGTATGTATATTTCATTTATTTATTTATTTTGTTATTTCGTTTTTATTTCATAACCATAAAGTGCAGTCCAGCTAAATATGGAGGGAAGTAAGAAAACTGTGGAAGCCAAAGAACTGCAGCGGGAGCACAAAGATGATAGGACGCTGTGAGCAATGGGGTGGAGGGGGCGCTCCTGAGCTACAGAAGGAGTGCGCCGGTGGTTAAGAGAAAACACAAGTCAAATCGTTAGCGCTGTCCACAGTCGGCAGTGGTGATCCGCTGCTGGTCGTGCCATTCCTGGGCCCAGGCGCTCCGTGGCTTCCACCGTGTCCATGCACCTTGCCAAAGACCACGTGCTTGCCACCCACTCAGTCCTGGCTGCGCCGGTGAGATACTGGGACCTGTTTGTGTTAGGTCCAGCATTTGCCATGGACAAGACACCAGGACCCAGATGAATCAGGATGAAGTCCTTGTCATCAATTTTCTCCCTGCAGACTTGCCGCCAGTGTCATTATGGCCTGTGAAGTCGCCAGCCTGGCAACAAGACCTGGAATAATTCTGTGGAAGCAGGAACCCTCATAGGCAAATTCTTTCTCTTCAGGGTTCAGAGCATGAAAGTTTTCTGCTATTTTTGGAACTTTGTCCGCAAATATTCGGAAGGAGACCAGCCCAAGGGCTCACCACCAATGGCAATGTCAAAGAACACGGTGGGGTTGACCATGGCTGATGGCAGGGGACTCTGGGAGGCAGCGGCGTCTGCAAAGCTGTGTATTTTAAAATTTCAATAGATCCCGCCTTGCTTCTCTTTCCTGCATGTATGCAGCCCCTTTCCCTGTGCTGACCATGAAGCTTGGCTGGACGGTGTCTCTACAGTGCTCTCCTTCCCCTTTCTATGACATCAACATCATACTAATGATAATGTAATAACTGCGGTTTATGCCTTCCTTCCAACCTTATTCAGAAACTTACCTTTTCAAACAATAGAAAAACAGAAAAACGGATGGAAATGGCTGGTGAGAATTGCCCTTGAGGAAATGTCCAGGATGACGGATAATCAAAGGGAAATAAAACAGTCCCTGGATGCCGCCTTTTGCCTGTCCGTTTGGTAAAGCTTGTTTAAAAGAACCCAGCCATGTTGGGGAGGGTGCAACGAAACAGGAATTTGTACTCTTACTGCTGATGGGAGGATCACCTGCTCCACTCTTTGGAAAGTAATTGGGTAAATATGTATCAAAACTTGAACAAATGAGCCTCACCTTTCCTCCACCAATTCCACTTCCGAGAACCGTTTCTGGCAGCCGCGGCACCCCTGGTGTGTATTTGGTCCACTCAGTCGGCAGGTCTCGTGCAGAAAGGGCAGGAAGGAGGTTGGTGGCGGCTGTGGGGTTGCGGCGGCTCTGCACCCGGCTGGCTTTGCGTCGTTGTTCCTCATGCCCGGGTTTTGCCATCTTCACCTCCAGCCTGGAGCTCCAGCCTCTGCCCTCCCTGGTGCCTCCCTTCAGCTCATGGAAATGGTCCTCTTTTGACCCTGCTGGGTGGGGTGGCCCTGACCAGAAAGAGCCAGTGGCTGCTCAACGCTGCCTCCTCCCTGGCATGGCCGTGGTTTGAGAGGCCCCAGCAGAGCACAGTGACCTGGTGCCAGGGCCCCCTTCAGCACACCACGGGATGGGGAGTGGGTCTGAGGGCCGACCCTGCCTTCCTTTTTTTTTTTTGACAGAATCTCACTCTGTCACCCAGGCGGGAGTGCAGCGGTGCGATCTCGGCTCACTGCAACCTCTGCGGCCTGGGTTCAAGTGATTCTCCTGCTTCAGCCTCCTGAGTAGCTGGGATTACAGGTGCCTGCCACTGCGCCTGGATAATTTTTGTAGTTTTAGTAGAGACGGCGATTCACCATCTTGGTCAGGCTAATCTTGAACTCCTGACCTCGTGATCCACCCGCCTCGGCCTCCCAAAGGGCCTGGATTACAGACGTGAGCTACTGCGGCCGCCAACCCTGTCTTCTTAGGTGGGGCAGGCCGAGCTCTGACTGCAGCCCTGGGGCCAGAAGAAAAATGACTTGTTTGGAAAAGGCGAAGTTTCGGCATTTCGAGGGATTTATGTTAGAGCCCTAAGTGGAGCACGTGTTTCAGGCGATTACACTTTCTGAAATAGCAGCATAGTCATGAAGTGACATACCTGGATTCAATAGCCAACATTCAGAGAAAGGGAAGCTCTCATAAAAATCGTGTTAATGCAACCAGAATCTTCTCTCCCTTATTATTATATGACACCCAGGATTGGCTAAGAGAAAGGCATTCCCCTCCTTTCCACTTCATAATTAAAGACAACCTGAAATGACAGAACCCCAAGGATCATGTGACTAGATGAAAACTGCTTAAAGGACAGAAAAAATTCAAAAACCCACTAACTGTGTTCACCATGGATGCTCTAGTGCAGTAATTTTTACCGAGTAAACAATGTATCCTCATTATTGTCTTCCTGAGCTCCTCCACTTTTTCCTCTTAAATTTGCAATTTCTGATGCTCCTACAGGGCATGGAATCTGATGGGTTGGTCTACAAATATTGACAAAATAGAAAGAAGAAAAACAAAAGAAACAAGCTTACCACCTCACATTATGTGTGAACTTCAAACTCAGTCGTACAATGTTTCTCTTTACCTACATAAGATGGAAAGAGAGAATTAAATAAGGCCTTGTAAGAATTCTGAGGCACTGCTTATAATGTCTCAGGTGAGTCCCTGAGAATGAGCTGGAGTTGTTTGCAATACCCACCTCGTATTTGCACCTTTAACACACATGGACACACAAAACTCCCAGACTCTCAGGCCTCAACCAGAACCTCAATATTTGGTTTTGTGGAGTCCGGCTTTTTAAGTTTCTCAGAAAACTGCCCACAGCATTTGCCTTAGTGGATGGCACTGGGGATATGAAACAGAAATGGAAAGGAAATTGAGATTTTTCCTGTGATCTTTCGTACTTTTTGAATTTTGTACCTTTTAATTTCAATTAAAACCACATGCATGTATTACCAATATAAGGTATTAATTGATTAGTTATCTTTCAATATCAGCTCAGAATGCTCTTCAGTTACTTCTGTGTAATTATATAGACATAATTGTGAAGAATTCTTTTTTTTTTTTTTTTAGTATTTATTGATCATCCTTGGGTGTTTCTCGGAGAGGGGGATGTGGCAGGGTCATAGGATAATAGTGGAGAGAAGGTCAGCAGATAAACACGTGAACAAAGTTCTCTGGTTTTCCTAGGCAGAGGGCCCTGCGGCCTTCCGCAGTGTTTGTGTCCCTGGATACTTGAGATTAGGGAGTGGTGATGACTCTTAACGAGCATGCTGTCTTCAAGCATCTGTTTAACAAAGCACAACTTGCACCGCCCTTAGTCCATTTAACCCTGAGTGGACACAGCACATGTTTCAGAGAGCACGGGGTTGGGGGTAAGGTTACAGATTAACAGCATCCCAAGGCAGAAGAATTTTTCTTAGTACAGAACAAAATGGAGTTTCCTATGTCTACTTCTTTCTACACAGACACAGTAACAATCTGTTTTCTCTTTCTTTTCCCCACATTTCCCCCTTTTCTTTTCTACAAAACCACCATCGTCATCATGGCCCGTTCTTGATGGTCGCTGTCTCTTCAGAGCTGTTGGGTACACCACCCAGACGGGGCGGCCGGGCAGAGGTGCTCACTTCCTAGATGGGGCGGCCGGGCAGAGGCGCTCCTCACCTCCCAGACTGGGCAGCCGGGCAGAGGCGCTCCCCACCTCCCAGACGGGGCAGCCGGGCAGAGGCGCTCGCTTCCTAGATGGGGCAGTCTGGCAGAGGCGCTCCCCACCTCCCAGACGGGGCGGCCAGGCAGTGGCGCTCCCCACCTCCCAGACGGGGCAGCCGGGCAGAGGCGCTTCTCACCTCCCAGACGGGGCAGCCGGGCAGAGGCGCTCCTCACTTCCTAGACGGGGGGGCCGGGCAGAGGCTGTAATCTTAGCACTTTGGGAGGCCAAGGCTGGCAGCTGGGAGGTGGAGGTTGTAGCGAGCAGAGATCACGCCACTGCACTCCAGCCTGGGCAACATTGAGCATTGAGTGAGCGAGACTCCGTCTGCAATCCCAGCACCTTGGGAGGCCGAGGCAGGCAGATCACTCGAGGTCAGGAGCTGGAGATCAGCCCGGTCAACACGGCGAAACCCCATCTTCACCAAAAACGCAAAAAACCAGTCAGGCATGGCGGCACGTGCCTGCAATCCCAGGCACTCGGTTAGCCGAGGCAGGAGAATCACGGGAGCCCGAGGCAGGGAGGTTGCAGCGAGTTGAGATCACGGCAGTACAGTCCAGCCTCGGCGACAGAGGGAGTCTGAAGAAAGAAAGGGGAGAGGGAGAGGGGGAGGGGGAGGGGGAGAGGGAAGAGTTCTTTTAAAAAAAAGGAATACTGACTAAGAGTCTAAGTTAACCCAATGGGGAAAGGAGAGGTTTTTTTTTTTTTAACACTTGTGGCTGGAACTACTAGATATTCACATAGAAAGACATGGGCCTCAGACCTCTCTCACACCACCTGCAAAAGGAATTCAGGATGCGTCATAGGCCCCCATAGAAGAGCCAGAACCGTAAGGCTTCTAGAAGAAAAGAAGGAACTGTCTTTACAACTTAGGGCAGACACAGATTTCTTGGAGATGGTGCAAAAAACACTGGCTGGATGTGGTGGCTCATGCCTGTAACCCCAGCACTTTGGGAGGTAGAGCCGGGAAGATTGCTTTAGCCCAGAAGTTTGAGACTAGCCTGGGCAACAGAGAGAGACCTCGTCTCTACAAAAAATAAAAAGGTAGCTGGATGCAGTGATGCATGGGACAATAGTCCTAGCTACTTGGGAGCCCCAGGCAGGAGGATCACTTGAGCCCGGGAGGTCAAGGCTGCAGTGAGCAGTGATTGTGCCACTGCACTCAATCAAGCCTGGGGGACAGAGTGAGATCTGTCAAAAACAAAGCCCCAAAAAACCCAAAAAAAACACTATCGGTAAAACAAGAAATTGATAAATTGGACTTCATTAAATTTTGAAATGTTCTGCTTACCAAATAACAATCCAACAAAATGGAAGAGGTAAGCTACACACTGGGGGAAATATTTGCAGAAAATATATGTGAAGAGGCGTCTTTAGAGAACTCCTGAAAATCAACAATAAAAAGATGAAGAACCCAAATCAAAAGTGGACATGAGATTGAACGGCCAGTTGACAAAAGAAGATACACAAATGGCCGCTCAACACATGAAAGGTGCTCACGTTATGGCCACTGCTGGTCAAGGCAGGTTCAACAGGTGAAGCCCCATCAAGATAATTCACCACATCAACAGACTAAAGAAGAAAAACCATATGATCATCTTGTCATTTATGTATGTATTGAAAAAACACAATGGAAAATAGCAAGTGTTGATGGGATGTGGAGAAATGGCCCTCACACACTCCTGGTGCTGGCGGGAATGTAAAATGGTGCAGCTGCTGTGAAAACAGTTTGGCAGCTCCTCAAAAAGTTAAACATAGAGTTGCCTTATGACCCAGCAATTCCACTCCTACATACCTACTCAAAAGGACTGAAAATCTGTGTTCACACAAAAATCTCTACAGGAATACTCCCAGCAGCATCATTCATGATAACCAAGAGTGAAAATAATCCAAATGTCCATCAACTGATGAGTGGATAAACAGAATGTAGCACATCCATACAATGGCATAGTGTTCAGCCAGAAAAAGGAGTGAAGTGCTGATATGCACTGTAAGAGGAATCAAGCTTGAAAACATCATGCATGGTGGAAGGAGCCAGACATGTCCAGAATAGGCAAATGCACAGAAATAGAAATAGGGTCGTGGTTGCCAGGGTCTGGGAGGAGGGGGAGATGGGGAGTGGCTGCTGGTGGCGCTATGGGATTTCTTTTTGGAGTGATGAAAATGTTTTGGATTAGAGGCGGGGCACGGTGGCTCACACCCGTAATCTCAGCACTTTGGAAGGGCGAGGAGGGTGAATCACTTGAGGTCGGGAGCTGGAAACCAGCATGGCCAACATGGTAAAACCCCGTCTCTACTAAAAATACAAAAATTAGCCAGGCTTGGTGGCACACGCCTGTAATCCCAGCTACTCAGGAGGCAGAGGCAAGAGAATCGCTTGAACCTGGAAGGCGGAGGCTGCAGTGAGCCTGGGTGACTGGAGTGCCGTGGGGAGATCTGCACTCTAAAATACTCTGTCTCAAGAAAAAAAAAAAGAAAATGTTTTGGATTAGGTAGTGATGACGATTGGATAACCTTGGGAATAAACTGAACAACAATGATTTTAAACTTTAAAATTGTGACTTTTATCATATGTGAATTATATCTCAATTTTTAAATAATCTTATAACTAACATTATAGTGAAAGATTGAATGCTTTCCCCCTAAGATTGAGAACAAGGCAAGGATGCCCTCCCTCCCCACCCCTGTTTAACATCATACTGGAGTCTCTAGCCAGTGCAATAGGCAAGAAAAAGAAAGAAAGCACACAGATTGCAAGGGAAGAAATAAAACATTATCTTCTTGCAATGACATAATTTTTTAATGTAGAAAATGCAAAGAGCTACTAGAGCTAACAAGTGAATTCAGAAGAGTCACTAAGTATAAGGTCAATATACAAATATCAATGATTTTTCTATATACTAGCAATGAATAATTAGAAATGGAAAATTTTAAATACCATTTACAATTGCATAAAAAGCTCATTAAATTCTTACTATAAAGAAAGTGAAAAGATAACTCACAGAATGGGAGAAATATTTGCAAATCATATATCTAATAAGGGCTTAATATCCAGAATATATAAAGAACTCCTACAACTCAACAACCCAGTTCGAAAGTGGGCAAAGAACTTGAACAGATAATTTTCCAAAGAAGATATGCAAATGTCCAATAAGCACATGAAAAGATGCTCAACATCACTAATTAATAGGGAAATGCAAATCAAGTCCACAATGACGTACCGCTTCATACCCATTAGGATGGCAATTTTCAACAAAAAGGGAAGTAACAAATGCTGGTGAATATGCGGAGGAATTGGAGCCCATCGTGCATTGCTGATGGGAATGTAAAATGGTGCAGCCACTGCAAGAAAAAAAGATAACACTTTAGTTTTTCTTTAAAAAGTTAAACAGAATTGACATATGATTCAGCAATGTCACTTTCAGGTATATATCCAAAAGAACTGAAAGCGGAGACTCAAATGAACACTCGTTCATTGCAGCATTATTCACAATAGTCAAAAGGTGAAAATGACACAAATGGCCATCCACAGATGAATGGACAAACAAAATGTGGCATTGCCAGACAATGGAATGCTATTCAGCCTTAAAAAGGAATGAGATTTTGATACATGCTAAAACGTGATTAAACCTCGGGGACATTATGCTAAATAAAATAAGTCTATCACAAAAGGACAAATATTGTATGATTCCACTTACATGAGGTACCTAGAGTAGTCAAATTCATAGAGACAGAATTGAATAGAGGTTCCCAGAGGCTGGGGTGGGGGCAGAAGTAGGGCACCATTGTTGAATGGGTACAGAGTTTCTGTTTGGAATGATGAAAAAGTCCTGGAAGTGGGTGGTGGTGATGATTGCACAGCAATGGGAATGGAATTCAGTGTGAATGCCACTGAACTGCATGGATGTACGTGCCCCAGCCAGGGATGAACAAGCTGGTGTGTTCGTAAATGGACACTACCCAGCGGTAAACAGGAACGAGCTACTGACACCTCCAACAACACGCATGAACCCCAAATGCATTATGCGAAGAGAGAAGCCAGATTCAAATGACCATGCACTGCATCATTCCATTTATGTGGCATTCTGGAAAAGGCAAAAATATAGGAGCAGATCAGGGTGACCAGGAGGCAGAGTTGTGGGGAGGGAGCCTATGATGGGGACACATGGGAATTTTGGAGGCGATGGGCTTGTCATATATCCCGAGGGTGGCAGTAGTTACATAACTGTATGCATTTGTCAAAATGTGCAGAAATATACATTAAAAAGAATGAACTTTACTGTGTGTAAGTCATGTGAAAAAGACTGGTAGGAGTGCAAAATGGTTGAGTCATTGTGGAAAACTCTGGCAGTTTTTGAAAAGTAAAGTGCACATTTATCCTATTACCTAGCAGCTCCACTTCTCCCAGTGTTTCACCCAAGAAAAACAAAACATTTGTTGACAAAAAGACTTGCACAAGAATATTCATAGCAGCCTTATTCACAGCAACCAAAACCTGAAACAGCCCTAACTAATGTTCACTAACAGAATAGATAAGCAGTTGCTGGTGTATTTATGCAACAGAATACTACTCGACAAGAAAAAGGAACAAGCTGCTGATCTACACAGCAGCACGGGTGAGTCCAAAAACATGCTGAGTGGGAGGGCCAGGCATAAAAGAGCTCAGATTGCACGACTCCATTTCTGTGAAGTTCAAGAACACGTAGAATGACCTATCGGGGGAGACTGCTCTTTCTGTGTCCCCAGAACTTTGCTGTGTTTTTAGGACATTGATCACTGATGACCTTGGTAGAGGATGTCACAGGCAGGAAGGGACAGAAAGGACTTTCTGGAGCTATAGGGAATGTCTGCATCTAGATTACAGTGTTGGTTACGTGGGTACAGACATTTGTCAAACTCACAAATTGTATGCCTGGAACTGTGCATTTCACTGAATATAATTTTTAACCTCAAAGAGAAAAATAATGTCTAGTGACAGAGTCAGAAAGCAATTATCTGGTTGGGGAAGGGGGCTGATGGGGTGGAGACACGAGGGAACTTTCTGAGTGATGGAAATGTTCTTCATATCTTGTTTGGTGTAGTCAAAGCTCATCAAACTGAACACAGAAGAACTGTGTAACTTATTGTATATAAACTACACCTCAGCACAAAAGAATGTAAAATATAAAATAAATAATGCTGCAAAAAGAGAATAGTCAATAGTTATCATATTTAAAAAATAATTTTTAAAATGTTTAATTGTGGTAAAAAAACACATAAACTTTACCATCTTAGCCATTTTTAAGTGTGCAGGTCAGTAGCGTTAAGTGTATTCATACTGCTATGTAACAGATATCTAGAACTTTTTCATTATCCCAAACTGAAACTCTGCACCCATTAAACAGCAACTTCCACCACCCCCTTCCCAGGCCCTGGCCACCATGCTTGTATTTTGTCTCTTTGAATTGGACCACTCTGGGTACCTCATGTAAGTAGAATCACACAGTATTTGTTCTTCTGTGTCTGGCTCATTTCACTTAGCACGATGTCTTTAAGTTTCATCCATGATGCAGCTTGTCTCAGGATTTCCTTCCTTTTGACGGTTGAATAATATTCCGTTGCATGCATGCAGTACGTGGTGATCATGCATCCACCCATCGATGGGTATCTAGGCTGCTTCCACCTCTTGACTACTGTGAATAGTGCTGCTATGAACGTGGGTGTGCAAATATGGCATCATAATTTTTAAAAATGAAAAACTAGGGCAGCAAAGATTGACTGTCTGGTCACTTTTTCCTTCCTTTTCTGCATTGTTCAGAGGCCAGCACAGGAACAGAGGACGACACCCATGACCAGCACTGAATCCGACAGTGACCCTGGGTAAGCAAACGCTCCTGCTTTTCCAGAGGCTGAAACGTGTGTCTTTGGAGCCAATGTAGAAATACAGCCGGAGGTTATTTCAAGCCAAAAGACAGCAAAGGTCGTCTCCTGTGCGTTTCCAGGGGCAAGACCCTCTGCACTGTCCAGGGAGGAGGCTCTCGTGCCCAGTGGTTTCTGCAGGCAACACTGGCTCCCGGCACGGTTTGCTCCCCAGATGGCCCCATCTCTATCAGGAGGCGGTGCAGGAAGGCCTGGGGAGAGCGGTGTGCGCCCGCGGCCACCAGGGGGCAGGCGACACGACAGTTACCGGGCACTGACAAACTCCGCACAGTTCCCGCTGAGACAAAGCACCCCTGGACTGGCTCCCCTGCTGTCCTCACCCCCACTCCACCCACCGGGCCATCTTCCCACATTCTGGCTTGCGTGGAGGTTCTCCAGCCACAGCTGTCAATAGAGGATTGGTGAGACCCTGGGGGAAGCCCTGAGGTTTATCAGCGCGCCTGTGGGTTTGCAAGCGTGTGCGTTCTATGAAGCTCTAGAGGAGGTGAGCTGTGGCCAGTGCAGCCCAAGCGTAGGGCTTTCAGAGCCCATGGTAACAGTTATGTCATTTTTGCCTGCCCTGCGTACGCCCCAGCGCAGGTGCGGCTTCCTGTGTCCCTGAACAATGCCCTACAAGCCCAGGGGAGAGCGTGAAGCTCAGCTCAGCTGAACTCGCAGCTACTTAGCTAGGGAGGCTATGAACATGGCTTCCAGATTCCCCACTCCTGAGATAGGATGGGCCTGCACATCCCCCCAGCCTCAGAAGGACCCTTTTTTGTCATAGGCCAGGGCGAATCTTCACCTCACTCCCTCAGGAATAAGAAACGACACTTAGGTGCTTCACACATGTCATTCACAAGCTCTGTGAGTCAGTGGCCCGTGGTAGAAACTGCTGCTCTACTGTGCCTTATATTTTTCACTCATTCTAAAATGAGCTATGGGATCTTGGGCCCACTCATTACTTCCACTTATCAACTGCATTTGGCCTATTTCATTGCTAGGACTTCTATTTTATAACCCCTTACATGGGACTTGCCACCAGATAGACTCTTTATACCATGATCCAGTTCAATTTAATTCACCGCGCATTTACCAAGAGCCTGCGTGTGCCTGTCCTTTCCCAAACAGCAGTCTGCTCAGATGTGTCCGATAGCCCCTCATTGGCTACGAGATGAATCACAGAGTTTTTAGCACGGCTCGTGCAGCTCCAAGACCTTCCAGCCCGGTGTGCCAGCCCAGGGTGAGCCTCCGCCAGGTGCCAGCTGCTGTGACTGTGGCCATTCCCCTGGACCCACTTGCCTGCCGCCCACGCCACCCCCTCCCGCCGGCCACACGGGCCCCTCGCTGATCCTGAATTCGCTGCACATGTTCATGAGGACTCCGTGTCCTCGTTCCTGTGGTTTCTACTGCTTAGAGTTCTTCTCTTCCTCCACCTAAAACCCACTCCTCTTCCAAGACCCAGCTCAAGAGGGGCCCTCCTGCAGAACCTCCTGGAACCCCCACGCCAACATCACGCACTGCTCCTTCTGCGTGCCCTGCCCTCGGCTGCGTTTCCACAGCACTCACCACTGATGACCTTGTGTACCTGTCTGTGTTCATGCGTCTCTCCGTTTGCTTCAAACTGTTAACTTCTTGAGGACAGGAATGATGTTACACCCAGCTCAGAACCTAACTATGGTAAATATAAAAGTAATAAGAAATGTTTAATATGAGCGCTCAATATGGCCAGCAGTGGTGCTAAGTGCTTTACATATTGAAAGGGTCCTGAATATGCACCCCCAAATGTGCCACTTTGGCATAAGGATTATTTTGAGCTGAGGAAACTGAGAATGGGCATATGCAGGACGAGCTGTCTGCCCTCCCCTTTCCCATGTGAAAGCAGGGCATAAACTCCCCTGTGAAGGTTCCCCCTCTCCACGCCAGGAGGGGAGAGTGACTCTTCTCACTGGAGAGGGAGTGAGCGTGAACAAACCTTGCTAAACTCACCCTCACCTTCTGTTAGCGTCCCCCATATGTTCCCAGCCACCTCTCCATGATTTGCCGTCCATGAAGCCCAAACCCCCTTTTCTCTGTTAAAATGGCAGGTAAGCCCCTGAGTCTAACCATTCCTTTGAGTTTCACTTGTTTTCTGTAAATTTTCATCCACATAGAACATTTATTTAAACAATTTAAATTATTTAATTCATTAAGTTTTGTAAAGACGGGGTCTTGCTATGTTGCCCAGGCTGGTCTTGAACTCTTTACCTCAAGCAATCCACCTGCCTCAGCCTCCCAAAGTGCTGGGATTAAGGGTGTGAGCCACCGCACCACTCAGCCACATTAATTTTTTTAAAATTGTTTGCCTTTTTCCTGTTTATCTGTCTTTTTAAAGTTTAATTTGCAGGGCCCCAGGCACTGAACATAAGAGGACAGATGAAAAGTTCTTCCACTTAGAAAGTTGTGACAGCCACAAGGGGCTCACTCTGGAGGCTGCAGCCGAGGTCTCAGGACACTGATCATGCTGACGAAAGGAGGAATTCTTACCACACCAGCCCCCCACAATTCTGCTCAGAATCTGGTCAAGCGAGAGCGGTAAGACTGACTCCAGTCTTGGCCTTGCACCTCCCCTGAGCGGCTAGAGCTTCTTCCTCCCATCACTCCTCCTTGCACGGCCTCTTACCACTGCATTTATTAAAAAGCAGAGAATCTGGAGGGTGCTGATCCTGGAGCACAAGCCCACATCCACCCAGCTGCCCTGAGGCTCACGAGAGGCAGAAGAACCGTGAGCCACGCTGAGCCGAGCCCACTCTTGAAAATGTCCTCAGTAAAGCCTGATTGGTGTCCGCACTGCAGGACACTGCGTTACTTGCATTTGCAGGTGGTGCCAGTGGGGACAATTGCCCCCCACCCCTGAATATGGGTTTTTGGGAGTGTGGACCAGCTGAGCTGATCGGGGGCGGGCAGACTCCCTCTTGTGCTGGTGGACAGCTTGCCTGGTTGGGGTTGTCACTGACCATGTGGAGATGGGATTGTGTTGAGTATCACAGAAGCCCTTGACGCGGAAGTGTGCAGGAGCTTTGCGGAAAGCAGAGTCCATCTCCTTGACCCTCCTGGCTGTTTGGATGTTCGAGTCCCCCGCAGGGCATTTTCCTCATGGCTGGAACAGCCTGGCCCTTCTCACTGGAAGCCTGTTTTCAGGAAATATTCTGCTCAGGGGATCATTGTGGGGAGACTGGGCTCATGCCCCATCACAGAAGAGACTCCTCTGGGGCCCAAATGCAAACTGGAGTAGCCCAAGGAGGCTGAGGGAGCTTTCCTCCACCTCAGCCATCTGCCCTCGACTAAGGAAGGTAGGAGGGGTTACAGGGGTGGCTTCTAATGAATGAAGGTCCTGAATTTGTTCCTCAGCCTGAGCCTATCGAGAGGAATGGGATAGACTTCGGGGTCTTTATGTTTCTTGCCCCAGAGACAAAACAGCAGAAAAGTGGACCAAATTTTTACCCAGATCTAAAACAGACCTTTATAATAATGTCCAGAATCTTCAGTTATGGGTGGTAGAACACTTCCCCTGCTGAGAATTATAACATAAATGAATTATTAAAAATTATAATTTCATAGTCTTTTTTTTTTCAAGACGAATTGTTGCTCTGTTGCCCAGGCTGGAGTGCAATGGTGTGATCTCAGCTCACTGCAACTTCTGCCTCCTGGGTTCAAGTGATTCTCCTGCCTCAGCCTCCCAAGTAGCTGAGGTTACAGGCCACGTCTGGCTAACTTTTTGTATTTTTAGTAGAGACAGGGTTTCACCATGTTGGCCAGGCTGGTCTTGAACTCCTGACATCGTGATCCGCCCACCTCGGCCTCCCAAAGTGCTAGAATTACAGGCATGAGCCATCGTGCCTGGCCTACATGGTCATCTTTTACAGACATCAGATAGCTGATGATATACCAAGCATGGAATGGGGCCGGGGTCTCGAGGGGAGGGTTTTAGGTTATTGTGACAAGGTCTGCTGTTGCTGACTCACTTTGGGAATTTCCTGAATACAAAGTTTGCACCATCAGACAGCCACTGTCAGGTCAGAGAAAATAGCAGGCGTGTGGTGGATTCAACTGATAAGAAAGTTCAAGTAAGTAACTAGACTTGACCTTAAGAATGTTATTAAAATTGTGTAGGATGTCTGAGTTTTAACCTGCCAGCATAGAGAAACCCTGTTGAACACATGAATGAAACTAGTAATTGAGCTAAACTAGCCACAGAGTAACTCGTTCATGGCTGGTGGGGATGCAGATGGTGTCAGCCCCTTTGGAAGACAGATGGCAGGTCCCCGCCCAGCTATACATGTGCTTTACACCCATCCCACAGTCACATCAGGTGCTCACCCACATGGGTTGAAAACGTGTGTCCACACAAAGCCTGTGCGCAGACGCTTATAGCAGCTTCGTTCATGATTGCTAAGACCTGAGAGCAACCAAAAGGCAGTTCAGTGGATGATAAACCAAATGTGGTACATCCATGCAATGAGGTATCGCTAGTGATTCAAATAAATGAGCTGTCAGGCCACAAAACAGAATGGAGACAACTTAAATGCATATTTCTGTTTTTTTGTTTTTTTTTTTTGGTGCTGTGACTCAGATTAAATTATATTTAATTATATTAAATTAAATTAAATTATATGCATTTAATCTGAGTATATATATTTAATCCAAGTTCAAGCAATTCTCCTCCTCAGCCTCCCAAGTAGCTGGGATTACAGGTGCGTGCCATCACGCCGAGCTAATTTTTGCATTTTTAGTACAGATGGGGTTTCATCATGTTGAAAAGGCTGGTCTGGAACTTCTGACCTCGTGATCTGCCCATCTCGGCCTCCCAAAGTGCTGGGATTACAGGCATGAGCCTAGCCTAAATGCACATTTCTAAGTGAAAAAAAGTCAATAGGAAAAGGCTGTATAATTCCAGCAATATGGCATTCTAGAAAAGCTAGAATTATAACAACAGTAAAAAGATCGGTGGTTACCAAAGTCCAGGCGTGGGAAGGAGGCCAAGCAGGAGTTTTAGGGCAGTGAATCTACTTGGTGCATAATGGTGGGTCCCTGACATTGGATTAATAACGTATCAATATTTATCAATATTGGTTTCTACAGTTTTATCAAATGTACAACACGAATGTGAAATGTTAAAATAGTGGAGACTGTACAAGAATATGGAAATAAAAACTATACGGAGTGAGGGTGAGTCCAGCTGGTGCAGGGGCTGGGGCATCGGGCATAGGAAACTGCAGGTTTGGAGGCCGGGAGGCTGGAGCAGCTGGGGCGGGTGAGGCCAGCAAGTGCTTGAGCTCTTGGCCCAAAATCCAAGCTGCAGCACCAAAGTAGCCTCCTAATGGGCAATACTCCTGCCTAGTTATATGTACACGGGCGATGTGGTGAGCCCTCAGGAAAGTGACCTCGAACCACAGGGTCTTCCAGAGAGCTGTGAGGAAGGGCGGGGGTGCCGCCTCCTGCCCCTGGACTCTGCAGTCCTCCCGAGGGGCTACATGGGCCTCTAAGGAGCTGCTGGTAGCGTGCACTTTGGGTTTAACTCCCTCCTGCCTCAAATTGTGGCCTGTGTCCTCATCAATTCTTCCCACTCTGTTCACTGTGGGCATTATTATGTTTGTGTAAAGAGATAGCATTGTGATGCAATGTTCCATTTTGGATTCATAATGCTCCATACATTTTATATGCCTTTTGGGCATTCATACAGATTCTTTGGCCACGTGGCCATATAAAGCCTTCCCCCTTTTCACGGAGCAGCCCCTCCTGGTTCCACCTGCGTGGTGCTGCTCTTCTTCCTGCATCCTCCACGCTGACCCACGTGCTGACCAGCGCCACCACTCACAAGGAACAGGAAAGACCCTCAGGACTGGGGGCAGCACCCTGTGCCTCTGGGACTCCAGTGGGTACCGTGGGCCGGGCTCTGCAGAGCAAGATCAGCTGGGGAAGGCTCCTCCAGTCCCGGGTCCCAGGAGCCTGCGGTGGCTGATGTGCCACAACTCCATCCATGACCCGGTGCCTGAGACCCCTGAAGGAAACTCCTCTGTCTGAAAGCCCCGCCCTGGATGGCCCCGGGGTGACCCTGAGAGGTGAGGGCGGCCCTGTGGGAGGGCCCTCACCCAGTTCAGGACTCTGAGGTGCCCTCCCAGCTCCAGAGCTCAGCATAGAAGGGGCTGAGTTTGCTACAACTGCATCACACCGAGGCTGATTCTGGAAGTTCCACAGCCACGGGAGTGCCTTCAAAGCAGGAGTCAGCAGAGGGGGCAGAAGCACTAAGTTGCTGCAACAACACCTGAGAGTGCAGACAGGAGGGGCCCAGTCCCCACCCCTACCTGAGAGTGCAGACAGGAGGGGCCCACCCCCAACCCCCACCTGAGAGTGCAGACAGGAGGGGCCCAGTCCCCACCCCCACCTGACTCCCAGTGTCAAGTGCCCTGGGGAGAGCTGCGCCCACAGACATCCTGCAGCTCCAAAACCCAGTCTCTTGTTGCATTTTACTCTAAGCAGTCAGGAGAAACCAAGCCAATTCTCAAGAGACGATAACCAATAGAACCCAAGTATTTGGGATTTGGTGTGGAAGAGGCAGAAAAGAGCAGGTCCTGAGGGAAAGATAATGTTTGAGAAGCAAAGCAAGAAAAGATGATGACAAACACAACACTCAAAGGCCCTAGACATCATCACTTTTTTTACCATCATGAACATTTAAACATAACACATTTTCTTTTTTTTCTAATTTCATCTCCCTCTTCCTTCCCTGGTCTCCAAAGCGGCAGGCTTGAGTGGACTGCTCCCGGGAAGCCACTTTCATGGCGTCCCCTCTCCAGGGTGCCCATCTACCTGGAGCGTCATCATCGTCACTGCTGGAGTCTTGTCTCCTGTTGCCAATCCAAGCTCTGGAGACACAAGTACCACAAGAAAGGTGTTACCCAGAGGCACTCGCCCATCCTCCCTGCTGCACCGGAGGCCACACCAGCTGCCACAGCAACTCCCTGCTCCGTCCTCTGCTTTCTCAGAACTAACCTGGGCTCTCTGGAATCAGAGACCTTCAACAAGTCACTGCTCACATTTGCAAATGTTCACGTCAAGAGAGGACCCCCTTTCCACGTGCCACTCCCCTCTCTTCCGGATCATTGCAGCTCTCCCCACCAGCCTTATCAATGTGGGGCTCCAACCCTACAGGTCAGTGATTCACAAACAGGCACTGTCCCAGGTTGGAGCCACTGCCACGAGCCTGTTCTGCACAGACGGGAATGTTTCCTCTGCCTTGTGAGCGCAGGGCTATCGGGCACTGGAAATATGCCTGATGTGATGAGGTACTGGAGATTACATTTGAAAATTAATTTAAAATACAGATGCACCTGGTTAATGACTGTGGCACCAGGGAGTCCAGAACTGGGATTCAGAGATGAGGGAGACGTCACCTCCCCGCCTCTGGGTTTTCCTTCCAGTGTAGCCATCAATGGCCTAGTGTTATCTTTCATCCAGTACGTACTTCCTGGGCACAGGCATAAGTATCCAGTGCTCTGTGAGACCCTAGGGGTGCTGAACACTGAGTCACATCCAGGTCCTAGAGGGGTTCACATCTGGGGGCGATGTGTAAACAGAGTGAAGGGCATGGCCAGCAAATCCTGTGCTGGAAAATCAGGGCAGCTGGAGTGAGGGGAGGGGACACCCCACTGTCCCCAGGAGCCCACACACCAGCCGAATTTGGCTTTTAATTCACCTTTCTTGTGATGTCTTTTGCTGAATTTGCTGTCATGATTGTCCCGATTAAAAGAGAGCATTGTGTGTTCCCTCTATATCCAGAAGTGTGCATGCAAGATTGGAGTTACTTCTATTTAAAATATGTGATGGACTCAGAGGGGACAGTAAGGATGGAAGTTTGCGTATGGAAAAATAGTTTGCGTTACTTTGTTTTTATTTGATGGTTGCTTTACTTGTGGTGCAGTGCACAGTATATTACCTGTACAGATTGTTGCCTTCTGACAAACACTGTGTTACCACCGCCCAGATATGAACACCCTGGCAGCCGCTCTTTGGCTAATTCCTAGGCAGTAACTTCCAAGAGACACTCACTATTCTGGTCATGATCAACATATTTTAAATTTATTTTTAAACACTGTATAAATGGAAACCTACAGTATGTACTCTTTTGTGCCTGAATGAAAATTACACGTGAATATCATGTAAATTTCACCTATGTTCCATTGTGATGACACATTCAGCATTTTGTACTGCTCGGTCCTGTCCATATATAACATCTACATTGTAGGAAGTTGGCACAATGAGTTTTCACCCTCTATGTTTTACATTCACTCTGTTTATCATGATGGTTATAAGGGAGGAGACCTCCCCTTATATTGTCTTATGCCCAATTTCTGCCTCCAAAGAAAGAAGAAGTAAAAACTAAAAGGCAGAAATGAAATCCACAAGCAGACAGCCCAGCACCACACCCTGGGCCTGGTAGTTAAAGGTTGACCCCTGACCTAATCGGTTATGTTATCTATAGATTACAGAGATTGTATAGAAAAGCACTGTGAAAATCCCTGTCCTGTTCTGTTCCATTCTAATTACCGGTGCATGCAGCCCCCAGTCACGTACCCCCTGCTTGCTCAATCGATCATGACCTTCTTACGCAGACACTTTTAGAGTTGTGAGCCCTTAAAAGGGACAGGAATTGCTCACTCGGGGAGCTCAGTTGTTGGAGACGTGAGTCTTGCCGAAGCTCCCAGCTGAATAAAGCCGTTCCTGCTTTAATTCGGTGTCTGAGGGGTTTTGTCTGCGGCTTGTCCTGCTACAGTTACATGAAGTGACGCTGCTATAAAGCCCCCCAGGGGGACGCCAACATCTTTGCCTCATACATGTATTTTGGACATAGGTAGCAGGAGTGGGACTGTAGGGTCACAGGTACCGATTACTCTAGTACACCCTAGAAAGTCATTTATCAAAGTGGATGAAATTAAGTATGTTCCCAGAGTCACATGTGATAGCTCCAGTTCCTCCACAATCTCACCAACCCTCTGCATTTTTCTCTGTGATAACGTGTCTATTTTGGTGGGTGTAGAAGTGAGAAACTCTAGTTTGAATATGCATTCTTCAGATCATGTGTGATTGAGTGCACTTTCATATGCTTTACTATGCCAAACTTGCTGAGGTTTCTGTGAATTTGACAGACGAAAGTGAGTACATGGTGTGTTATTCTGTCTGAGAAACCACATAACCTTGTGAGTTCCTGCACGACTATTATTTAAGGTGTTTTGTTCAAAGAAGGATTTAATAGGTAAAATTGCACAGGGTATCAAACAATGGAAAGATATTTGCAAGGACTACCGAGAATTCTGAAAAAAAATAGAAAAGACAAATAAAATGGAAACCTAATTAAAAATGGACAAATATTACAACAAAGCAATTACAGAAGGCAAATGTGGATGAATAAAAGTCATATGAACATAGGTTCAGATCCACCTGAGGCAAAAGCAGTGGCTGTGGAGAAGCCCAGCACGTCTCTGTGGGAGGCTCCCTCCACGAAGGGCAAAGGGAAAGCAAAGGGGCTTGGGGCGGAGCGCGATGGGGCTTGGGGCGGAGCGCGATGGGGCTTGGGGCGGAGCGCGATGGGGCTTGGGGCGGAGCGCGATGGGAGTGGCGGGAGCAGCCAGAGCCCCTTGGGCTGGAAGCAGGGAGAGGGATGGAGGTCCGCCCGCCAGCACAGCCCGGGCAAGCGAAACCCGTGGGTTCTCGTGGACACTCCAGAACTGCACACTTATTTCTCAGTCAGGCATGAAACCAGTGAGTGCTGAGCAGACAACTAATGTTGCAATTTAAAAGAATCAAAATAAATTGCTAGTTAGGTTATGGGGAGTCAAACTCTCACAACTGGGAGTATTTAGGAGGTCAACCATCCTGAGGGATTTCCTCAGCACACAGGAACATTAAGTGTGCACTCTCCAAGCACCAAGCCCTCTGTCGTTCAGAGGCAGGAAAGATGCAGGAGGCGTCCTCACTGTAGGAGGGAGCTGGTATCAGTAGCAACCTGGCTGCTCGGCACAAGGGGGTTTATAAGGAAAGTGTGGTTGACGCAATGCTGACCAGTTGGAAGTCACGGAAGAGGCTCACAGGCACACATGGATAAAATTAAATGTATGAGCTTAAATCTCAGAAAAAATAAAAAACCGATGAGGCCTAAAGGGGGAAAATAATTTAATGCAAAAATGCAAACACACTCTATGAATTCTTTAAGTATCTGTAGAGATTATTTGGAAGAGTGGTCCACATTATTTACACTTGGGTTGGTGACTCAGGGATGGACGGAAACATGATCTGAAATAGTTATAAAGGAAAAAAATAGATAAAAGAGAGGCTGATGAGAGTGTGGTGTGAGTAAACTCTGTGCCTAACACAAAGGTTTTAATATACTCAATATATAATAAGTCTCTAAAAACAGGGAAGAAAAGAGTACCAACAAGCCCATGTAAGCATGTCAGAGACATAAACAGTTCAAAGAGAAACAAAAGAACAAATGGCTTTTAATCTCATTCAAAATGTGAAAAAGTTCACATTAAAACTACACTGAGAAACCACTTCAAGACAAAATTTCAGAAGTTTCACATGTAACTACGTTAGTGTGGTTGTGCCCACATTGTTGTGAAGAAAGCTGACTCAGCACCTGTGGAGAGGAGTTTGGCAACATCTAGCAAAGCTGCATAAGCACTAACACTTTGACCCATCGTCCAACATCTCAAAATCTATCCCAAAGTAGACTTGCAAAATATGAAGACTCATGCACAGGAGCATTGGCTGCAATATGAGAAAATGTAGAGCATAGTTTTAAACTCAAATCTCTGTAAGAATCACAATGAAATTAGATAACACTTACTAATAAATAATAAAAATTGCGCAAATTGAAAATTGGGAGATGCAGCAAACAGCATTATGTGAGAGCAATCTGTGAGATTAGTTATTGAAATTAGGAACTTGACACTTTTGGAGGCCAAGGTGGGAGGATCACTTGAGGTCAGTAGTTTGAGACCAGCCTGGCCCACATAGTGAAACCTGTCTCTATGTCTTTACTAAAAGTACAAAAATTAGCCAGATGTGGCAGTGCATGCCTGTAGTCCCAGCTACTGGTGAGGCTGAAGCAGAAGAGTCGCTTGAACCCGGGAGGCAGAGTTCCCAGGAAACACCGACAGAGAGGAAATAGCACACATGCCCTGCTGGTACAGCTGGAAAGCAGGTGGCTGCGGCTCCTTTCGGGAAGAGAGACCTCCCTCCACTGACAGCACCCTTGTTTACAGTTCCCAGATGCCCTGGCCCCTCTCTCACACCATGAACAGCTTTAGAAAACTGCGGGCCTCACACTGAGATGCCCAGGTGTGTCAGGGAGGCAGGAAGGCTTTGGGGTCTGAGGGCAGTGGGAGACAGTGGGGACACTCCTGAGATGGCCCTTCCCAGCTGGGAAACCCCCCAGGGCCTCCAGGGGAGTTCAGCCATCAGGGTGCCCACTGGATAGGTTTGGCTTGCAACGCTGACAGCAAGGACCCCCCTCCACCCACTGGGTCAGCTGTGAGAACCCAGGAGAGGGAGGCCCAGGGACAGACAGGTAACAGCTCTTATTTGCATGCAGTGGCTGTGCCCCCATGAAGGTTTTAGGATCTGTAAGGCGGCTTTGAAGGAGCCCAAGCTCCAAAGCAGTGTCAGGAAGTGGGAGTTGTGTCTGCACCACTCCCTGGGCTCCTGTCCTCATCCTGCTCACCCCCTGCATAGGGGAGGGGGAACCTCACCCCACTCTGCTTCACACACCTCTCTCCTCAGGGGGGCTGTGATTCTGACCTACAGTCCTTCGTCTCTGTTTAGGGTAGCTGTGGCCCAGGCAGGGCCGGCTCAGCCATAAACACACACACACACACACACACACACACACACACACACACACACTGAATAGGCAACTCACTGAAATAGAACTAGTTGATTAATTAAAGCACCTATGGGATTTTTCACAAACCAAATTAGTATTTTTATTAAAAAACTTTTAGTGCTATTGAGCCTAGATAGGAAGAGGCCTACTTATGTAATTGGTAAGAGTGTGATCTGATTAACTTTGTGAAGAATAATGTCAGTATTTTTTAAATTATAATTAAATTTGTCATAACTCAATTATACAATTTTGAGAATCGTATACTACATAAAAACAAAAAAAAACCAAAAACATTGGGGGGATCTATGTATATTGATGATTACTGGAAAGTCATTAGTGGTGGGAATTTTAAAAAATAAGCTTAATATCCATCTAACAGAGAAGAAAGAAATCAGAACGTATCTATAATATGAATTACTACACAACTGAAAAGAATACATTTAATCTACATTAGTTGGAACTAGTAATGTCTACCACGTGTTATAAAGGGAACAAGTAAATCACTATATAATGTAGGATTTGAGCATGTTCTTTAAAACAAAACAAATCAATAAAGCCCTAAAAGGATCAACTATTGAAAGCCTGTCACAAATCCAGAAATGGTAAGGAAAATATTGAAAATTTGACTGTGTAAAAAGAAAAGCTTCTTCAAAACAGAAACAATATAAACAAAGTAAAAGTTATGACACAGACCTTAAAAAAAACTCAGTAATTATATGGAAATAATAAATGTGTAGAACATATAAAGAATATCACTAAATGAATTAGAAAACTAGGAAAACGTATCATTATGAAAATCACAGGGAGAAATACAAACGGCCAACACACATACACAAATATGCACAATCTCCCTAATAAGTGGAGAAATCCAAATTAAAAGTAAAAATATTTTAAAATCATAAAATTGGCAAACATTGATAATTTCCTGTGTAATTAAGGGTGTGGGGAAATAGGAATTCTCATACACTGATGGTAGAAGTATAAACCATTGATTTCTTTTTGGAACACAGATTTTTAATTTTATGAAAATATTAAACATTAACATTTGCTGCAGTATTTTATTTTTAGAAATCAATCATAAAAGGAAAAAACCACTTAACTAATGCAACAAAAAGGTGGATATACAGGGATGCCCAGTACAGCATTGGTAACAATAACAAATAACTGAAACTGACATAAAAATTCCTCAGTGAAAAAGTGACCAAATTATGGTAAAATACCCTATGGAATAATGATGTAATTATAAATAATAATGAGAGAGACCTATAGGTACTGATAAGCAATAATCACCAAATTAAATCTTATATGGAAAAGCAAATCAGTGAACAATATGCAAACAAGATCGTGTCACGGAAACATATGTGCATGTTTAACTGTGTGTAGGTGAATGCAGACGAGGGGGTGGGCTGGGAGGTGGCGGGGATACGTTTATTCTGTAGACCTAAGCACTATGTGAATTTTTATAACAATAACACATGTGTTTCTTATGTGAGTAATTAAAAACAATTTACTTTCTTTTTTTTTTTTTTTTTTTCTTGAGATGGAGTTTTGGTCTTGTTGCCCAGGCTGGAGTGCAATGGTGCGATCCCGGCTTACCGCAACGTCCGCCTCCTGGGTTCTAGTGATTCTCCTGCCTCAGCCTCCCAAGTAGCTGGGATTACAGGCATGAGCCACCACACCCGGCTAATTTTTTGTATTTTTAGTACAGACAGGGTTTCTCCATGTTGGTCAGGCTGGTCTCGAACCCCCAACCTCAGGTGATCCGCCCCCCTCGGCCTCCCAAAGTGCTGGGATTACAGGCATGAGCCACCACGCCTGGCCAATTTAATTTATTGAATTGTAAAAAGGTATGTTTTAACCCTATATAAATGTATGACTATATGGAGATAATTATTATTCACCTGAATAAAAAACAGCAATATAAAGACACAAATAGGTAACAGTACAATATTAAATACTATAACATCTAATCCAATATTAAAATTATATATATACACATAGATACAGGTAGGGCTGCCAACAAATGGTCTTCATGTCTAAAATTGTGGTAATTGTTGCAGAGACTTCTGTGACTATATTGGAAACCTTGGAACTGTACACTGTGTGGGGGTGAAATTTACGGCATTTTAATTATATCTCAAAGTTCTGTTAAAAAGTGAGTGGCTTAATATTCTGTGAAGTAAGGAATGGTTTTATTTAAAACATAAATTAATAATTTCCAGTGGATTCCCTTAAAAAGATTACAGCAGGGATTTCCAGATCACACCCACCCCCACCTCTAGAGTTTTTGGCTGTTTTCTAAAGTCTTGAATTCAATGAGGTGAAGGAGGAAGAAAGTGTTTAGGAAGTCAGTGGGTTCCAGAAGAGCTGGTGCTGGGTGGGGCAGAGTGGGGAGAGATGCTCCTTTCAAATGGAAGGCTCTGGAACCCGCCAAAAGGGAGTGCAAGCTGGGGCAATCTTCCTGGACAGCCACCAGAGAAAGGCTTCAGACCCCACGCTCCCGCTGACATCCACAGACAGGGACATCTCACTGGCTTTTAAAATCATCAACTCTTTTTATATCGACACAAAGAAATAATGAAAAGGGGAATTCTGGTTTACAGTCATTTCATTAAATTATCCAAAACAACTTTTGAAACAAAAGTTATAAAAGTGAAACTCAAAATTATTCTCTGCTTAATAAATACTCTCAGTGGCTCAGATATAGTTCAGGCAAACTAGCCATGGATGCAGCCAAAGCCAGGGGGTGGAGGGGGTCCCGGCGTGCTCCAGGAGGCCTCTCCGGTGAGTCCGGCAGCTGTTCCCTCGGCGCTGCAGCCCTCTCTTTGCTCAGCTGGGGGCCTCTATTTTGTAAACCTCAGAATAAGTCATAAGCCCCGTGAAGACATCCAAGATATTCCTTAGGGTTATCTGAAATAAAGAAAGATCAATTCTTCTAAAACATGAGACAGAGAATTCCGATTTCAGCTGACGCTGGCTGTTCCCTGTCAAAGCAGCACACGTTACTGAAGAAAGTGAACACCCCCTTGAAAGCGGTGAAGAAACCCTGAGAATATCATTAAATTATAATTAAATTTTATTATATGAAAATAGAAAAATTTTGTATGACCTAAAGTTCAATAAAGTGCAAAAGATACATGGTATACAGGAAAAACAAAACAAAACAAAAAAACAAAACAGGCCTGGCATAACACAAAGGTGTTAATACCCTTAATATATAACAAGTCTCTAAAAATAGGGAAGAAAAGACTACCAACAAGCCCATGTAAGCATGTCAGAGACATGAACAAACAGTTCAAAGAAAAACAAAAGAACAAATGGCTTTTAATCTCATTCAAAATGTGAAAAAGTTCACATTAAAACTATACTGAGAAACCACTTCAAGACAAAATTTTAGAAGTTTCACATGTAACTACGTTAGTGTGGTTGTGCCCACATTGTTGTGAAGAAAGCTGACTCAGCACCTGTGGAGAGGAGTTTGGCAACATCTAGCAAAGCTGCATAAGCACTAACACTTTGACCCATCGTCCAACATCTCAAAATCTATCCCAAAGTAGACTTGCAAAATATGAAGACTCATGCACAGGAGCATTGGCTGCAATATGAGAAAATGTAGAGCATAGTTTTAAACTCAAATCTCTGTAAGAATCACAATGAAATTAGATAACACTTACTAATAAATAATAAAAATTGCACAAATTGAAAATTGGGAGATGCAGCAAACAGCATTATGTGAGAGCAATCTATGAGATTAGTTATTGAAATTAGGAACTTGACACTTTTGGAGGCCAAGGTGGGAGGATCACTTGAGGTCAGGAGTTTGAGAGCAGCCTGGCCCACATAGTGAAACCCCGTCTCTATGTCTTTACTAAAAGTACAAAAATTAGCCAGATGTGGTGGTGCACGCCTGTAGTCCCAGCTACTGGGGAGGCTGAGGCAGGAGAATCACTTGAACCCGGGAGGCAAAGGGTGCAGTGACTCGAGATCCTGCCACTGCACTCCAGCCTGGACAACAAAGCTTGACTCTGTCTCAAAAATAAATAGGAAAGAAAGGTAAAAATTAAGTATACAACTTAAGTTAGAAAAAAATAACATCAGAAGAAATCCAAATAATGTAATGGAAGGATAACCGATGAGAAGAGAAATTAATGAAAGAGAAAATAAGGACAATAGTGGGAAGGGGTAACAGAGCCAACAGCTGTTTCTGAGAAAAGTGTATTATCAAGAAAAAAAGAGAAATCACAAAAATTCATATCAGAACTTAATAAAAAGACATAATTATAGAGGTAGCAGAGATTACAAAACAGACAGTTGATATGAGGAAATTTATGCTGAGACATTTAAAATGTGTACAAGATAGATAAAATCCTAGAAGGCATAATTTTCTAAAATGAATTCATGAAGAAAAATCCTAAATACTTCAATAGCCATTATATAAATTTAATTAGTAGTTAAGAAGTATCTTTCCTCATCTCCATCTTTCTCTCCCTTTCTTTACCCCAGCTCCACCTCCTGCCCCCCACACACCCCTAATAGTATTAGTGGCTAAATACCAAAATTACAATGGAGTTGGCATTCAAATCTGATTGAAATATTTCCATGAAATTGATGAAAGGGGCTAGTTACAATTAATTTGAGGAAAACACTGTAATTTTAATACCAAACCAAAAAATTAAGTATAAAAAGAAAAACTGTGCACCAATCTTATTCAGGAGCACTGACATCAACTCTCCAAAGCAGTGGGAGGCAATGACCATGCCTCAAATGTGAAGAATCAATACAAACAGTACAGTTAGTGTACAGCTCAAAACAGCATATCCTGAAACGCTCAACCTTATACCTAATATTTAAAAATATTTGGAACACACAGAGCCATGGGAATGGCTTTTGGAGAAATGTTCATGAAGGAAGAAAGATTACAGCTAAGTTTAAAAATACTGTTACAGTTTTGTTTGCTTGTTTTGTCTTCAAGAGGAGGTAAAAGTTGGAGTAAAAACAGGGAGTTTGGGCCGGGCGCGGTGGCTCACGCCTGTAATCCCAGCACTTTGGGAGGCCGAGATGGGCAGATCACGAGGTCAGAAGATTGAGACCATCCTGGCCAAGGCGGTGAAACCCCGTCTCTACTAAAAATACAAAACAAAATTAGCCGGGCGTGGTGGCAGGCGCCTGTAGTCCCAGCTACTCGGGAGGCTGAGGCAGGAGAACGGCGTGAACCCAGGAGGTGGAGCTTGCAGTTAGCCGAGATCGCGCCACTGCACTCCAGCCTGGGTGACAGAGCGAGACTCCGTCTCAAAAGAAAAAAAAAACAACAAACAGAGAGTTTGGTGTAAAGTGGGAAAAGCAAAGAAACCTGCATGGATGGGCTGAAGGGTGTGCTGGGAGAAGAGTGAGAAATACGTCTGGGGAAGAAATTGGAGATGGAGGTTTAATCCCAAGTGATCCCAAAGGGATGTACTGAAGAATTAATGTGTGACTAGGAACAGGGAGGTTATGGAATTGATCGTCAACCCAACAGTGGGCACTCAGTTCCACTAATGAATGAGGACTGTGAGGACAGACAGACTGAGGGGCAGGCAGATGAAGGCGTGGGTTGTACATAAAACAGGTCCACTCGATTGTTGACAAGAAACTGTTTTCAAGTTCCGTTTTGCCATGCATGGAATAGCTTTTCATTAGCTGAATTTAGTGACATATAAAATCATTAAACTAAGGCAGACACCCAGAGTTCCCACATGAAAACCAAATGTAAACCGGCTGTGACCCACTTCAACACCATCATTGGAGATCAGAAGCTGAGCCCTTTTCTGATGTTTAAAACCTGCATAATATTCAGTGTATTATTATTTGTGTATCTATTTCCTTTGTGATGGAAATTTGGTTTGTCCCAATTTTCTATTTTATTAAAACATTGCTACATAGAAAGTCCCCTTGCATATATTTCTCCTAATGGTAGAAATATTTTACATAAAAGACTCTAGAAATGGGATGAGATCCATGGGTTAGGAGAATTTTAAAACAGATAGGTCCTCCCAAATTGCCCTCTTACAAATCATACAAATTCATATGCTTCTAGCAGTTACAGAGAGTGGGTGTTACCCCCCATCCTCACCAACACTGAATGTTACACACGAGAGCTGAGTATCCCTTATCTGAAATGATTGGGACCAGAAGTGATTCCGATTTGGGTTTTTGCAGATTTCAGAATGTTTACATTTTATATGCTTACTGATTGAGAATTCCAAATCCAAAAATTTGAAATCTGAAATGCTCCAGCGAGCACTTCCTTTGGGCATCATTTAGAAGCTGAAAATGTTTTGGGTTTTGGAGCATTTTGGATTTCAGATTTTTGGATTTGGGATGCTAACCTGTATTAAACATCTGTGACAACCTGAAAGACAAAAGCACACCTCAGTGTTTTATTTTGCTTCTTTCTGCTCACAGTTTCCATGAACTTTTTTTTATCTCTGTGCTGGTGCATGCTGTGTGTGAAATGCTACTCACCCACAAACAGGTCCAGCCCAGATGGCAGCTCCGCTGTGAAGTCTTTCCCATTCTCATGGGGAACACTATTTACTTCCTGATATCCAAAAAGAACGGTGCAAATATTCCTCTCAATTGCATTGTGAGGTTTTCCTTTAAAAAATTTTATGTGGAGCCCATTTTCTAATCCTTTATTCCTTATGTCACTGGTTCCTTGTACAGATTAGGTGCAAATATTATTTGATTGGATGACTGAATGATACCACACGTTCCTTCTAGCTCTGGGAATCTGTGTTGCCATGATTCCACTGGCCTGGGACCTGTACATGAGTAGCAGTTTTAAAAAGCAAAGCTCCTATCTTTAAATAAAACCATAAATTCCTTACTCATTACTCACACCTGTATCAGGAACAGGTTTGGATGCAGGGGAAATTCCAAGGATGACGGGTATGGATCGGAAAAGACAGTGATGTCCAAGTACAGGCGGTGCACTCCACAGGTCATCTCGGACAGTCACTGGAAGCTAGGCAAAGTCTGTGGTCTCATGGCCACAAGCCCAATGATTTGACCTCAGAGGGTATCCTGCATTAGAAGCAAGAACGAATCAGAGATTTGAGGAAATAGGAGAGGTCATAATTGTCACCATGCCTGCTTTCTCAACCTAAGGACTGACAAGCATCTAGCCTTGAGCCAAAAAGGCTGCAAATACATGTGTATTTAGTAGTGGGCTGTTGCACTCCAGAGCTGGAACACGGCTTTGTACTTTGATTCTCCAGCCTCCAGGAGACTCATAAATCCTGCACTCCATGATCCAAAATGGTGGGTTTCCTTGAAAAATGTAATTAATATAATTAATTATACATAGATTCAAAAATATTCACTTTGTAGAATAAACAGAACTGACTTATGTTATACAATTTAGAAAGTTGATATTAGGTGGTTTTCACAGTTCCATTAAAATTTTTGATAATTAAGAGCTTTTATTTACTTTCAAAATTTGGTGGTAATCCCCAGTCTTCCTGTGCAAGGAATTACATTTAAGAAAAACAGTATTGCATAAAGGCAAGCAGATGATTTTGAGAGATGAAGATAAAGACAAAGAGATATTAATGTCTCTGAACCTGACCAACACCTGAAAATAATAATAATAATGATAAGGGTACATCTAGTGCTCCAGGGCTTCATTAAAAAAAAAAAACTTTAATCGTCTCAGGAACCTCAAAAATAAGGTAGAATTATAATACTTTTACATAGATTCAAGGGATTTGCTCAAGATCACAATTCTATTCAGTATCAGAGTAAGGACTGGATCCAAGCATCCTGACTCCCAAATCTGTGCTGCTGAGCACTGTGCTATGTATAAATATCACAGATCATAAGAAATAGAAACACCTGACTACAGGAACGCCCTCTGTACTTACACACTTTGGTGAGCATTAGGAAATGGGGCTACTGCAATGAAATTGAGATGAGCTTGGGAGGTCAAAAGGAAGCATTCTGCTACTCCAGTGAAATGAACATTGTGGTTTGCTCATTCTAACGTGGAAAAAAAATTTCTAATGTATCTACCCTTTAATTAACTCTTCCAAAAGAAGAAGCTGGAAGACAGATGCAATTAAAGGCTCAAATGGAATTATTTCTACCTAATGGAAGAGTTGCCCATTTTGTGAAACTGTGCTAGAAGGACCCAAACAATGCTGATGACAATTATCAGGATGATAAGCAACCTGGAAAGATAACGAGTGATGTAAATCATAGACAAGTCATGACAGGCGCCTCCATCGTGCTTCAGTGCTTGCATTCATTCTTGTGCTATTTTATTACTTTTACCAAACAAAACATAGCTCCTTGAAATCACATGAACCTATGCCTAATGAGAATCAGTTAGTAAAATGCCCGTGACTAGTAATCTTCACCTATGCAATTAAACATTCATTCATAAAATAGTTCAAATGTAAGCGAATGTGTTGAATGAAGAGTACATTAATACATTAATTAGAAAAAACATTCTATTAAAAAGAAATTATTTGTATGATAAAAGAGATCACCATTTTTGTACTTTTTCACAAACTTACAGAAAACTAAGTCAGCTTACACAGGTGAATCTTAAAAACCTCTAACCCAGAATGTAAAGTACATCGGCCAAAAATGCTAACCTAACGCATTTCAATACTACAGGACTCATGTAGGTAGAACTAACGG
Organism: Homo sapiens; assembly: GCF_000001405.40. Classification (NCBI taxonomy): domain Eukaryota; kingdom Metazoa; phylum Chordata; class Mammalia; order Primates; family Hominidae; genus Homo; species Homo sapiens. The sequence continues at coordinate 12,217,027 of NC_000018.10, read as the reverse complement.
AATAAAATACTGGTAGTCAGTATAATCCTATCTGTGGTTCCTGAGGTCCAGGGAGAATGAGTTTGTCACCTTCCCACCTCCCATGAGCCAGTGTTTTTTCCGTGAATAATAAAAACAGCAGGATTTACTTGCCTGTCCAGAAAAGGTCATCACTTCTGTGTGTTCTCCTGAAACAGGTGGTGGCTGGGTGAAAAGGCGGACAGCATTAGGGCTGGAGATGGAGGCTCCAGAATCTTGGATGAGCTTCTGAAACCTCTGCAACTTCCAGCCACTAAATGGAATGAGCCACGGAAAGCTTTAGCCCAATGCCCAGAACAAGATCAGGGTTTAGTGCATGGCACTGCTCTCCTTGTAGTTCTGTCATCAGCCGCCACACATCCATCAGGAACACACATCCTGAGTTATTCTATTTATAATAAGCACAAACTAAAAGAGAGCGAACTCTAGCACACAAAGTTGTAGTGGCTAGCTTTGGAAAGGAGGAGATAGAAGGACAGTTTTGGGGTGCAGGTAACTTCTAGTTTTTGACCTGACTTGTAGTTCCATGGGTGCTCACTTTGTGATAAGTTACAGAGCTGTGTATTTAGGTTTCATGTGTTTTCTGTATGTAGGTTGTACTTTAGATTTTTAAATGTTTCACAAAATACTATGACAGTATATGGTCTATTGAAAATGTGGAAGGAGAAAGAGAAGACTCTGTGGTCCATTCTGTCACTTGCCAGCCCCTGGCTTCAGGCCCAGATGGCTCTAGGTGTCCTGGGTTGACTGAACTCTTGCAGCAGCCTCTTGGAATGAGCACCTTCCCCCACTCTGTCCCTTGGTAACATGGGCCCATCCTTAATGGCTGCGTTTGATAAACTCATCTGTGTTAGTGTGTGGATGACTCATCTGTTACCTCCTTCATGTGATGTATATAGGGACATCTGGATGGTGCATTCACCTGTCCGAGCAGGTGAGAAATGCATCCCTCATGACAAACATGAATGAAGTTTTGTGAATATATGGTTGAACGTCGAGAGTGTCAGCAAAAGTCAGGTACAATTAGAGACACTTAAAAGGAAGAAAAACAATTTCATTTAAAAATAGGGCCTTAGTTTTTGTATGTGGAAAGAGATAAAATTAACCTAAATGTCTTCTCCTGTCTCTAGCACTCTGATTAGTTTCACTGGACCCAACCACTGGAGCCTCTAATCCGCTTCTCCATCTGCACTTCTCCAAGAGCATTCTAGGCAGAGCCCAGGGGGCCCTCGGCAACCCCCTGTGAGGAGGAGCTCGGTCTCTCTCTCTCTCTCTGACACCTGCTTCTGGACCTTGGTGTGGAAGTCCATGGAGAAGGGGTGCTGCCATTACTGAGGCTGGAGGTCAGAGGCTCATCAGAGAGGCTACCCTGACCTCCTAGTCCTGGGGCCAGCAAAGGGTGCAAGCACTGGCTAGTGGCTGGGTGCTATGACCCATGAGGCATACATAGAAACCAAGTCAGCATTTTGTTGATCTCCCAAGAAAGCTTCAATTTTCTTCGCTATTCATAATAATGGCAGAAAGTTCATTTTAGGAATATTTTCAATAATTATTGTCACCTGATGAGTAAATTAAACTACTACAAACAATCTGATTACAGAGCAGTGAAAGTCAGTTCAGTTCTCCAGCTGTCTCAGGGGGACCAAGAAGTGGCGGTGCATATTTGAATACCTACTCAGGCAGAAATGTCACCAAATGCAGCCAGTGCATCTTATCCAATTCCCATTTACCTCATTCTACCTCAGCCTTCAGTACCCTCTGCCATACTCTATGGACTTCCTCCAGTCCAAGCCACTCACCAAAATGGGACACCCAGACCCAAATGACTTCAAAAATCCAGCAGGGAGGTTGAAAAGCGAGGTGAGCAGAGGAGCAAACACACCAAATATCCCTGCCTCTGACCACTGCACAAGCTCTTCTGTCCCTCTGGTCTTCTGTTTTTACCTCCAGACATAATGGATTTCCAGTTTTTCATGTTTCTCTACACCTTAGAAACATTCCTCAGAATTCATACCCTGAAAGGGATGTCCTCAGTTCATGGCTTGCCTGTGTACAGAATGGGGCTGATCTTCCCTGGCCTCCCTGTGAGAAACATGGGCAGTAGCTTCAGGAACTCCCCCAGGATGCAGGCGGCCTTCATGTGAGACTCCTCCATGCCTCATAGGCAGTGCTGTACAATACCTTGCCAGGAACACACAACATACTCATGAAACCACCAACCACAGGAGATTTTAAAGGTGAGTGTCTCTACCAAGTGTTTACCAATACAGTAAGAAATGATGTCATGGCTGCTGGAAAACAATGGGCTTTGGCATAAAACATGGACTTAACTCCCTGGTCCTCTTAGGTGAGTGTTTCACCTCTAAAGTGTCAGATTTCTCATCACTAAAGCAGACCTAGAGGAAAACCAGAGGCTAATCTTCCTCAGGAGCACAGATGCAATAAACAGAGTAGAAAGTACCAATCCTTAAGTCAATCTGAAGAACCAAAACCAAACCAAAGGAAACAAGGCAATCAATGTATTGTGCCAGATGACATGGCATATAGTGAAACCTTTTCAGTGGTTTTAAAATATTAGGGGAAAAACAAGCTCTGGGAGTGGCTACTGGAGAAATTTTCATGAAAGATGTCATGCTAAAACAAAATATTAAAGAATAGACAACTTTTTTTCCCTCTTGTGTAGGTGGTGGAAATATTCTAGTAAGCTTGTTATGAAGTGCAGGAGCCCGCCTGCCTGATTGAGCTGGAGGGGGTGTTGGGGGATAGCAATCCACAGTGTTGGAGAAAGTGGGCTTGATGCTTATCACAATCAAGGTCAACTTATGAACACTTTAATATGTGACTAGAAAGAACAGGAGAGTCTGTAATGCATTACCACCTCAGGAGTTGGCACTGAGTTCCATGGTTGGATGATGGGTGGATGGACAGACAGATGGACAGGTGGATAAATAAGTAGACTTGACATGAGTCAAGTGTTCTTGGCTTCTGGGAAGAAAATTTTTTAAAGTTTCCATTTTCTACAAATCTAAACAGCTTCCTCTGAAGCTGAATTTAGTAGCATTTAAAAATCATTAAACCAAGACAGAGTTCCTACATATAAACCAAATGCAGGCCAGATATTACCTACATTGCACTACAGCAGAAGCAGGATTGGACCCTGGCTGTCTGACACAAACACCTGTGTTCTTCTGCACTGTGCCATGGGAGACAAAAACATTTCATAAAAAATAGAGACTAGAATATGTATGTGCTACATATTTACACACATTGATGACAATCAGGAATTAAGGCTAACCACATCTGGGCTTTGAGTCATATAAATAGGTTGGGAAAGATGCATTTTACTACCCTATTGAAAGAAACCATTTATTTCTCACTCCAGCAGGGAAAATGTTTTTCAGTATTCACTTATCTGCTCATTGGCTCTTTTACTATAGACCAGGAGATGGATAGCAGGAAAATAGCCCCAATTGGAGGCCCAAGGTCATGAGCAATTGACTCAATGTAATGGAAGAGTGGAGCATTCGGAGATACCTGTACTAATGGGACCCACATGATGTGGGTGAGAACTATTAGGATGAGAAATAACCTGGGAATGCAATTAAATATTCAAATACTAAACAGAACACAGTTGAAATCTCCACTGCACTTTAGTTTTTGAAGTGATTCTTGCAGTCATCATTGCCTTTCCCAAACAAAGCAAGCTACTTGATATCACATGAACCTGTGCCATGAGGAATGATAATCAGTTTGTAAAATGCCAAAAAAAAATTGTTTGCCTATATTAGTCACAATATTTTATCTATGTATTTCAATTTTTATCTAGGTATTTCAATTCAACATGTGTAAATACAGTTCAAATGTCAGAAATTATTATCTAGTACATATTTGTAATATATCAATGAGCAATAACCACCACACTACTTCTCTTAAGAATTATTTGATGAAAAAAGCAGACTCCCATTCTTGGATTTTTCTCAGTTTGCACACATTACTTACTATGACAGCCCCATGTCCACCAGACATGTGCCCAGGAGAAGAACAGGAACTGTAAGCTTTTCTTATTAACCTAGATTTCTAAATGTATTACATATTTATGGTTAGAAATTATTCTAAATATCTGAAAGGGTTTGAAAGGAAGTTTCCCTTCCACTCTGAACTCCCAAACACCAAGTCAGCATTTTTGTTTGCACATCATCCCTGCACTGTATCTGCAAATACAAACAAGCACCAGGAATGCATGCTTCTGCATGATTATATTTATACAAAGTCTTCTGTAGCTCTGCATATATCATTGGTCAATGCATCTTAGCTACCATTCTGCATTTCAAATGTAAATCCATTTCATTATTTAAGAGCTATAAAGTAATCTTGCTATTGAAACCATGCTGCAGTGAACAGCTTTTTCTGCATCGCTCCTGGCACTCATGCATGATTGTATCTGGTGAAGCATTCCTGGAAGTAGGATGGCTAGAAAGTTACACTATCTTTAACCTTGGCAGAACCAAACTGCCTCCTGAAGAGGTCATGTGAGTCAACAACCCCCTGGCCATAATTTTGGCTTTGTGTTTCACTCTAAGTTTAATCCATGTGACATGAGTCCTAAAGGCACTGACAAATGAGTATTGCAGGATAAGGGGCACAGCTGAAATCTTAATTTTACTACTTCACAAAATTTCAATAGTTTAGTTTCCTCTGTTTGTAAATGTTAAAAGGAAGCATTACAGAAAGATTACAATTCAAAATGATTGATATATTAATTTTTTTTAAGAGACAGAATCTTCCTCTGTCACCCAGACTGGAGTGCAGTGGCATGATCTCGGCTCACTGCAACCTCTGCCTCCTGGGTTCAAGAATTCTCATGCCTCAGCCCCCTGGTAGCTGGAACCACAGGCATGTGCCTCCACATCCAGCTAATTTTTATATTTTTCTTTTTTTTTCAGAAAATTATTTTAATAGTTACAAAACTTTTTTTTTTTTAACAGAATCGGTATAAAATAGCAGTTGATTTCTCCATAATTATCAGAATTTATACTTGAGGTCTTGGCTAAGTGGGGCTGAAATCAACAAAAGGTCTTGGACTGTTGGCTGAGAAATCATCCTAGGAAGCCCGCCTGTTGATATCTGTCATGCTTAGCTCTCATGAGATGCGCCAGTCCTAAAAAAAAAAAAAAAAAAAAAAAAAAAAAGAATCTCTCTTTATTCATTCTTTGGAGGCTTGAAATGAATTCAGCAGCATTCATTAAACACCTTCCAGCTCCTGTCATTTACCACTTCTTCAACATTCAGTTCTGACTGCATCCATTTCAACTTTGTCTGCTCTTTTCTAAGTTGCTTTAATAACGTTAAATCGTCCAAATTCTTTTCTCTCTCTTCTCAGAGGTTTTTTACTACTGCTGAAGTCTGGGCTATACAATTTTTTTGGACTCTGTCTCTACTGGCATGAGCTGCCATCAAAGACTCATAAAGTTGTTTACAGGTTTGGCTGGCATCAATTTTCCCTGCAAAGGAAGCTGTTGGAACCACAGTGTTTAATTCATGTACTATTCTGTCATCGATAGGCCTCATCACCTTGAGTAATTCCTGGAACTCGGTGAATTCCTCACAGTTCACACCGCCACTGGGTGCTGCCATATTGGACCTGATTTTTATATTTTTCATACAGATGGGGTTTTGCCATGTTGACCAGGCTGGTCTCAAACTCCTGGCCTCAAGTGATCTGCCTGCGTCAGCCTCCCAAAGTGCTGGGATTACAGGCATGAGCCACTGTGCCCGGTCATATTAATGTTTGTAAATGGAAAATGTGTGCATTGCTCAGGAAAAAGTAAGCTACCACCACTTATCTGTTCGAGATGCCTGATGGTGTGCTGAATTTGATTACGAAAATTAACATAATTAGAATAAGATGAAGTTTCTTTTCTTTGTTACATTTTAAAAATAAAAGGCTATTCAAATGAAAGACTAACCAGAGTAATTCAACTCTTAATGAGAGATAAAACTAAAACTTGACAAGGATTTGGAGAAATGGCTACTCTTATAGGCTGTTAAAGGAGCATAATTTAATGTAACCATTTAGGAAAAAGTTTGGTGTTATTAATGAAAATAAAAGATATGCACCCTTCTCACAATCTTCTCAACAGAAATGGGTGCCTGCATTATTCAAAAACATTGACAAAAATGCTCAAAGCAGCATTATTTGTGATAGCCAAAATTATAAAAAAATCCTCATATCCATCAATAGTAGTGGATAAATTACAACATGTGACCGCAGTGGAATACTATACGGTGAGGAAACGAAAGGGCTATGGTTATGCTTAACTACATGACTGAATCTCTAAAACAACGTGAGCAAAGAAGCCAGACACCAAGCAATACATATTGACTTCTTCTATGCATAATTATCCAAACCTGGAGAAGTCTAAACAGGGCATTAGAAGTCACAGCAGTCACCTTCAGAAGGGACCCAAAGGTGGCTAGTGGGTCTGGAATGCTGACCTGACTAGGGGTGCATGGGTGCTCATTTTGTGAGGAATCACTGAGCTGTACATTCGTGTTTTCCCTACTTTCTATACGTGTGTTAAAATTTAATTTTGAGATGTTTTACAAATTCCTGTGACAACATAGGTCTATTTGAAAATTGTGAACGGAAAATGAGAAAATGTCAAACATCCTTTTTGGCTGCTGCCTTTCACCCCACTGCCCTCAGGGACCCTTGGCCTGACCTGACAAAGTACCCTCTTGAAATTAGTCCCTTCTGAGTCTGTCCTTGTCCATCATGTCCAAACTCTTACTGAATGCCATTGGTAAACACTGTAGTAATGTGTTAATGGCTGGATACTGCTTTCATAGAATATGCATGAACTGTGTAGAGGCAATGCATTATCCCACAGAGAAGGTACAAATTCCATTCTCTATGAAGACACTGATGGACGGTCCTGAGGACCCCATTTAGGGCAGAGAGCATAAGGAGAGGAAGAAATAAGAGACAGTAAGGGGCCAGGTGCAGTGGCTCACACCTGTAATCCCAGCACTTTGGGTGGCTGAGGTGGGCGGATCTCGAGGTCAGGAGATCAAGATCACCCTGGCCAACATGTTGAAACCCCATTTCTACTAAAATATAAAAAATTAGCTGGGCATGGTGGCATGTGCCTGTAGTCCCAGCTACTCGGGAGGCTGAGGCAGGGGAATCGCTTGAACCTGGGAGGTGGAAGTTGCAGTGAGCCGAGACGAGATCACACCACTGCACTCCAGCCTGGGTGACAGAGCGAGACTCCGTCAAAAACAAAAGACAAAAAACAAACAAACAAAAAACAAAAAAACAGGGATATCTGTAATGATGAAGAAACTACTATTTTTTAATTGGGGTTAAAGGTATAACCCCAATTTTTGTATCTGGGAAGAGAAAAGGTTGAATTAAATGTTCTCTGCTATCCTTCCCCACTCTAAAACTCTGTAGATAATTCCAATGGAACCCCATTGAGGGGTTCCAATTCACTTTTATCTGCACTTTTTGCAGAGAAATCTCAGGGAGAAAGCAGGGCTGTCTTACCTTCCACCTCTAAGGAGTTCTCTTGTGCTCTTTTACTCCAGTGTTGGCTCCAGGACCTTGGGTAGAGGGTGCTGGTGATATGAGGTGGTCCAGGAGCTCATGAGAAAAAGCAAATGATAGGCAGCATCAGAACTCAGAGTTCTGGGTCCAGTGGAGCCCTTGGGCTGCCTCAAGGGAGGCCACTTAGTTTTCTATTTCCCTATGTAAAATAAGACTCCTCCAAAAATAAAACTGTCACCTGTAGCACTAAGTTACGTGCTATCACACATGAGATCATGTGGAACTTCCTGCATATTTCTTGGTGATCCAAGAAGTCTAGATTTTAAGTTCTAAATATCAACTTAGAGGACAATTACTGAAGCCTAATTTTGGAGGAGAGGAAAGAGTGCAGGGCCACCTTTCTTTAGGGAGAAACTCTGGGCTTCCTGAGTAGTTAGAGAACTGGGGAAAATGAAACCACAGCCCAGAGCCTGCGATAGGAGTGGGGAGTGGAGGCTGGAGCTGTGCTCAAGGTCAGGCTTCTCCTCTCCCCTCCCAGGGCACTGGAGCTCCAGCAGTGAACCCAGAGTGAATATTACCTCTGCCATCCACCCTGGGTGATCCCTGGGTGAACCAGGATCTCCTGGGTGAACCAGGAGTCAACAGCAAGGACAGAAACATGAATGTGCTTTTAAAAGTCCTAAAAATTCAGAGGATGATCATCAAGGTTTCCTACAGCCCTGGGCAAACCTTAGGAGTACTTTGTCTCCAGGTTCAAGCATGTGCCTGTGAGAGGCGTGGCCCTCACCTTCCCTCCACCACAGGTTGAGGGAACCCTAAACCTCTTTTGCACAATATCAAGGAGTGCTGACTAATCCAACGCAGAAGCTGTGATGTTTGGCAGATGCAGAGGCAGAAAAGGTGTTTTGGGAAAGATCATCTTTAAACAACGCGGCACCCTCATAAGCCCATAGAGACAGTTCTCACCACTACGCCAATAAACTTGGAAAAGACCAAACCAGCGGGGAGGAGCCAAGATGGCCGAATAGGAACAGCTCCGGTCTACAGCTCCCAGCGTGAGCGACGCAGAAGACGGGTGATTTCTGCATTTCCATCTGAGGTACCGGGTTCATCTCACTAGGGAGTGCCAGACAGTGGGCGCAGGCCAGTGGGTGCGCGCACCGGGCGCGAGCCGAAGCAGGGCGAGGCATTGCCTCACCTGGGAAGCGCAAGGGGTCAGGGAGTTCCCTTTCCGAGTCAAAGAAAGGGGTGACGGACGCACCTGGAAAATCGGGTCACTCCCACCCGAATATTGCGCTTTTCAGACCGGCTTAAAAAACGGCGCACCACGAGACTATATCCCACACCTGGCTCGGAGGGTCCTACGCCCACAGAATCTCGCTGATTGCTAGCACAGCAGTCTGAGATCAAACTGCAAGGCGGCAGCGAGGCTGGGGGAGGGGCGCCCGCCATTGCCCAGGCTTGCTTAGGTAAACAAAGCAGCTGGGAAGCTCGAACTGGGTGGAGCACACCACAGCTCAAGGAGGCCTGCCTGCCTCTGTAGGCTCCACCTCTCGGGGCAGGGCACAGACAAACAAAAAGACAGCAGTAACCTCTGCAGACTTAAATGTCCCTGTCTGACAGCTTTGAAGAGAGCAGTGGTTCTCCCAGCACGCAGCTGGAGATCTGAGAATGGGTGGACTGCCTCCTCAAGTGGGTCCCTGACCCCTGACCCCCGAGCAGCCTAACTGGGAGGCACCCCTCAGCAGGGGCACACTGACACCTCACATGGCAGGGTATTCCAACAGACCTGCAGCTGAGGGTGCTGTCTGTTAGAAGGAAAACTAACAAACAGAAAGGACATCCACACCGAAAACCCATCTGTACATCACCATCATCAAAGACCAAAAGTAGATAAAACCACAAAGATGGGGAAAAAACAGAACAGAAAAACTGGAAACTCTAAAACGCAGAGCGCCTCTCCTCCTCCAAAGGAACGCAGTTCCTCACCAGCAACGGAACAAAGCTGGATGGAGAATGACTTTGACGAGCTGAGAGAAGAAGGCTTCAGACAATCAAATTACTCTGAGCTACGGGAGGACATTCAAACCAAAGGCAAAGAAGTTGAAAACTTTGAAAAAAATTTAGAAGAATGTATAACTAGAATAACCAATACAGAGAAGTGCTTAAAGGAGCTGATGGAGCTGAAAGCCAAGGCTCGAGAACTACGTGAAGAATTCAGAAGCCTCAGGAGCCGATGCGATCAACTGGAAGAAAGGGTATCAGCAATGGAAGATAAAATGAATGAAATGAAACGAGAAGGGAAGGTTAGAGAAAAAAGGATAAAAAGAAATGAGCAAAGCCTCCAAGAAATATGGGACTATGTGAAAAGACCAAATCTACGTCTGATTGGTGTACCTGAAAGTGATGCGGAGAATGGAACCAAGTTGGAAAACACTCTACAGGATATTATCCAGGAGAACTTCCCCAATCTAGCAAGGCAGGCCAACGTTCAGATTCAGGAAATACAGAGAACGCCACAAAGATACTCCTCGAGAAGAGCAACTCCAAGACACATAATTGTCAGATTCACCAAAGTTGAAATGAAGGAAAAAATGTTAAGGGCAGCCAGAAAGGTCGGGTTACCCTCAAAGGGAAGCCCATCAGACTAACAGTGGATCTCTCGGCAGAAACCCTACAAGCCAGAAGAGAGTGGGGGCCAATATTCAACATTCTTAAAGAAAAGAATTTTCAACCCAGAATTTCATATCCAGCCAAACTAAGCTTCATAAGTGAAGGAGAAATAAAATACTTTACAGACAAGCAAATGCTGAGAGATTTTGTCACCACCAGGCCTGCCCTAAAAGAGCTCCTGAAGGAAGCGCTAAACATGGAAAGGAACAACCAGTACCAGCCGCTGCAAAATCATGCCAAAATGTAAAGACCATCGCGACTAGGAAGAAACTGCATCAACTAACGAGCAAAATAACCAGCTAACATCATAATGACAGGATCAAATTCACACATAACAATATTAACTTTAAATGTAAATGGACTAAATGCTCCAATTAAAAGACACAGACTGGCAAGTTGGATAAAGAGTCAAAACCCGTCAGTGTGCTGTATTCAGGAAACCCATCTCACGTGCAGAGACACACATAGGCTCAAAATAAAAGGATGGAGGAAGATCTACCAAGCAAATGGAAAACAAAAAAAGGCAGGGGTTGCAATCCTAGTCTCTGATAAAACAGACTTTAAACCAACAAAGATCAAAAGAGACAAAGAAGGCCATTACATAATGGTAAAGGGATCAATTCAACAAGAGGAGCTAACTATCCTAAATATATATGCACCCAATACAGGAGCACCCAGATTCATAAAGCAAGTCCTGAGTGACCTACAAAGAGACTTAGACTCCCACACATTAATAATGGGAGACTTTAACACCCCACTGTCAACATTAGACAGATCAACGAGACAGAAAGTCAACAAGGATACCCAGGAATTGAACTCAGCTCTGTACAAAGCGGATCTAATAGACATCTACATAACTCTCCACCCCAAATCAACAGGATATACATTTTTTTCAGCACCACACCACACCTATTCCAAAATTGACCACATAGTTGGAAGTAAAGCTCTCCTCAGCAAATGTGAAAGAACAGAAATTATAACAAACTATCTCTCAGACCACAGTGCAATCAAACTAGAACTCAGGATTAAGAATCTCACTCAAAGCCGCTCAACTACATGGAAACTGAACAACCTGCTCCTGAATGACTACTGGGTACATAACGAAATGAAGATGTTCTTTGAAACCAACGAGAACAAAGACACAACATACCAGAATCTCTGGGACGCGTTCAAAGCAGTGTGTAGAGGGAAATTTATAGCACTGAATGCCCACAAGAGAAAGCAGGAAAGATCCAAAATTGACACCCTAACATCACAATTAAAAGAACTAGAAAAGCAAGAGCAAACACATTCAAAAGCTAGCAGAAGGCAAGAAATAACTAAAATCAGAGCAGAACTGAAGGAAATAGAGACACAAAAAACCCTTCAAAAAATCAATGAATCCAGGAGCTGGTTTTTTGAAAGGATCAACAAAATTGATAGACCGCTAGCAAGACTAATAAAGAAAAAAAGAGAGAAGAATCAAATAGACACAATAAAAAATGATAAAGGGGATATCACCACTGATCCCACAGAAATACAAACTACCATCAGAGAATACTACAAACACCTCTATGCAAATAAACTAGAAAATCTAGAAGAAATGGATACATTCCTCGACACATACACTCTCCCAAGACTAAACCAGGAAGAAGTTGAATCTCTGAATAGACCAATAACAGGAGCTGAAATTGGGGCAATAATCAATAGTTTACCAACCAAAAAGAGTCCAGGACCAGATGGATTCACAGCCAAATTCTACCAGAGGTACAAGGAGGAACTTGTACCATTCCTTCTGAAACTATTCCAATCAATAGAAAAAGAGGGAATCCTCCCTAACTCATTTTATGAGGCCAGCATCATCCTGATACCAAAGCCGGGCAGAGACACAACCAAAAAAGAGAATTTTAGACCAATATCCTTGATGAACATTGATGCAAAAATCCTCAATAAAATACTGGCAAAACGAATCCAGCAGCACATCAAAAAGCTTATCCACCATGATCAAGTGGGCTTCATCCCTGGGATGCAAGGCTTGTTCAATATACGCAAATCAATAAATGTAATCCAGCATATAAACAGAGCCAAAGACAAAAACCACATGATTATCTCAATAGATGCAGAAAAAGCCTTTGACAAAATTCAACAACCCTTCATGCTAAAAACTCTCAATAAATTAGGTATTGATGGGACGTATTTCAAAATAATAAGAGCTATCTATGACAAACCCACAGCCAATATCATACTGAATGGGCAAAAACTGGAAGCATTCCCTTTGAAAACTGGCACAAGACAGGGATGCCCTCTCTCACCGCTCCTATTCAACATAGTGTTGGAAGTTCTGGCCAGGGCAATCAGGCAGGAGAAGGAAATAAAGGGTATTCAATTAGGAAAAGAGGAAGTCAAATTGTCCCTGTTTGCAGACGACATGATTGTTTATCTAGAAAACCCCATTGTCTCAGCCCAAAATCTCCTTAAGCTGATAAGCAACTTCAGCAAAGTCTCAGGATACAAAATCAATGTACAAAAATCACAAGCATTCTTATACACCAGCAACAGACAAACAGAGAGCCAAATCATGAGTGAACTCCCATTCACAATTGCTTCAAAGAGAATAAAATACCTAGGAATCCAACTTACAAGGGATGTGAAGGGCCTCTTCAAGGAGAACTACAAACCACTGCTCAAGGAAATAAAAGAGGATACAAACAAATGGAAGAACATTCCATGCTCATGGGTAGGAAGAATCAATATCGTGAAAATGGCCATACTGCCCAAGGTAATTTACAGATTCAATGCCATCCCCATCAAGCTACCAGTGACTTTCTTCACAGAATTGGAAAAAACTACTTTAAAGTTCATATGGAACCAAAAAAGAGCCCGCATCACCAAGTCAATCCTAAGCCAAAAGAACAAAGCTGGAGGCATCACACTACCTGACTTCAAACTATACTACAAGGCTACAGTAACCAAAACAGCATGGTACTGGTACCAAAACAGAGATATAGATCAATGGAACAGAACAGAGCCCTCAGAAATAACGCCACATACCTACAACTATCTGATCTTTGACAAACCTGACAAAAACAAGCAATGGGGAAAGGATTCCCTATTTAATAAATGGTGCTGGGAAAACTGGCTAGCCATATGTAGAAAGCTGAAACTGGGTCCCTTCCTTACACCTTATACAAAAATCAATTCAAGATGGATTAAAGATTTAAACGTTAGACCTAAAACCATAAAAACCCTAGAAGAAAACCTAGGCATTACCATTCAGGACATAGGCATGGGCAAGGACTTCATGTCCAAAACACCAAAAGCAATGGCAACAAAAGCCAAAATTGACAAATGGGATCTAATTAAACTAAAGAGCTTCTGCACAGCAAAAGAAACTACCATCAGAATGAACAGGCAACCTACAACATGGGAGAAAATTTTCGCAACCTACTCATCTGACAAAGGGCTAATATCCAGAATCTACAATGAACTCAAACAAATTTACAAGAAAAAAACAAACAACCACATCAAAAAGTGGGCGAAGGACATGAACAGACACTTCTGAAAAGAAGACATTTATGCAGCCAAAAAACACATGAAAAAATGCTCATCATCACTGGCCATCAGAGAAACGCAAATCAAAACCACTATGAGATATCATCTCACACCAGTTAGAATGGCAATCATTAAAAAGTCAGGAAACAACAGGTGCTGGAGAGGATGTGGAGAAATAGGAACACTTTTACACTGTTGGTGGGACTGTAAACTAGTTCAACCATTGTGGAAGTCAGTGTGGCGATTCCTCAGGGATCTAGAACTAGAAATACCATTTGACCCAGCCATCCCATTACTGGGTATATACCCAAATGACTATAAATCATGCTGCTATAAAGACACATACACACGTATGTTTATTGCGGCATTATTCACAATAGCAAAGACTTGGAACCAACCCAAATGTCAAACAATGATAGACTGGATTAAGAAAATGTGGCACATATACACCATGGAATACTATGCAGCCATAAAAAATGATGAGTTCATGTCCTTTGTAGGGACATGGATGAAATGGGAAATCATCATTCTCAGTAAACTATCACAAGAACAAAAAACCAAACACCGCATATTCTCACTCATAGGTGGGAATTGAACAATGAGATCACATGGACACATGAAGGGGAATATCACACTCTGGGGACTGTGGTGGGGTGGGGGGAGCGGGGAGGGATAGCATTGGGAGATATACCTAAGGCTAGATGACGAGTTAGTGGGTGCAGCGCACCAGCATGGCACATGTATACATATGTAACTAACCTGCACAGTGTGCACATGTACCCTAAAACTTAAAGTATAATTAAAAAAAAAAAGAAAAAAAAAAAAAGACCAAACCAAACTTTACACATATTTCCTTTTTCTTTTTGATTCTATGCCCCCTCCCTCAGCCTCCCAAGCAGCAGGAATACCCTGAAGGGCCCTGGGAACCCTTGCCCACTGAGTCCCACCTGGAAAGCAGTTCCCTAGCTGGAGAGTCCTCCTCATCAGTTATGCTCTCCAGCACCCACACTGGAGAAACACAAACAACAGGAGAAGTCATTTGAGAGAGGCTACCCACTCCTACTCCCGCTGAAGCCCCACTGCCTCACACAGGATTCCCTGGTCTTTCCTCTGGGTTCACAGATATTCCTGCAGCCTCTCTGGCCATAGCTTTCTACTGGAAAGTCATTTGCTCTCACCAGGCCCGTAATGCTCCTTCCCAAAGGAACCCAGAATCAGGTTTCCGTACACTAGATCCAGCAAGTTTGTTCCTCAGGAAGTGAGCCATTTCAGGGTAAATACTCCCCTCTGAGGTTGATGGCATCTGCAATTATAGAACACATTAGGAGGATTAGATGATGCCACGCATGTCACACATATCTGTTATTCTCTTGGCAACTTTAGAAAATTGTAAGTATAGTGGTAGAGTCAAAGGTCAAAGTCCCCCAAAACTAGCACAAAGTACACCTACAGAAAAGACAAGAACTTTTCCAACAGAATTTACCTTTAAGGTTTATTTAGATGGGCAGTTTCACAACTCTTTTTTATTTTTATTTTTATTTTTTGAAGGAGTCTCGCTGTCCAGGCTGGAGCGCAGTGGCTTGATCTCGGCTCACTGAAACCTCCACCTCCCTGGTTCAAGCGATTCTCCTTCTTCAGCCTCCCAAGTATCTGGATTACAGGCGCATGCCACCAAGCCCAGCTAACTTTTGTATTTTTAGTAGAGACGGGGCTTCATCATGTTTGTCAGGCTAGTTTTGAACTCCTGACCTCAGGTGATCCGCCTGTCTTGGCCTCCCAAAGTGCTGGGAATACAGGTGTGAGCCACCGGACCCAGCCACTTCCACAACTCTTAATCCATGGGGAAAACTGCTGCTGAGGGAAAGGCCTCTGCATTGCAGTAGATAGGGAATGCTGCCATCTACAAGGCCCCAGTATGCCAGGTGTGGGTTGGTGAGAGGCTGCCAACCAGTACCACCCAGCAAGGGAACTGTGGACATCATAGATAATGCACCCTGTCAGATTCCCATGTGTATATTTGACTGGAAAGGAAAGCAGCCAGGAAAGTAACATTTCTGTTTAAGACCAAGAAAAGTGTCTTACATTGCCAGCATCTTCTTTTTTGCAGATGTCTCCTACAGCACCCTCAGGAGGAGCTAGGAGAACACAGAGTAAGGGTCAGTGCCCTGGTGGTGGCAACTGTGTCACCCAGAGAGCTTTGCTTGGTGTGGTGCATGGAGGTAGCTGATCACAGCATGCGCCAACCTGATGCTGGGCCATGCTCCAGGTGGAAGGAGGAGGGCAACAGAGAGAGCAGGAGGGAACTGAGACAAGGAGGCCTAGGCCTTGTCCTTGTCCTAAGGCATCATGAAGCAGCACAAAGGAGTAAACCCAAAATGGACCTAAAATGCACACCAAGGTTCAACAGAAGGGTCCCTTCATCACTCACATGATTTGAAACTCTTCTACACAAACAAGACTTTCTTAACGTATTCAAGATTATCTCAGTGTACTACTAGAATCAAACTATGTTGGTACTGCATCTATTATCTATTTTACAGGATTTATCACTTGATTAAAAGCCAATTTTATTGGTGAAATAGATTCAATTTTAGGCAAATTATTTTATTTATTGCAAATTCTTTTTCATACAGATAACCAAAACATTAAAAATACTGAAATACTACAGATTAGAAATAGTCATACTTTCCCCTTTTTAAGTCTTCTTCTTGAGCCATGGTGCACGCACGGCACTCTTGGGCTGCTGTGATCAGGAGATCCAGGATCCTTTGTGCCACCCTCTCTGGAGACATTACCTAGAGGTCTCGCTCCAGGCAAAGAGGCCAAGCTCAGAGCCTGCTGGATCTGCTCTGCTGAAGCTAAGGGACATGACTCAGACACGCTCTACAGTGGGAAGCGGTTTCCAGGTTCAGATATGCATCATCTACTGAAATGAGGAAGTAGAAAAAATAGAAATTGACAAGTTCATGAGAAACTGCCCATGAGTGCAGGAGTAATTATTTTTGTCAACTGCCTTACATTCAGTATGTATTCAGACATATATAAGGTATTTTTATAAAAGTTGCAATTTTTAATTTTTGTCAGTTATGTTAAATCTAACTTATCAGCTCTCAATATAAAGACTCTACCTCATTTTCTTTGTGGTTTCCAGAAAATCTAGCACATGGTAAGTAGAACACCAAAATATTTATTAAATGAAAACACAGAGCAGGGATTGGGGACAGGCAGGCACGCAGGCAGGCAGTTATATTTGCTTACCTGGATGATAGTAAACTACACAAAACCTTAGTTAGATTAATACTGAAATTGCCTTCTGCTTTGGCTGTTTGCCGTTTTGGAAGAAGGACAACAATGAAGATGAACAGGAAAGAAATGAGAAACAGAGACCTTTGCTTACTAGCTAAAGGCTACCTACTGTAACACGAAATTGTCTACAAATGGTTTTCAACTCTGCGTGCTGTAATTCAGTGACAGAGTTCCCTAATTCCTCCTGTCTGGCTTCAAGTCCAGCTACATCGCCGCTGTCTTCTTTACAACTTGCAAGATGCTGCTGCTACTGCACTTATCTGCTGTATGAGATTTACACTTGTTTTAAAGCAAAACTTTATTTCACGTAGGCTAATGGCCAGGCAGGCTACACTAGTCAGTTAACAGTGAGACGGTTCCTCATGGAGGAAAGGTTAGGTTGAGGCTGAGGATCCTTAATCCAGATGTATAACAGAGTTGCCACGAGGCAACGGAAACCACACTGAGTGGAGCAGTGTTCTTATCTGTCTCTCTTCACCATTTTTAGCTGGCAGGTTTTGAGGATTTTAGGGCTTGTGAACATTACTAAATCTACTGAAATATATCACTGATCCTTATAAGCTTTGGCCAGCTGCTGAGCAAAATAACTTCAGAACTGTTCTATATGGTCCCCCACATCTTAGAACCTGTGAGCTGACCCAAAACATCCGGGGATCTTTGTGCTTTTGACACTGAGGACTATGCTGGTCTGTAGGAAGATGTGCCTATAACTGCTCTGGGTTATGTGACCATGGAGGTCACTTTATGGTGATGGGCAGAGTCTGGGATCTCTCAGGCTCAGTGCTTTAGGGCTTGTACATGAATGCTGGACTCCTGCATGGTGATGAACACCCTGTGACTGATGCATAAGTGCATGTCAGCAGGTGACTGTCAGCATTGGGCCACACACCTGAGCTCATGTTTTGACTTTTTCATTCAGGAGCTCAAAAGCTGGGGCCACTCCCATTGGCCCTTCAGATTCTCCACCTGAGCAGTGAGGGGAATGAAAGGTGGCTCTGGCACGGGTGAATGAGTCATGTATGGAGAGAGTAGAACAGGGGTGGATTTTACTTTTTAGAAGTGGAGACTGGCAATTGTGCTGTGTAAATGGAAAATCTCTCCTGAGAAAACACACAGCCTCCCCTATACGAAAACACACACAATCATATCACACGATGCAGACTCATAAGACACCAGGCAAGCGCACAGCCCAGCGCCCCCATAGGAGTGCAGCTGCTTCATCAGATGGAGACATTTGGTCATAATTTTTGCTTGGAGAACTTAAAAAAAAAGTCCACTACCCTTATTCCTATCAGAATCCCAGAATCAGGGTGGCTCTTCACATTGAAGCCAGCAAGGATGTCACACCTTTCTTGGCATCCAGACTTTTCTTTCTCAGCAAGTAATTCCAGAGTACTTACTGGAGTCACACCTCAGAGGGGCCGCCTGCACAACCTGCAATACAGAAACAAAGCTATATGAGGGGCACATTGAGCTGTGGATTGTTTGCACCTGGCTCTGTTTCTCTCAAAGAGCATTAAAAACTGCATCAGAAACTGTAGTCAACTCCAAGGCCCCCAAAACAAGGGTAGGATGCACACTGGAAAAGACATGAGCTTTTCCTAGAAGGTGTATCTCTTAGGTCCATTTAGGTCGGCAAGTGCAAAATGCTTAATCCAAGAAGACATTGCTTCCAAGAACAAGGACCCCAGGGATACAGTCTATAACCTGAGGCCATCATACGTAAATGTCATTTTGGATTACATATCAGTTGCTGAGAATATCTTCTTCCACCACCCCAGAAAACAGTATTTAATGTCTATAATGCACATTGTTATTTTTTTCACATGTAAAGTTAATTGAAAAAGCAACCAAGAAAGGAACATGTCTATTTTAGGGAAAGCAAGGCAACCTCACCCTCACGTCGATCGGCCTCTCTTCATCTCCTCTGCCCTCATGAGCTGGAAACTCCTGCGAGGCTAGAAGGACACAGAGCAACTGTCGGTCATAGATGCTTCTGTTCATGATTTATCCAGGGAGCTCTGCTGAATGTAGACAATAGGACAGTGTGTGTGGATGTGTTCGGTTAAAAGCACAGCTTGGACTGCACTAGAAAATTTTTCCTCATGAAAAGACAGGCAAGAAAGAGGAGCATGAAAGGAGTGAGAAACTGAGTCCCTGGCATTTTGCTAATGGCAACCTAACGCAACAAGAATAAGTCAGTCTACAAACAGTACTGAAGTACATGCTGTAATTTGATGAGAATCCCATTACTCACACTGCTGGTTTTGAAACCCAGCTAAATGGTTTTCTAAACCCCGTAAAACAATATTAGCTTGTAAGATTTATGTCCCAAGACCATTTTTATGTCAATGGATCCACATTGGCTGTCACTGCAGTTATTATGTGTTTTAGGATTTTGCACTTGAATAAAAGCAAAGTTTAATGGACAGATTGGATTCAATTCCAGGCAAAAGTCTATTGTATTTATTCACTAATCATTTGTTATAACCAATGACAGAATTAGAAACACTGAAATTATATCCTTTAAAATAACCATTATTAATAACCCACTATTTTTTCATCCAGACCGCCTTTTCTTTGTCATGTATGCATATTAGTTGAGTTTGAAGAATATCTGTGCTTGTTCTGGCCAGCTAATGTTGGACAGTTTATTTCAGGAGAGGAGATGTGGGTTGAATACTGGTATGTTTTAACTCTGCAGTACAAACAGTTGCAACAAGTTTGGTGAACTAATCACCAAATGGCCCTTTGCTGCCTTATTTGTCATTCTGCCTCATGTGTAGCTTGCAGGATTTGATCACTCCTAGGTCTTTTGGTGATAATACACTCTACTGTTTCAAAAATATTTCTTCAATCTTACCTGTTTGGGGCCAACTGCTGAGGAGTGTCCTCAGCACTGAAAGAAGTTCATGAAAGTCTCTCAGTGCTGCTTCCCAGTGACCAGAACTTGTGACCTGGCCATGGCATGAGAAGTATCTGGGCCCTCTCTGTACTGCCCACACCAATGGCTATGCCCAGTGATACAGTTACATTCACTGATGTCTGCCCTAAGCTATGTGATTACTGTGGCCACCCTGTAATCACAGCCAGTGCCTGGGATGTCTGCAGACTCACATAAATCTAGGACACACATGAGTGAGGGAGCCACCTATGCTTATAACTCATGGCAGGATTGAAAGCCACCCCTCTCAGCATGATAACTGCAGTTCAGCGACTCACTGCTTCAGCCTTGGGGCCACATGTCTAGGTTCACATCTTGTCTCCTTCACTTAGGATCCTGCAAGTTTGCGCACATTCATTTAGCACCTCAGTTTCTCCATCTAAGGAGTCTGGACAGTAAACTACCACAACTCAGGTGAGGTTTGTAGTGAGGGTTGAATGGGGTACTAAAAGTAAAGTGTGTGTTGTGTATGGTCAGCAAGGTCAATTAGAGGTGAACTGACTTGCCTGAGGTCTCACAACTTAGCAAGATTCAGAGCTGCTTTCAAACCCAGGAGATAAGCTTCCAAGTCAGGGCTGATTCCATAACACAGACCTGTTTTGTCCAAAAATAACCACTTCAGCTTAGCCCAAACTTGGTTTTGAAGGAATCAGATAGCTCTAGGTGTCAAAAATGCTTTTGGTGACATCCTGATTCCATGCAGTGGCTACTTCCAAAAAAAATTTTTTTTAAAGTGAGTGCTGTCTACAAAATGAACCAGTAACCTGACAAAAAATCCACAGATACCTGGTCCAATGGGATGAACACCAGTTTACCAGGAGAGGAGAGTGACCTGCTATATCATCTTGGTGTTCTAAACTCATGATACACTATTATCTCTTATGACTTATTCCTCCCAAATGTAAGTGGCTCTGCCTGAGCCCACTGCCCAGCTACAGAGATGAGCACAGCCCAGCCTTGGAGCAGTGCTCGGGATGAAGCGACAGGAGAACCATTTTGGGCATCTCTTACCTCTGAGGAGGGCAATGGGTTGGGTGAAAGTATATTATTGATATGTCTGTAAGTAGAGAATTCTGCGTAATACACAAAAATATGCTTAGGAATCATGTTGTGGTAGATAAATGGACCTAGACACAGACATTATCATTAGATATTTGGGAAAACTCATGATATGAGGAGAAGCAAAAGCAACAGGCTCCACACGTCATGAGCTCAGTATACATTTCCGTCTCAGGAAAAGAAGGAAGCCATGTTAAAAGGAAGGTCAGGCTTCCTTCATTTGTGAAAAGCTTCCCTGCACATTTCCTCCACTCCAGATTCACTGCAAATTTCTGATATTAGTAATTAAAAAGGTCATTAATGATGTTAAAGCAAAGACAAAATAGACATTGCCATATTCTTCCAGTTACTAGCTAACAGGGAGCCTTGCTGTGCAGAACAGAATGAGAAATACCACGTATTACCAAAAGGAAAAAAACAAAGACATCATCTTGAAGAAAGAACTAAAACTATAAATTGTGGAATAAGAAGACAAATTATTTTTTGAACAATCTAACTAGGCCATTTGGAAGGACATCATTCAGTAGGGAGTATGAATTTAACTGTACAGTAGCAATATACATTTCATATCTTGAGAAAATAGATATGAAGCCAATAACTTCTCTACCTTTTTATATATAGAAAATATGAAATAATCTATAAGAATGCTATTAATGTTAACAAGTTCAAAGTTGCAGAGTATAAGGCTGACACTCAAATGGCAGCTGTGTTAATATACACCAACAATGAACAGTCCAATAAGAAAATTGCATATGTAATTCCATTTATAATAACATGTAAAATGATTACATACTTAGTAAGATAACTAACCGAGGAAGCAAAATACTTACACCTCAATAAGAACAAAACATTGCTGAAATAAAGTAAAGAGGATATAAATAAGTAGAAAGGCATCCTGTATTCATGGACAGGAAGACTAAACATTATTCAAGTGCAATACTATACAAAGTGATGTACAGATGCACCACAACCCCTGTCAAACTGCTGACAACCATGTTTGCAAAAATGGATAAGAAAACCCTCAATTTTGAATGAATTTTCCAGGGGTCTCAAATATTCAATAACATTGTAAAAGAAGAATTGTGTTGGAGGACACACGTTTATGAGATTGAAATGTACAATACAGTTACATATACTTAAAAAGTATGGTCCTAGAATTAGGGCACCCATAAGGACCACTGGGACTGATAGAGAGCCCAGAATTAAACGCATACATATATAGCCAAGTGATCTTCAACAAAGTGCCATAAATATACAATGGAAAGTGGAAAGCCTCTTCAGCAAATGATGTTGGTAAAACTGCACATTCTCATTCAGATAAATGAACTGAATGTTTACTTTACACCATATAAAAAATTAATTCAAAATGTGTCAGAGACCTAAATATAAGAGCTAAAATTATAAAACTCTCAGAAGAAAATATTGGGATAAGGTTTCATGGCAGTGAATTTAGCAACCTTTTAATGAATAAGACACTAAAAATAAGGCAATGCTTAAAAAAATCAATTTTTATCCCAGAACTTAAAGTATAATAAATAAATAGAAAAAAATCAATTTTACACAAATTAAGGAAGTTTGTACATCTAAAGTTCTAAAAAAAGGGAGAAATATTTGCAAATTATACATCTTGTAAGAAATTAAAAATTAGAATATATTCTAAAACTCCTAAAAATCTACAACAACAACAAACAAAAGACAAAAGACAATTCTAAAAATGGGCAAAGTACCTGAATATATAAGTCTCTAAAGGAGGTATACCCAGCAGAGGAAAAGCTGCTCGGCATCACTAGTCATTGGGGAAATGCAAGTGAAAAGCACAAACAGGTTCCAATATACACCTACTAGGATAATTTTCTTTTTTTTTAGACGAAGTCTTGCTGTGTTGCCCAGGCTGGAGTGCAGTGGCTTGATCTTGGCTCACTGCAACCTCTAGCACTCAGGTTTAAGCGATTCTCCTGCCTCAGCCTCCGAAGTAGCTGGGATTACAGGCGCGTGCCACCACGCCCAGCTAATTTTTGTACATTTAGTAGAGACGGGGTGTCAGCATCTTGGCCAGGCTGGTCTTGAACTCCTGACCTCGTGATCCACCCACCTCAGCCTCCCAAAGTGTTGGGATTACAGGTGTGAGCCACTGTGCCTGGCCTTAGGATAATTTTGTTTTGTTTTGTTTTGAGACAGAGTCTTGCTTTATCACCCAGGCTGGAGTGCAGTGGCACGATCTTGGCTTACTGCAAGCTCTGCCTCCTGGGTTCACGCCATTCTTCTGCCTCAGCCTCCCAAGTAGCTGGGACTACAGGCGCCTGCCACCACGCCTGGCTAATTTTTTTTCTATTTTTTAGTAGAGACAGGGTTTCACTGCGTTAGCCAGGATGGTCTCGATCTCCTGACCTTGTGATCCACCTGCCTCACCCTCCCAAAGTGCTGGGATTACAGGCGTGAGCCACCATGCCCGGCTGGATAATTTTTTTAAAGGAAAATAATTTAAAATAAGTGTTTAAAGGAAAACAAGAAATTGTAACTGTGATACATTGCTGGTAGAAACGTATAAAGTTGCAATCACTGTGAAAAACAGTTTGCAGTTGCTCCAAAGGTTAAACATAGAACTACCACTGGACCCAGGAATTCTAGTAGTAGGTATATACCAAAAAGAATGGCAAACAGAACTCAAAACAGATATTTGTACACTAATGTTGATAGCATCACTATTCACAAGGGCCAAAAGATGGAAAAATCCAACTATCAGTGAACAAATGAATGTATAAAAACAAAGTGGTATATACATGTAATGGTACATCATCCATCTGTAAAAAACAATTTTGATATATGATACAATGCGGATGGATACTGAAAACATTATGCCTAATGAAATAAGCCAGACACAAAAGGAATATTGTAGGATTCTACTAAAATCAAGTGCCTAGAATAATCAAATGCATAGACACAGAAGATGGGATAGAAATTACCATGGGCTGCTGCCAACCAGTCTTGTAAGGTGCAGTTGGAAACCGGGGACATGGCAGCACCCGGCCCAGTGCTCTGCCTTTTGGACGTTGATGGGACCCTGACCACCCTGCAGCAGAAAATTACCAAAGAAATGGATGACTTCCTACAAAAATTGAGGCAGAAGATCAAAATCGGAGTGGTAGGCAGGTTGGACTTTGAGGAAGCGCAGGAGCAACTGGGAAATGCTGTGGTTGAAAAATATGATTACGCGTTTCCAGAAAATGGCTTGGTAGCACACAAAGATGGGAAATCCTCGTGTAAATGGAATATTCAAAGTCACCTGGGTGAGGTCCAAATCTAAGATTTAATCAACTATTGTCTGAGCTGCAATGCAAAAATTAAACTCCTGAAGAAGAGGGGTACTTTCATTGAATTCTGAAATGGGATGTTAAACATGTCCCCTATTTGGAAGAAGCTGCAGCCAAGAAGAATGCATTGAGTTCTACGAATTCAATAAAAAAGAAAATATAAGAGAAAAAGCTGTAGCAGATCAAGGAAAGAGTTTGCAGGAAAAGCCCTCACGTTTTTCGTAGGAGGCCAGATCAGCTTTGATGTCTTTCCTGATGGATGGGGCAAGAGGTATTGCCTGTGACATGTGAAAAATGACAGTTATAAGGCCATTTATTTCTTTGGAGACAAAATCATACCAGGTGGCAACGACCATGAGACCTTCACAGACTCCAGAACCGTGGGCTACTCCATGACGGTGCCTGAGGACACACGCAGGTTCTGTGAAGAGCTTGCCTAATGTGTGAGTGGGAGGGGCAGGGGTGGTCCCGGCTGACTAGCCAGCAAGGGGCATTCGGTGGCCAAAGCCAAGGGCCCTCCCGCATATGCTCACCCACCCACAGCCCAGCCAAGCTCTGCGTACTGTGCCAAGCATGTGTGGTCTTGACCTGCACCCCTGACATGCCGTGCCTCCACCTCCAGTGCCAGAAGCTTCCAGAAGGGAGGAGAAAAGAGTTGTCAAGAATTGCTTAGAGGAATACCTCACATGAAAGATTTTCCCCACCCATCCGCGGCCCCCTAGTCTAATATACCCACCCCAATATGTGCAATCACAGTACACATGGTTTTTGGGGAAATTTCCCCATCACTCCAGGGTGATACGGAAAGAAAAAATGTGCCTGGACCCTCCCTCTTTGTGGGTCTTGTGAAAACATCAGCGATTTTAACGTCTGGATGTGTCAGCACCAAAACGGGGATTTGGTGATGAGAAAGCAAGGACAGGCCATCTGCAGTGGCCCACCCCAGGACAGAAGTTTACAGACACCTCCTGGAACCAAACTCCCGCCTGCAGGTTGCCTCGATGCAGGTGGTGGCTGTGAGCAGGGGCAGTGTGACACCCAGTGAGTAGATGCACTCCTTCTGTTTTCCTGTTTGTGAAGCTGAGGCCTGCTGGACAGATGGCTGGCGAACTGACAGCAAACCCCATGCAGTTTGCACCTCAGCTGGCCCTGCCTCAGCCAGCTCTGTATTTACTACACTAGGAATAGCCTGGCTGATTTTCTGTATCCATGACGGGAGGCAATGGGAACCAACAGCCCAGCTGGAGAGTTGGTGCTGGCAAAACAGTCCTTCCCCTGGGGGCCGGTTCTTACCCAGGTCCAGAGAAACTAATGTAGGATGTCAGACTTCACCAAAAGGCCCTTCCGGTTGGCTCTGGCTGGGCTTCCCAGAGGCGTTCCTCTCTAGTTCCTCAGGGACGTGTGAGAACCTGGCTAGGGAAGAGGAACAGGGGCTGTTCTCCTGTCAGCGCCTACTCAGCCCCTCACCCGGACTTTATGACTGAGGGGTCTGAGTGCAGCTGCAGCTGGGCCTGCGTCCCTCACTCTTTCCACCTTCTGCACATTCTTTGTGAAACTGGAAGGAGCTCACAGACCTCATCCAGAACACGGTGGAAGAGAACTTGCCTAGGAAACAGTTCACGTCTCACTTTTCAGGATGTGGAAATGCTGGGACCCACAGACCCTACATTGGTTGGTGCTGGGGCCATGTGGCCTCCACTGGGCACTTGCCGATCTGAGTATGGGGTCAGGGGGGCCCAGGCTGCCCTGCACTCCCACCTCCCAGCCCACAGCAAGGTGCTTTCATCACAGCGAAACCTGGTTCCCTGCAAACCTCCTAGCCACTCGGGCCTGTTAGCTGTCTGAGCCCCAGATCAGGTTGGGCGAAAGCAGGCAGCACCTCATCACAGTGACTCCCAGAACACGGCCATCCACAGGCATCTTTCCTTGTTGAGTTTTGCAAATGATACTGTAATGACTTCAAAATGAAAAGTAGCACATTAAAGTGATTTTATTGTTTCCTAAAAAAAAAAGAAAAGAAAAAGAAATTACCATGGGCTGGAAATAGGGGGAAAGGAAGTATATTGCTTACTGTCTTCAAGGTTTCGTTAGAAATAATCAAAATTTCAGGTGTAGATAGTAGTGTTGGTTATGCAACACTGTGAATATATTGAATGCCACTGAGTGCACACATTGGTTAAAAGGTTCAAATAAATATTGTGTTATGTATATTTTCCCAGAATAGAAAACATGCACAGCCAAGCCCAGATGCCAATCTTGCTAGGTGCTTTCCTTTACCTTCAAGAGCTGGCCAAGGCTCATCCAATCCCTCAAGGCAGCTGGGAAGTCTAAGACTGAAGTCTGCACTGGAAGAGAAATTAATGGAAGGAGGAGAAAACTTAAGAGTCCATACTACTCGCTCCCCAGGGCCAACAACTCTCTCTCCTGCACTTTATTGATCCAGCTCAGTATCTCCTGTGACCACCTCCTTTTTTCAACTGAAGACTTTGCACCTGAAGAGACTCCCAGGTCTTTCACCCTGGCCCTTGTCAGGGCTGATCCTCTCAGCTACTGCCCATTTGACCTCCATTCATGTCCATGCCACATCAGGCTGTGTTGTCTAGGTGGAATGAATCCACTGTGAGACAGGAGCCATTGGTGCTCCCCCAAATGTCCCTTTCTGGAGGAAGCCACCATTATGCTGTACCTCCAACATGTCCACACACACCGAGGCATCTCATTCACGCAAGGTGTGTGTCCTCCGACGAAGTTTCACACTCTAAACCCAGATAACTTTTGAAACCCAAGTTTTGTTGATTCCCCTTACTTAAGTTGTTCATTTGTCTACAAAACACTGCCCCAATTAAACTGCCAAAAATGTTTTGCAGAATTTGTATGTTAATTCTGACATTGTTATTACAAGTGTTTTTCTCCCGGAAAATTTATGTCTTTGTTACTGATAAAAGTATATAACTACTAACGCTGTTTTCAGCTATGTTGCCAAGCACATTTATATAAAAATATATTCTTAATTATTCTGAGAATCTGACAAAGACAATAACAACAATAATAATCTCATTTGCTTTATACTAATCTTTATATGTGTTACTTTATTCATTTCTTACATGCTAGGGCTTACCATACAGTGTACCAATTTCATACACTGTATGAAATTGGTACTATGCAGCACGGTAGAAATGTACATTGGCACAGCTAATTTAGAAGATAGCTTTCTTGTTTCTTAAAAAAAATTAAATTTGAACTTACCATTTGGTCCAGCAAATCCACACCCAGGAATGCTCCAAGTGAACTGAAAGCATATTCTCCAAAGTCATTTGTACAGACATGTGTCTCTTAACGACAGTGATGTGTTCTGAGAAATGCATCGTTAAGTGATGTAGTAATTACGCAGACATCATAGAGTGCACTTACATAAACCTGGATGGCATAGCCCCCTATACACCTAGGCTGTATGATACAGCCAATTGCTCTGGGCTTCAAACTGTACAACATGTAACTGTACTGAATACTGCAGGCAAAGGTAACAAAACGGTAAGCATTTATATATCTAAAATCTAAATATAGAAAAGCTACAATAAAATATGGTATAAAATATAAAAATTAGTACATCTGTATAGGGCACTTTACCATGAACAGAGCTTAAAGGACTGGACGTTGCTCTGGATGATTCGGTGAGTGAATGGTGAGTGAATGTGAAGGCCTAGGACCTTACTGTACACTACTATAGACTTTATGAACATTGTATCTTTAGACTACCCTAAATTTATAGAAATCTATTTTTATTTACTCAACAATTAACCTTAGCCTACTGTAACATTTAAAATTTATAAACTTAAACAATTTTAAAAACAACTATTTTGTAATACCACTTACCTTAAAACATAAACATATTGTACAGCTGTGCAAATTTTTAAAATATTATTCTATATTTTTTCTATTTTAAAATTTAAGTTTTAAATTTTAAACTTTTTTTGTTAACAGCTGAGGCTCAGACACACACATCAGCCTAGACCTACACAGGATTAGGATCATCAATGTCACTGCCTTCTGAATCCACATCTTGTCCCACTGGAAGGGGCAGAAACACACATGGTGCTGTCATCTCTTACGATAACAACACCTTCTAGCATACATCCTCAAAGGCCTACTTGAGGCTGTTTTACAGGTAAGTGGTTTGTTTTAATACGCAGATAGAATATATTCTCAAATAATTATAGAAAGTATAGCACAGTAAATACATAAACCAGGAACATAGTCATTTATTTTCACTACCAAGTATTATATACTGCACATAGTTGTATGTTCTATACAGTACTTTAACATAACTGGAAAACCAGTAGATTCCTTTCCATCGGCATCATCACTGATGCCTGTCTAATGTGTTACGCTACACACTTGTGACAGCTACAAGACACTAGGTGATAGGAATTTTTAAACTCTATCATAATCTTATGGGACTGCCATCATACATGCTATCCATCATTGACCAAAATGTTATTATACATTACATGACTGTATTATGAATGCTCAAAGCAGCATTATTCATAATACAAAAAACAGAAATAATTAAATGTCCATCAACTGATGAATGAATAAACACTGTTTATATATCCACACAATGGACTATGAAGCAATGAAAAGGAAAACACATGACCGGCACAAGCTAAAGCATCAATTAACTTCAAAAATAGTAACTAAATGATTAAAGTCAGACCTCAATATAATATATTGTATGATTCCATTTCTATTACACAGATGGGAAATTTATACAGACAGAATATCAGAGCAGTATTGCTTAGGGCTGGAGATGGGAGTAGGGATTGAAATGGGCAAGAGAGAACTTCAGTGAGAGTAACTTTTTTTTTTTATTATACTTTAAGTTTTAGGGTACATGTGCACAATGTGCAGGTTAGTTACATATGTATACATGTGCCATGCTGGTGTGCTGCACCCATTAACTCGTCATTTAGCATTAGGTATATCTCCTAATGCTATCCCTCCCCCCTCCCCCCACCCCACCACAGTCCCCAGAGTGTGATGTTCCCCTTCCTGTGTCCATGTGTTCTCATTGTTCAATTCCCATCTATGAGTGAGAACATGCGGTGTTTGGTTTTTTGTCCTTGCGATAGTTTACTGAGAATGATGATTTCCAATTTCATCCATGTCCCTACAAAGGACATGAACTCAACGTTTTTTATGGCTGCATAGTATTCCATGGTGTATATTTGCCACATTTTCTTAATCCAGTCTATCCTTGTTGAACATTTGGGTTGGTTCCAAATCTTTGCTATTGTGAATAGTGCCACAATAAACATACGTGTGCATGTGTCTTTATAGCAGCATGATTTATAGTCCTTTGGGTATACACCCAGTAATGGGATGGCTGGGTCAAATGGTATTTCTAGTTCTAGATCCTTGAGGAATCGCCACACTGACTTCCACAATGGTTGAACTAGTTTACAGTCCCACCAACAGTGTAAAAGTGTTCCTATTTCTCCACATCCTCTCCAGCACCTGTTGTTTCCTGACTTTTTAATGATGTCCATTCTAACTGTTGTGAGATGGTATCTCATTGTGGTTTTGACTTGCATTTCTCTGATGGCCAGTGATGATGAGCATTTTTTCATGTGTCTTTTGGCTGCATAAATGTCTTCTTTTGAGAAGTGTCTGTTCATATCCTTTGCTCACTTTTTGATGTGGTTGTTTGTTTTTTTCTTGTAAATTTGTTTGAGTTCATTGTAGATTCTGGATATTAGCCCTTTGTCAGGTGAGTAGGTTGCGAAAATTTTCTCCCATTCTGTAGGTGGCCTGTTCACTCTGATGGTAGTTTCTTTTGCTGTGCAGAAGCTCTTTAGTTTAATTAGATCCCATTTGTCAATTTTGTCTTTTGTTGCCATTGCTTTTGGTGTTTTAGACATGAAGTCCTTGCCCATGCCTATGTCCTGAATAGTAACGCCTAGGTTTTCTTCTAGGGTTTTTATGGTTTTAGATCTAACGTTTAAGTCTTTAATCCATCTTGAATTAATTTTTGTATAAGGCGTAAGGAAGGGATCCAGTTTCAGCTTTCTACATATGGCTAGCCGGTTTTCCCAGCACCATTTATTAAATAGGGAATCCTTTCCCCACTGCTTGTTTTTCTCAGGTTTGTCAAAGATCAGATAGTTGCAGATATGTGGCGTTATTTCTGAGGGCTCTGTTCTGTTCCATTGATCTATATCTCTGTTTTGGTACCAGTACCATGCTGTTTTGGTTACTGTAGCCTTGTAGTATAGTTTGAAGTCAGGTAGCATGATGCCTCCAGCTTTGTTCTTTTGGCTTAAGATTGACTTGGCGATGTGGGTTCTTTTTTGGTTCCATATGAACTTTAAAGTAGTTTTTTCCAATTCTGTGAAGAAAGTCACTGGTAGCTTGATGGGGATGGCATTGAATCTATAAATTACTTTGGACAGTATGGCCATTTTCACGATATTGATTCTTCCTACCCATGAGCATGGAATGTTCTTCCATTTGTTTGTATCCTCTTTAATTCATTGGGCAGTGGTTTGTAGTTCTCCTTGAAGAGGCCCTTCACGTCCCTTGTAAGTTGGATTCCTAAGTATTTTATTCTCTTTGAAGCAATTGTGAATGGGAGTTCACTCATGATTTGGCTCTCTGTTTGTTATTGGTGTATAAGAATGTGATTTTTGTACACTGATTTTGTATCCTGAGACTTTGCTGAAGTTGCTTATCAGCTTAAGGAGATTTTGGGCTGAGACAATGGGGTTTTCTAGATATACAATCATGTCGTCTGCAAACAGGGACAATTTGACTTCCTCTTTTCCTAATTGAATACCCTTTATTTCCTTCTCCTGCCTAATTGCCCTGGCCAGAACTTCCAACACTATGTTGAATAAGAGTGGTAAGAGAGGGCATCCCTGTCTTGTGCCAGTTTTCAAAGGGAATGCTTCCAGTTTTTGCCCATTCAGTATGATATTGGCTGTGGGTTTGTCATACATAGCTCTTATTATTTTGAGATACGTCCCATCAATACCTAATTTATTGAGAGTTTTTAGCATGAAAGGTTGTTGAATTTTGTCAAAGGCCTTTTCTGCATCTATTGAGATAATTATGTGGTTTTTGTCTTTGGTTCTGTTTATATGCTGGATTACATTTATTGATTTACGTATATTGAACCAGCTTTGCATCCCAGGGATGAAGCCCACTTGATCATGGTGGATAAGCTTTTTGATGTGCTGCTGGATTTGGTTTGCCAGTATTTTATTGAGGATTTTTGCATCAATGTTCATCAACGATATTGGTCTAAAATTCTCTTTTTTTGTTGTGTCTCTGCCAGGCTTTGGTATCAGGATGATGCTGGCCTCATAAAATGAGTTAGGGAGGATTCCCTCTTTTTCTATTGATTGGAATAGTTTCAGAAGGAATGGTACCAGTTCCTCCTTGTACCTCTGGTAGAATTTGGCTGTGAATCCATCTGGTCCTGGACTCTTTTTGTTTGGTAAGGTACTGATTATTGCCACAATTTCAGATCCTGTTATTGGTCACTTCAGAGATTCAGCTTCTTCCTGGTTTAGTCTTGGGAGAGTGTACGTGTCGAGGAATTTATCCATTTCTTCTAGATTTTCTAGTTTATTTGCGTAGAGGTGTTTGTAGTATTCTCTGACGGTAGTTTGTATTTCTGTGGGATCGGTGGTGATATCCCCTTTATCATTTTTTATTGCATCTATTTGATTCTTCTCTCTTTTTTTCTTTATTAGTCTTGCTAGCGGTCTATCAATTTTGTTGATCTTTTCAAAAAACCAGCTCCTGGATTCATTAATTTTTTAAAGGGTTTTTTTTGTCTCTATTTCCTTCAGTTCTTCTCTGATTTTATTTCTTGCCTTCTGCTAGCTTTTGAATGTGTTTGCTCTTGCTTCTCTAGTTCTTTTAATTGTGATGTTAGGGTGTCAATTTTAGATCTTTCCTGCTTTCTCTTGTGGGAATTTAGTGCTATAAATTTCCCTCTACACACTGCTTTGAATGTGTCCCAGAGATTCTGGTATGTTGTGTCTTTGTTCTCGTTGGTTTCAAAGAACATCTTTATTTCTGTCTTCATTTCGTTATGTACCCAGTAGTCACTCAGGAGCAGGTTGTTCAGTTTCCATGTAGTTGAGCGGTTTTGAGTGAGTTTTTTAAACCTGAGTTCTAGTTTGTTTGCACTGTGGTCTGAGAGACAGTTTGTTATAATTTCTGTTCTTTTACATTTGCTGAGGAGAGCTTTACTTCCAACTATGTGGTCAATTTTGGAATAGGTGTGGTGTGGTGCTGAAAAGAATGTATATTCTGTTGATTTGGGGTGGAGAGTTCTGTAGATGTCTATTAGGTCTGCTTGGTGCAGAGCTGGGTTCAATTCCTGCATATCCTTGTTAACTTTCTGTCTCATTGATCTGTCTAATGTTGACAGTGGGGTGTTAAAGTCTCCCATTATTATTGTGTGGGAGTCTAAGTCTGTTTGTAGGTCACTCAGGACTTGCTTTATGAATCTGGGTGCTCCTGTATTGGGTGCATGTATATCTAGGATAGTTAGCTCTTGTTGTTGAATTGATCCCTTTACCATTATGTAATGGCCTTCTTTGTCTCTTTTGATCTTTGCTGGTTTAAAGTCTGTTTTATCAGAGACTAGGATTGCAACCCCTGCCTTTTTTTGTTTTCCGTTTGCTTGGTAGATCTTCCTCCATCCTTTTATTTTGAGCCTATGTGTGTCTCTGCACGTGAGATGGGTTTCCTGAATACAACACACTGATGGGTCTTGACTCTTTATCCAATTTGCCAGTCTGTGTCTTTTAATTGGAGCATTTAGTCCATTTACATTTAAAGTTAATATTGTTATGTGTGAATTTGATCCTGTCATTATGATGTTAGCTGGTTATTTTGCTCGTTAGTTGATGCAGTTTCTTCCTAGTCGCGATGGTCTTTACATTTTGGCATGATTTTGCAGCGGCTGGTACCGGTTGTTCATTTCCATGTTTAGTGCTTCCTTCAGGAGCTCTTTTAGGGCAGGCCTGGTGGTGACAAAATCTCTCAGCATTTGCTTGTCTGTAAAGTATTTTATTTCTCCTTCACTTATGAAACTTAGTTTGGCTGGATATGAAATTCTGGATTGAAAAATCTTTTCTTTAAGAAGCTTGAATATTGGCCCCCAATCTCTTCTGGCTTGTAGAGTTTCTGCCGAGAGATCAGCTGTTAGTCTGATGGGCTTCCCTTTGTGGGTAACCCGACCTTTCTCTCTGGCTGCCCTTAACATTCTTTCCTTCATTTCAACTTTGGTGAATCTGACGATTATGCATCTTGGTGTTGCTCTTCTCAAGGAGTATCTTTGTGGCATTCTCTGTATTTCCTGAATCTGAATGTTGGCCTGCCTTGCTAGGTTGGGGAAGTTCTCCTGGATAATATCCTGCAGAGTGTTTTCCAACTTGGTTCCATTCTCCCCGTCACTTTCAGGTACACCAATCAGACGTAGATTTGGTCTTTTCACATAGTCCCTATATTTCTTGAAGGCTTTGTTCGTTTCTTTTTATTCTTTTTTCTCTAAACTTCCCTTCTCGCTTCATTTCATTCATTTCATCTTCCATCACTGAAACCCTTTCTTCCAGTTGATCGCATCGGCTCCTGAGGCTTCTGCATTCTTCACGTAGTTCTCGAGCCTTGGCTTTCAGCTCCATCAGCTCCTTTAAGCACTTCTCTGTATTGGTTATTCTAGTTATACATTCGTCTAAATTTTTTTCAAAGTTTTCAACTTCTTTGCCTTTGGTTTGAATTTCCTCCTGTAGCTCGGAGTAGTTTGATCATCTGAAGCCTTCTTCTCTCACCTCGTCAAAGTCATCCTCCGTCCAGCTTTGTTCCGTTGCTGGTGAGGAACTGCGTTCCTTTGGAGGAGGAGAGGCGCTCTGCTTTTTAGAGTTTCCAGTTTTTCTGCTCTGTTTTTCCCCATCTTTGTGGTTTTGTCTACTTTTGGTCTTTGATGATGGTGACGTACAGATGGGTTTTTGGTGTGGATGTCCTTTCTGTTTGTTAGTTTTCCTTCTAACAGACAGGACCCTCAGCTGCAGGTCTGTTGGAGTTTGCTAGAGGTCCACTCCAGACCCTGTTTGCCTGGGTATCAGTGGCGGTGTCTGCAGAACAGCGGATTTTCGTGAACCGCGAATGCTGCTGTCTGATCGTTCCTCTGGAAGTTTTGTCTCTGAGGAGTACCCGGCCGTGTGAGATGTCAGCCTGCCCCTACTGGGGGGTGCCTCCCAGTTAGGCTGCTCGGGGGTCAGGGGTCAGGGACCCACTTGAGGAGGCAGTCTGCCTGTTCTCAGATCTCCAGCTGTGTGCTGGGAGAACCACTGCTCTCTTCAAAGCTGTCAGACAGGGACATTTAAGTCTGCAGAAGTTACTGCTGTCTTTTTGTTTGTCTGTGCCCTGCCCCCAGAGGTGGAGCCTACAGAGGCAGGCAGGCATCCTTGAGTTGTGGTGGGCTGCACCCAGTTTGAGCTTCCTGGCTGCTTTACCTAAGCAAGCCTGGGCAATGGCGGGCGCCCCTCCCCCAGCCTTGCTGCCGCCTTGCAGTTTGATCTCAGGCTGCTGTGCTAGCAATCAGCGAAACTCCGTGGGCATAGGACCCTCCGAGCCATGTGCGGGATATAATCTCCTGGTGTGCCGTTTCCTAAGCCCGTCAGAAAAGCACAGTATTTGGGTGGGAGTGACCCGATTTTCCAGGTGCCGTCTGTCACTCCTTTCCTTGACCAGGAAAGGGAACTCCCTGACCCCTTGTGCTTCCCGAGTGAGGCAATGACTCACCCTGCTTTGGCTCGCACACGGTGTGCTGCACCCACTGTCCTGCGCCCACTGTCTGGCACTCCCTAGTGAGATGAACCTGGTACCTCAGATGGAAATGCAGAAATCCCCCGTCTTCTGTGTCGCTCATGCTGGGAGCTGTAGACCAGAGCTGTTCCTATTCGGCCATCTTGGCTTCTCCCCCAGAGAAACAAACATTTTTAAGTTAGATCATGGTGATGGCTACACACAGTGTCAATTTAATAAATCATCAATTGTGTACCTTTATAGTTGGGTGAACTTTATGATAGGTTCACACCCAATATGGTGTTATAAATAAATTAATGTTATGGAAATTCTTATCTGGTTTTTAAGCAGCCAAGATACATGCTGTTTAAGCAACATTAATTCAGATGGTTGCAATAAGTCATTTAAAGTTTATAAGGTAGTTGTCCTGTAAATATATGGTGAATGTTATTCCATGAATTTCCGTATCTATTGCAATAATCATATTTTTCCTCTATTAACCTCTTATGGTGGCTAATTTATTTATTGCATTTTCAATGTTAATCTACCATATCATATTTTGAAATCATATTGGTCACAATTTATGGTATTTTTATTCATCACATACTTCAATTTACCTTATCTGATTTTAGTTTCAAAGCTATGCTGCCATTTTATTTAATTGCACAGTATAGAATTTTCTAATTTATAGAAAATTATTATGTCCTCCTTGAATTTTTTTTTAGAACTTAATTCTAGGAATTTATATGAGGTACAGTCCATAAATAATTGTTTTACACCACATGTTCTCACTCATAGGTGGGAATTGAACAATAAGAACACATGGACACAGGAAGGGGAACATCACACACTGGGGCCTGTTGTGAGGTGGGGGGGGAGGGATAGCATTAGGAGATATACCTAATGTTAAATGACGAGTTAATGGGTGCAGCACACCAACATGGCACATGTATATATATGTAACAAACCTGCACGTTGTGCACATGTACACTAAAACTTAAAGTATAAAAAAAAAAGAATTGTTTTAATTTCTCATACATGTCTTCAATGGGTATAGAATTGGTCATATTTTTCTGCTCAGATTTCAACAAGAAACTTACCTCTTACCCCATTGGCAGGTAGGCAGACGTGACTTTTCCCATTTTCTAAATGGAGACTATGTGGGCAAATGCAGGTAAGTTCTTGGGGTATGTGAAGGGACCTCTCTTGCTCTCAAAAGACAACCTAAGAAGAAGGGCAGTGCCACAGCAGAACTGCTATCGATGCCACCTCAGTTAGATTCCAGAACAGACATACACCTGTAGACAACTGAGGTGTAGGAAAACAGTGGAGCACCCAGCACCCAGCAGAGAAAGCAACGCCTGGGGACAGGGAGGCACTGATTGTGGCAAGGGGAAAAAACAGCTGCCAGAAGGCTGTTCACACAAGGGTCTCAGGCTGCACAGACATCCACACCTGCTGAGGGGTTCTGGTTTTCATAAAGGATGTGGCTCAGCCAGGCCACCAACAAGCAGTTAATAAACAATAACATGACACTTTCCAAAGACCTTACATGAGTAACGCAGTGATCCTCACAAATTTCCTAACAGGATGGTAGTACAATTCCTCCTGAACAGGGTGAGGAAACTGACCCACAAGGTCATGGAGCCTGCTTGTGGTCACATGGGGTGGGTGCAAAGCTGGACATTGAACCTTCCGCCGGGACTGAGTGCTGTCCTCTGAGCTCTGTCTACTGAGTGCCTCTGTCCTGTCTGCTGACCACAGGTCAGAGGTGCAGACTGCAACGGGGAGTAGAAATGTCACCTTCTCAATGTTGGGAAAACTCCCTGACAGAACTGCCCATGGCCCTTTCTAAGCAGTGGGCAAGCTCAGACCAAAGAAGGAGGCAGACCATGTCAGGCTGCCAGACTGCCAAACATTCATTCAAGGAGAACCCACATCCTGGGCCATCCTGGGTGGTGGCAAGATAAGCTAGATCACTGCTTTTGCAACGCATCCCTGTCCAGCCTTTCCTATCATGAAAAGAAAAGGGAACAGGGAAAAAAAGAAACAAAAGTCACTGTTGGGCTCGCTAACTCATCTGGCTACTTTCTTAATCTGTTTGCTTTCTGCTTGAAAAGGTTGTTTGGGTATCCTACAATCTGGTCGACATTTCTAAAGTAAGGACAGTGTTCCAGGCAGCAGCAGTTAGCTTGGTCAGGTCACTGTTTTAGGCGAAGATTTGCAGGTGTATCTGCCACTGTAGTGAAGGGCTGCTTTGGGCAGTGTCTGTGGAGAAATGTTTTAAAGGACATAGTTAAACCAACACTTGAACACCAATTGTTTTGTCCTACCCCTCTGTCACAGGGGAGGGGGCTGTGCTCTTGGCAAAGGTCATCTCTCTGTCATGATTCTGGAGCTCCTTTTGTTCTCCTGATTATCTGTCACTCAGTTATCCCCACTCTCTCCCACAATTTTAACCTCGGCTTCTCTATTCTAGGAGACTCTTCTCTCAGGCTCAAGGCTCTCCTGCCCTCCACCGTTCCTCCCTCCACCCCATACACCCTTCCAGCATGTGTCCCAGCTGATCTATCCTTTAGCCAAACTTCCTCAGAAAGAGGCCTCACCCTGCTGTCCCTGCCCATCTCCTCTCTGATTCACTCCTCAACTCCATGTCTGATTGCCAGTTTCTTTTCCTTGCCTGTTGTGACTTCCTGTGGATGTGGCCAAAAACCACACAGTCCTCCTGTTGTGCAGCGTCCCCTCAATCTTGAGATGTCCTCTCCCTCGGTTCCTATGTCACCACACATGCCTGGCTTGGCTCCTCCCTCTAGTTCTTCCTTTCCTGTCTCCTGTGGACTCCTTGTTGTCTGCCCTCGCCACTTCAGTGTCCTCACAGGGGCTTCCTTCCCTTCTCAGCTGACACCATCACCTGGGGATCACACTCACCTGGCAGCCTGGGGCCTCTCTATCTCTATGCTGGTCATGCCCACGTCTGAGCTGCAGACCCAAAGGCATTTCCACTTGTGCATCCCATGCCCAGCACACACTTCTCCAGTCTCAAACGCAGCTGTTCAGCCCCACCTCACCCCTTAGACAAGTTCCTCCCTGTGGATCTTCTTTTTCATTGATTAGTACTGAGTTGCCCAAATCAGCAACTTGGAAGTGATCTAGACTCCTCACACATCCAGTCCATCACTCATCAAGTCTATTGATTCTGTCTGCTAAATATACCTCGATTATATTTACTTACATATATGCATATGTCTCCTTCTTCACTGCATTTCATATTGTGGGCCACATTTACCCTTCAGGTAAC
This sequence comes from Homo sapiens, assembly GCF_000001405.40. NCBI lineage: Eukaryota > Metazoa > Chordata > Mammalia > Primates > Hominidae > Homo > Homo sapiens. The sequence continues at coordinate 12,178,517 of NC_000018.10, read as the reverse complement.
AACAACACTGGCCATTCTTGCCCTTCCAGTCAGAAGTGCCAAAACAACTGTTCTAAGATGCAAATCTGATCACATTACTCCTCTGGGTGAAACTTTGCAATGGTTTCCCGTTGATCTTAGAATACTGTCTGGCCTCCCGTGTTCAGAGGTCCCGGTCACCAGCCCTCTGCAGACTTTTCACTCACACTCCATGCTCTGGTGGTGGGGATCACTTCAGTTCCTGGAGTTCCCCTTCTCTTTCCCACTGCTCCCCTCAATATGCTATCTGCCTTTCTTGGAACACCTGTCCCTCTTCCTTCCTCACCTCTCCAGGTAATTGGGTTTGTCTTTCAGGTCTTGCCTTACATGTCACTTTCTCCAGGAAGCTCTCCTGGCCTCTCAAATTTGGGTAAAAAGTGTCCCCTGGATGGACTTTCATGCCCGTTCTAATGCTTCTTATGCTCTTCTTATGCTTCTTCTTATGCTTCTTATGTGGATCTTTCTATTGGCACATCTCTGTCTCACAGTGCAATGAAATTTCTGTGGCAGCAAGGTCAGGCTTTCTTGTCTCTCATGAAAGCACATTCCTGCCTATATCCCCAGCACCTACCAGTGTCTGGCTCCGAGGATGAACTTTCATGCCCGTTCTAATGCTTCTTATGCTCTTCTTATGCTTCTTCTTATGCTTCTTATGTGGATCTTTCTATTGGCACATCTCTGTCTCACAGTGCAATGAAATTTCTGTGGCAGCAAGGTCAGGCTTTCTTGTCTCTCATGAAAGCACATTCCTGCCTATATCCCCAGCACCTACCAGTGTCTGGCTCCCAGGATGAACTCAATACATTTTGGTGGACAGAAGAAATGAAGGGATAGGGGGAAGAGAACAACCCGCCAAAGTCTAAGAGCCTATGGCTGGGCTACAGCAAAGTCTTGGCGTGTCCTACAATGTATGTCGCCACATTTGTGGAAACACACAACTGCCTCTTCTGTTCAAAGATGGCCCTACTTATGGGAAACAGATGGAATTTTCTCCCCATGTGCAGGTAAAGACACAAACACTGATGTCATAGCTGCCACCCTCTCCTCTCACTATTGCCCATGCCCAGCTGGTGCTGAAGGGACATCTTAAGCTCTTGTGACTCCATGGCCCCCAAAGCCGCGGAGCTCAGAGCTGCTCCTTGAGGAATGTCTTCCCCATTTCCTTCTCCCTGGCTCCTCTCCTTGCTGGTGTCCACTGGTGTCTCCTCCTGTGGCTTCTCGAACATCATCCTCTGTTCCTCACTGTTTCAAACTTTACTCTCCCCACAGAAGGTTCTTTTCCACATCTCTGTCACTGGATGCTCATGAGAAGGCTGATAGGGTGATTTTTTGTCAGGACAAATAAACTGTATGAAACCTACCTGAAGCACACTAGCACTCCTGAAATGAAGGTTAAATATTTTGTAGCCCTGTGGAGTCAGATTCATGGTAGGAATATGTACATGCATGTCCCATTTTTTGAGCTTTTTTCAGAAATTTAATGTTCCATATAAGCCAATGTTCCAGGTACCTGAGTTAAGCTCATAATGGCTGGACTCATTTTAACTATTTTAGTTAACATCCTTCACAAATCTTTACATCGTTTTCCTACCTTCTTAGACCATATGAAAACCTAATTATATTTTTTCATGACAATGAAGAGTCATCATAATAGCTATTATTAGATCCTGATATAAAGACGTCATGCTTTCAAAGTTTACAAAGGCAGGATAGACTAAATTATACAAGATCATTGTGCTTTTACAACCACAGGAAGATCAATCCTCACAGCACTATTTCTGCCCACTCTTCTCTAGATGGTCAAGTTTGTTTAAAATGTTGGTAAACACAAGAGTTATTGATTCACATGAATAAGTTGCAGTAGGCAAGGCCTTTTGCTCTCCTGACTCTGAAGTCAGAGGCTGTGTTAGCCACACCCTTCTGGGGGCTACTTCTCAACTATGCTCTTTGCAAGCTCTGGCTCGGAAAGTTGAACTTTACTGAACTTTCAAAAATGTAGCCACTATTTCTGCTATATTTTAAAGCTATAATAACAACGGAGTGTGCTCTGTTTTGTTTTTCAAAATTTCTGTGGGATAAAGTTGCATAGAGATTTTCAGGGTTCTATGTTTAATTTTAATTTTCAAACATAGATTTTAACTACTTTTTTACAATTATGATTAGAATGCACTCTCAAACATGTTACAGAAAGTTTAGTCCATTGAGAGATCTCTTGGCGGTTTACTCAATTTGGGTGCATGCTCTGGAGGACACCTTGTCCTGCCATTTAGGTTTAATTTAAAATCCTGTTTAATTTTTTTTCGTTTTTGAGAAGGAGTCTCACTCTGTCACCCAGGCTAGAGTGCAGTAGCACAGTCTCAGCTCACTGCAACCTCTGCCTCCCAGGTTCAAGTGATTCTTCTGCTTCAGTCTTCCGAGTAGCTGGGATTACAGGCATGCGCCACCATGCCCGGCCAATTTTTCTATTTTTAGTAGAGACAGGGTTTCACCATGTTGGCCTGGCTAGTCTTGAACTCCTGACCTCAAGTGATTCATCCACCTCGGCCTCCCAAAGTGCAGGGATTACAGGTGTGAGCCACCGTGCCTGGCCTAAAATCCTGTTTAATTTTTAATTAAAGAGCATCCTGAGATTGAAAAGTGAACTATTGGGGGAGAATACAATTTGAAACTCCCTCACTATGTGTGCCTAAGTTTCCTCCATGCAAGGCAAAAACAAATTCTATTTAGATGCTAATGAACTTCACTTGCTGCCCATTCCACTAATTTTAAGTCATCTTTTCAGGAAAATAAATTATTCTCACCATTTGACTTTACAATCTGAAAGTCCTGGGGCCCCAGCCTGGTCATGCCTGCTTGCAGGGCAGCCTTGGGTCATAGCTTCTGTGCTGGTGGACCCTGCCTGACTAGAAGAGGGCTCCAGCACAGGGAGGCCCCCATGGCAAAGCACCAGCCTGCATACTCCCTCCTCAAACTATAGCTTCCCTTGGGCCCACAGCAACTCCCCACATCGCTTGGCTGGAGCATGTCTGTGGGGACGGGTTTTGCTTTCCTTGTCCGACCCACATGCATGTGTGCATACACCCCACCCTGTCACTGCTGCAGCAAGAGTGCAGTCAGCCGCCCTCCCGCTGCTGACCACCATTTAGAAAAAGCCTTGGTGGGCACACAGCCAGCGAGCTCCACTCCCACCACCAGTGCCCTACCCTGCCCTTGTGACAACACTGCCGTGGGAGTGAAACTAGGTACAGAGAACAGCAGATCCTCTCCTGCCCTGAGTGACCACTACTGCTCATGCAATACAGAGAAGGCACAGACCTGAGCCCGCCAGTGCTCCCAAGGCAACACCATCACCAATGCAACCACATACACAGTCGCCAGCAGCAGCCCCCTACCCTTCCCTGAGCTGTGTTGCCTCTGCCACTGTGGTGAATGCCCACAGCGGGGCAGGCACACTGGCACCCAACAGCACCCTGCTGCAGTTGATGAGTGTGCACCCCACTATGCTGCTGCTACTGCTGCTGCTGGCACATGCAAATGAGAATCCTGCTGTCACTGCACTATAAAACTCTTTGGCTGGCACCACCCATTGGAGTGTAGTGACCAACGTTCTGCAAGCACCTTACACCCCCCAGAGCAGTGAATTCTTAACCTCAAGGAGCCAGAGAACAAAGTCTGGGCCCAATACAAATTCCCCAGAGTTAGCACAGGTAGTTCAGGAGTTGGGAGCTGAACATTGGGCCCATAAAATCTTCCAGAAATGAAGCCAGTGGGCTGAAACCACCTTATACCACACTCAAACCCTTAAGGTCATCAACTAGGATAAAAGAAGAAAATTCAAAGGTCAGCAACCTCAAAGATTGAAGGAAAGTAAGCCCACAAAGATGAGAAAACACCAGTGAAAGAACCACGGCAACTCAAAAAGTCAGAGTGCCTTCTTTCCTCCAAATGACCTCATTACCTCTCCAACAAGGGTTCTGAACTAGGCTGAAACAGCTGAAATGACAGAAGCAGAACTCAGACTATGGATAGAAATGAAAATCACTGAGCTACGGGAGTATGTTGAAACCTAATCCAAGGACTCTAGGGATCACAATAAAACAACGCACGAGCTGACAGACAAAATAGTCAGTATAGAAAAGAATGTAACTGACCTGATAGAGCTGAAAGGCACATTAAAAGAATTTCATAACGCAATCCCAAGTATTAATAGCAGAACAGACCAAGTGGAGGAAAGTATCTCATAGCTTGAAGACTGGCTTTCTGAAATAAAACAGTCAGACAAGAACAGAAAGAAAAACAAGAATAAAAAGGAATGAACAAAACCTCTGAGAAATATGGGATTACATAAAGAGACCAAATCTATGCCTCATTCGTGTCCCTGAAAGAGATGAAGAGAATGGAAGCAACTTGGAATACATATTTCAGGATATTATCCATGAGAACTTCCCCAACCTAGCTAGAGAAGCCAACATTCAAATATAGGAAATGTACAGAATGCCAGTAAGATACCCCATAGGAAGACCACCCCAAAGACACATAATTATCAGATACTCTCCAAGGTTGAAATGAAAGGAAAAATGTTAAAGGCAGCTAGAGAGAAAGGTCAGCTCACCTACAAAGGGAAATCCATCAGACTAATGACAGGCCTTTCAGCCAGAACCCCTACAAGCCAAAGAGATGTGAAGGCCAATATTCAACATTTTTAAAGAAAAGAATTTCCAACCCAGAATTTCATAACCAGCCAAACTAAGCTTCATAAATAAAGGAGAAATAAGATCCTTTTCAGATAAGCAAATGCTGTGAGAATTTGTCACCACCAGACCTGCCTTGCAAGAGCTCCTGATAAGAGCACTCAATATGAAAAGATTGTTACCAGCCACTACAAAAACACACTGACATACACAGGCCAGTGGCATTATAAAGCAACCACATAAACAAGTCTGCAAAATAACCAGCTAACATCATGACGACAGGATTAAATTCACACATATTAATACTAACCTTCAATATAAATGGGCTAAATGCCCTACTTAAAAGGCACAGAGTGGCAAGCTGGATAAAAAAGCAAGACCCATTGGCATGCTGCCTTCAAGAGACAGATTTCACATGCAATGACACACATAGGCTCAAAATAAAGGGATGGAGAAAAATCGACCAAGCAAATGGAAAACAGAAAAAAGCAAGGGTTGCAATCTGAGTTTCAGACAAAACAGACTTTAAGCCAACATAGATCAAAAAGGACAAAAAGACATTGTTGGCGGGAGGTTCCAAGATGGCTGAATAGGAACAGCTCCAGTCTACAGCTCCCAGCGTGAGCAATGCAGAAGACAGGTGATTTCTGCATTTCCAACTGAGGTACCGGGTTCATCTCACTGGGGCTTGTCGGACAGTGGGTGCAGCCCATGGAGCATGAACCAAAGCAGGGTGGGGCATTGGGTCACCCAGGAAGCACAAGCAGTCAGAGAATTCTCTTTCCTAGCCAAGGGAAGCCATGACAGATGGTACTTGGAAAACTGGGATACTCCCACCCTAATACTGCGCTTTTCCTATGGTCTTAGCAAATGGCACACCAGCAAATTATATCCCATGCATGGCTCAGAGGGTCCCACGCCCATGGAGCCTCACTCACTGCTAGCACAGCAGTCTGAGATCAAACTGCAAGGTGGCAGTGAGGTTGGGGGAGGGGAGTCTGCCATTGCTGAGGCTTGAGTGGGTAAATAAAGCCGCTGGGAAGTTTGACCTGGGTGGAGCCCACTGCAGCTCAAGGAGGCCTGCCTGCCTCTGTAGACTCCACCTCTGGGGACAGAGCATAGCTGAACAAAAGGCAGCAGAAACTTAAACATCCCTGTCTAACAGCTTTGAAGAGAGTAGTGGTTCTCCCAGCACGGATCTGAGAACGGACAGACTGCCTCCTCAAGTGGGTCCCTGACCCCCGAGTAGCCTAATTGAGAGGCACCTCCCAGTAGGGGCCGACTGACACCTCATATGGCAGGGTGGCCCTCTGAGATGAAGCTTCCAGAGGAAGGATCAGGAAGCAACATTGCTGTTCTGCAAGCCTCCACTAGTGATACCCAGGCAAACAGGGTCTGGAGTGGACCTCCAGCAAACTCCAACAGACCTGCAGCTGAGGGACCTGACTGTTAGAAGGAAAACCAACAAAGAGAAAGGACATCCACACCAAAACCCCATCTGTACATCACCATCATCGAACACCAAAGGTAGATAAAACCACAAAGATGGGGAGAAACCAGAGCAGAAAAGCTGAAAATTCTAAAAATCAGAGTGCCTCTTCTCCTCCAAAGGAACACAGCTCCTCGCCAGCAAGGGAACAAAGTTGGACGGAGAATGACTTTGACGAGTTGAGAGAAGAAGGCTTCAGATGATCAGTAATAAGAAACTTCTCTGAGCTAAAGGAGGATGTTCAAACCCATCCCAGAGAAGCTAAAAACCTTGAAAAAAGATTAGATGAATGGCTAACTAGAATAAACATCACAGAGAAGACCGTAAATGACCTGATGGAGCTGAAAACCATGGCATGAGAACCACGTGATACATGCACAAGCTTCAGTGGCCAATTCGATCAAGTGGAAGAAAGGGTATCAGTGATTGAAGATCAAATTAATGAAATGAAGCGAGAAGTTTAGAGAAAAAAGGGTAAAAAGAAATGAACAAAGCCTCCAAGAAATAAGGGACTATGTGAAAAGACCAAATCTACGTCTGAGTGGTGTACCTGAAAGTGACAGGGAGAATGGAACCAAGTTGGAAAACACTCTGCAGGATATTACCCAGGAGAACTTCCCCAACCTAGCAAGATAGGCCAACATTCAAATTCAGGAAATACAGAAAACATCACAAAGATACTCCTCGAGAAGAGCAACCCCAAGACACATAATTGTCAGATTCACCAAGGTTAAAATGAAGGAAAAAAGGCTGAGAGCAGCCAGAGAGAAAGGTTGGGTTGACCCACAAAGGGAAGCCCATCACACTAACAGCGGATCTCTCGGCAGAAACCCTACAAGCCAGAAGAGAGTGGGGGCCAATATTCAACGTTCTTGAAGAAAAGAATTTTCAACCCAGAATTTCATATCCAGCCAAACTAAGTTTCATAAGTGAAGGAGAAATAAAATCCTTTACAGAGAAGCAAATGCTGAGAGATTTTGTCACTACCAGGCCTGCCTTACAAGAGCTCCTGAAGGAAGCACTAAACATGGAAAGGAACAACCGGTACCAGCCACTGCAAAAACATGCCAAAGTAAAAAGACCATCGATGCTAGGAAGAAACTGCATCAACTAACGGGCAAAATAACCAGCTAACATCATAATGACAGGATCAAATTCACATATAACAATATTAACCTTAAATGTAAATGGGCTAAATGCTCCAATTAAAAGACACAGACTGGCAAATTGCATAAAGAATGAAGACCCATCAGTGTGCTGTATTCAGAAGACTCATCTCACGTGCAGAGACACACATACGCTCAAAATAAAGGGATGGAGGATGATCTACCAAGGAAATAGAAAGCAAAAAAAAAAAAAAAGCAGGGGTTGCAATCCTAGTCTCTGATAAAACAGACTTTAAACCAACAAAGATCAAAAGAGACAAAGAAGGCCATTACATAATGGTAAAGGGATCAATTCAACAAGAAGAGCTAACTATTCTAAATATATGTGCACCCAATACAAGAGCACCCAGATTCATAAGGCAAGTCCTTAGAGACCTACAAAGAGACTTAGACTCTCACACAATAATAATGGGAGACTTTAACACACCACTGTCAACTTTAGACAGATCAACGAGACAGAAGGTTAACAAGGATATCCAGGACTTGAACTCAGCTCTGCAACAAGGAGACCTAATAGACATCTACAGAACTCTCCACCCCAAATCAACAGAATATACATTCTTCTCAGCACCACATTGCACTTACTCCAAAATTGACCACATAGTTGGAAGTAAAACACTCCTCAGCAAATGCAAAAGCACAGAAATTATAACAAACTGTCTCTCAGACCACAGTGCAATAAAATTAGAACTCAGGATTAAGAAACTCACTCAAAACCACACAACTACATCGAAACTGAACAACCTGCTTCTGAATGACTACTGGATACATAACGAAATGAAGACAGAAATAAAGATGTTCTTTGAAACCAATGAGAACAAAGACACAACATACCAGAACCTCTGGGACACATTCAAAGCAGTGTGTAGAGGGAAATTTATGGCACTAAATGCCCACAAGAGAAAGCAGGAAAGATCTAAAATTGACACCCTAACATCACAATTAAAAGAACTAGAGAAGCAAGAACAAACACATTCAAAAGCTAGCAGAAGGCAAGAAATAACTAAGATCAGAGCAGAGCTGAAGGAGATAGAGATACAAAAAACCCTTCAAAAAATCAATGAATCCAGGAGCTAGTTTTTTGAAAAGACCAACAAAACTGATAGTCCTCTAGCAAGACTAATAAAGAAGAAAAGACAGAAGAATCAAATAGATGCAATAAAAAATGATAAAGGGGATATCACCACTGATCCCACAGAAATACAAACTACCATCAGAGAATACTATAAACACCTCTATGCAAATAAACTAGAAAATCTAGAAGAAATGGATAAATTCCTGGACACATACACCCTCCCAAGACTAAACCAGGAAGAAGTTGAATTGCTGAATAGACCAATAACAGGCTCTGAAACTGAGGCAATAATAGCCTACCAACCAAAAAAAGTCCAGGACCAGACGGATTCACAGCCGAATTCTACCAGAGGTACAAAAAGGATCTGGTACCCTTCCTTCTGAAACTACCCCTATCAATAGAAAAAGAGGGAATCCTCCCTAACTCATTTTATGAGACCAGCATCATCCTGATACCAAAGCCTGGCAGAGACACAACAAAAAAAGAGAATTTTAGACCAATATCTCTGTTGAACATTGATGCAAAAAATCCTCAAGAAAATACTGGCAAACAGAAACCAGCAGCACATCAAAAAGTTTATCCACCAAGATCAAGTTGGCTTCATCCCTGGGATGCAAGGCTGGTTCAACATACGCAAATCAATAAATGTAATCCATCACATAAACAGAACCAAAGACAAAAACCACATGATTATCTCAATAGATGCAGAAAAGGCCTTCAACAAAATTCAACAGCCCTTCATGCTAAAAACTCTCAATAAACTAGGTATTGATGGCACATATCTCAAAATAATAAGAGCTATCTATGATAAACCCACAGCCAATATCATACCGAAAGGGCAAAAACTGGAAACATTCCCTTTGAAAACGCACAAGACAGGGATGCCCTCTCTCACCATTCCTATTCAACATAGTGTTGGAAGTCCTGGCCAGGGCAATCAGGCAAGATAAAGAAATAAGAGATATTCAATTAGGAAAAGAGGAAGTCAAATTGTCCCTGTTTGCAGATGACATGATCGTATACTTAGAAAACCTCGTCGTCTCAGCCCAAAATCTCCTTAAGCTGATAAGCAACTTCAGCAAAGTCTCAGGATACAAAATCAATGTATAAAAATCACAGGCATTCTTATACACCAGTAACAGACAAACAGAGCCAAATCATGAGTGTACTTCCATTCACAGTTGCTTCAAAGAGAATAAAATACCTAGGAATCCAGTTTACAAGGGATGTGAAGGACCTCTTCAAGGAGAACTACAAACAACTGCTCAACGAAATAAAAGAGGACACAAACAAATGGAAGAACTTCCCACGCTCATGGTTAGGAAGAATCAATATCGTGAAAATGGCCATACTGCCCAAGGTAATTTATAGATTCAATGCCATCCCCATCAAGCTACCAATGACTTTCTTCACAGAATTGGAAAAAACTACTTTAAAGTCCACATGGAATGAAAGAAGAGCCTTCATTGCCAAGACAATCCTAAGCCTAAAGAACAAAGCTGAAGGCATCATGCTACCTGACTTCAAACTATACTACAAGGCTACAGTAATCAGAACAGCATGGTAATGGTACCAAAACAGAGATATAGATCAATGGAAAAGAACAGAGGTCTCAGAAATAATGCCACATATCTACAACTATCTGATCTTTGACAAACCTGACAAAAACAAGCAATGGGGAAAGGATTCCCTATTTAATAAATGGTGCTGGGAAAACTGGCTAGCCATATGTAGAAAGCTGAAACTGGATCCCTTCCTTACACCTTATACAAAAATTAATTCAAGATGGATTAAAGACTTAAATGTTAGACCTAAAACCATAAAAACCCTAGAAGAAAACCTAGGCAATACCATTCAGGACATAGGAATGGGCAAGGACTTCATGACTAAAACACCAAAAGCAATGGCAACAAAAGCCAAAATTGACAAATGGGATCTAATTAAACTAAAGAGCTTCTCCACAGCAAAAGAAACTACCATCAGAGTGAACAGGCAACCTACAGAATGGGAGAAAATTTTTGCAATCTACCCATTGGACAAAGGGCTAATATCCAGAACCTACAAAGAACTCAAACAAATTTACAAGAAAAAAAAATCAAACAACCCCATCAAAAAGTGGGCAAAGCATATGAATAGATAGTTCTCAAAAGAAGACATTTATGCAGCCAATAGACACATGAAAAAATGCTCATCATGACTGGCCATCAGAGAAATGCAAATCAAAACCACAATGAGATACCATCTCACACCAGTTAGAATGGCAATCCTTAAAGTCAGGAAACAACAGATGCTGGAGAGGATATGGAGAAATAGGAATGCTTTTACACTTTTGGGAGTGTAAACTAGTTCAACCATTGTGGAAGACGGTGTGGCGATTCCTCAAGGATCTAGAACTAGAAATACCATTTGACCTAGTGATCCTATTACTGGGTATATACGCAAAGGATTATAAATCATGTTCCTATAAAGACACATGCACACATGTGTTTATTGTGGCACTATTCACAATAGTAAAGACTTGGAACCAACCCAAATGTCCATCAATGATAGACTGGATTAAGAAAATGTGGCACATATACACCATGGAATACTATGCAGCCATAAAAAAGGATGAGTTCATGTCCTTTGTAGCGACATGGATGAAGCCGGAAATCATCATTCTGAGCAAACTATCACAAGGACAGAAAACCAAACACCACATGTTCTCACTCATAGGTGGGAACTGAACAATGAGAACGCTTGGACACAGGGCAGGGAACATCACACACCAGGGCTTGTCACGGGGTGGGGGAATGGGGGAGGGATACCATTAGGAGAAATACTTAATGTAAATGATGAGCTAATGGGTGCAGCAAACCAACACGGCACATGTATACATACGTAACAAACCTGCATATTGTGCACATGTACCCTAGAACTTAAAGTATAATAAAGAAAAAATAAAATTTAAAAAACTTAGTATAACCTAAAAAAATAATGTGGCACATGTACACCGTGGAATGCTATGCAGCCATACAAAAAGATGAGTTCATGTCCTTTGTGGTGGCATGGATGAAGCTGGAAACCATCATTCTGAGCAAACTATTGCAAGGACAGAAAACCAAACACCACCTGTTCTCACTCATAGGTGGGAACTGAACAATGAGAACACCTGGACACAGGGCAGGGAACATCACACACTGGGGCCTGTCATGGGGTGGGGGTTGGGGGAGGGATAGCATTAGCAGAAATACCTAATGTAAATGATGAGTTAATGGATGCAGCAAACCAACACAGCACAGGTATACGTATGTAACAAACCTGCACATTGGGCACATGTACCCTAGAACTTAAAGTATAACAAATAAATAAATACTTAACTCTTCAATGCCCAAACAATGATAAACAGCTACAAGTATCAAGACCATTTAGGAAAAAAATGACCTCACCAAATGAACTAAATAAGGCACCAAGGACCAATCCTGGAAAAACAGAGATATGTGACTTTTCAGACTGAGAATTCAAAGTGGGTGTTTCGAGGAAACTAAAAAAAAATTCAAGGTAACACAGAGAAGCAATTCAGAATTTTATTAGATAAATTTAACAATGATATTAAAATTATTAAAAAGAAGCAGAAATTCTGGAGCTGAAAAATTGACATACTGAAGAATGTATAAGAGTCTCTTAATAGCAGAACTGATAAAGCAGAAGAAAGGATCAGTGGGCTTCATGATAGGATGTTTGAAAATACAACCAGTTAAGTCAAAAAATTAAAAAGAATAAAGCACACATACAAGATACAGAAAATAGCCTCAAAAGGGCAAATCTAAGAATTATTGGTCTTCAGTAGGAGGCAGAGAAACAGATAGGGTAGAAAGTTTATTCAAAAGAATAATATCTGAGAACTTCCGAAACCTGGGAAAAGATATCAACATCCAAGTACAGAAAGGTTATAGAACACCAAGCAGATTTAATCCAAAACAGACTACCTCCAGGCATTTAATAACCAAACTCTTGAAGGTCAAGAATAAAGAAAGGATCTTAAAAGCAACACGAGAAAAGAAGCAAATAACATACAATGGAGCTACAATATACCTGACAGCAGATGGAAAGCTTTCAGTGCAAACCTTACAGGCCAGGAGAGAATGGTATGACATATTTAGAGTACTGAAGAAAAACAACTTTTACTCTAGAATAGTATATCTGGCAAAAATATCCTTCAATCATGAAGGAGAAACAAAAACTGAGGAATTTCATTAGCACCAGACCTGCCCTACAAAAAAAAGCTAAAGGGAGTTCTTCAATCTGAAAGGAAAGGACATTAATCAGCAATAAGAAATCATCAGAAGGACCAAAACTCACTGCTAATAGTAAACACACAAAACCCCCAGAATAGTGTAACACTGTTAATTGTGGTGTGAAACTACTCTTATCTTAAGTAGAAAGACTAAATGAACCAAACAAAATCAATAACCACAACTTCTCAAGACATACACAGTACAATAAGACATAAAGAGAGGCAATAAAAAGTTAAAAACTTGGGAGATAATGTTACAGTGTAGAGTTTTTATTAGTTTTTTTGTGTGTTTGTTTATGCAATTATGTTGTCATCAGTTTAATGGGTTTTAAGATAGTATCTGCAAACCTCATAATAACCTCATATTGAAAAACACAATGGATACACACACAAAAAAAGCAAGAAATTATACCGCCAGAGAAAATCACTTTTACTAAAAGGAAGATAGGGAGGAAGAAAAGAAGACTTGAAAACAACTAGAAAACAAATAACAAAATGCTAGGTGTGTTTACATATCAATAATAACATTGAATGGAAATGGACTAAATTCTCCAATAAAAAGACACAGAGTTGCCTAATGGATGAACAAGCAAGACCCAGTGATCTGTTGCCTACAAGAAGCACACTTTATCTATAAAGATACACATAGGCCAAAAATAAATGAATGGAAAAAAATATTCCATGGCAAAGGAAACCAAAAAAGCGCAGGAATAGCTATACTTATATCAGACAAAATAGATTTCAAAACAAAAATTGTAAGAGAAAAAAGTCATTATATAATGATAAAGGGGTCAATTCAGCAAGAGGATACAATGGTTCTAAGTACATATGCACCCTCCACTGGAGCACCCAGATATATAAAGCAAATATTATTACAGCTAAAAAGATAGACCTAAATACAATAATAGCTGGGAACTTCAACATCCCACTTTCAGCATTGAACATATGTCCCAGAAAGAAAATTGACAAAGAAAAATCAGACCTAGTCTGGACTACAAAATAAATGGACCTAATAGATATTTACAAATGGAAATTAAACAATATGTTCCTGAAGAACCAGTGGGTCAATGAAGAAATTAAGAAGGAAACTGAAAAACTTCTAGAAACTTGTGATAATAAAAACATAACATATTAAAACCTATGGGATACAGCAAAAGCAGTACTAGAGAGAAGTTTATAGCTATAATTGCCTACATCAAGAAAGAAGAAAAACTTCAAATAAACAACACAATAATGCATCTTAAAGAACTGGAAAATCCAGAGCAAACCAAATTTGAAATTAGTGGAAGATATAAAAATGATCAGAACACACATTAATGAATTTGAAATAAGAATACAAAAGATTAAACAAAAAGTTGTTTTTCTGAAAGGATAAACAAAATTGACAACCTTTAGCTAGACTAACAAAGAAAAAAAGGGAGAAGACCCAGGGAAATAAAATCAGAGACGAAAAAAAAGACATTACAACTAATACTACAGAAACTTAAAGATTGTTAGTGGCTACCATGAGCAACTATACGCTGCTAACTTGGAAAATGTAGGGGAAGTGGATAAATTCCTAAGCACATACAATCTACAAAGATTGAATCATGAAAAAATATCTACAACCTACCAATAACAAGTAATGGGATCAAAGCCATAATAAAAAGTCTCCCAGTAAAGAAAAGCCCAGGCCCAATGGCTTCACTGCTGAATTCTACTAAACATTTAAAGAATTAATACCAATCCTACTCAAACCACTTCAAATAATAGAGGAGGGAATACTTCCAAACTCATTCTAGAAGGCCAGTATTAAACTGATACAAAAAGCAAAGAGGTGTCAAAGAAACAAAACTATAGGACAATACCTGTGATATACATAGATATAAAAAATTTAACAAACTATTAGATACCAGAATTCGACAATATATTAAAAAAATCATTCATCATGACCAAGTGAAATTTATCCCAGGGATGCAAGGATGGTTCAACATATGCAAATCAATCAGTGTGATACATCATATCAACAGGATGAAAGACAAAAACCATATGATCATTTCAATTGATGCTGAGAAAGCATCTGGTGAAGTTCCCTTCAGCATCCCTTCATGATAAAAGCCCTCAAAAAACTGGGTATAAAAGGAACCTACATCAACATAATAAAAACCATGTATAACAGACCCACAGCTAGTATCATACTAAATGAAGAAAAACTGAAAACCTTTCCTCTAAGATGTGGAACATGGCAGAGATGCCCACTTTCACAACAGTTATTCAAGATACTACTGGAAGTTCTCGCTAGAACAATCAGACAAAAGAAAGAAATAAAGTGCATCCAAATTGGAAAGGAAGAAGTCAAATTATCCTTATTTGTAGATGATATGATCTTGTCTTTGGAAAAACCTAAAGACTTCACACACAAACAAAAACCTATTAGAACTGACAAACAAATTGATTTAAGTTGCAGGGTGCAAAATCAATATACAAAACTCCGTAGCATTTCTATAGGCTGACAGCAAACAATCTGAAAAAGAAACCAAAAAGGTAATCTCATTTTCAATAGCCACAAATAAAATTACATACCTAGGAGTTAAACACAGAAGTGAAAGATCTCTATAATGAAAACTATGAAACACTGATAATAAGAGGACACAAAAAATGGAAACATATTTAATGTTCTTGAATTGGAAGAGACAATGTTGTTAAAATGTCCACACTACCCAAAGCAATCTACAGATTCAATGCAATCCCTCTCAAAATACCAATGACATTCTTCACAGTAAAAGAAAAAACAATTCTAAAATTTACATGGAGCCACAAAAGACCCAGAACAGCCAAAGCTATCCTAAGTAAACAGAACAAAACTGGAAGAATCACATTTCCTGACCTCAAACTATGCAACAGAGCTATAATAACCAAGAGAGAATTGTACTGGCATAAAAACAGACACATAGACCAATGCAACAGAGTAAAGACCCAGAAACAAATCTACACACCTACAGTAAACTTATTTTCAACAAAGGTGCTAAGAACATACACCAAGGAAAAAGACAGTCTCTTCAATGAATGGCTTTGGCAAAACTAGATGTCGATATGCAGAAGCATGAAACTAGACCCCTGTCTCTTGCCATATACAAAAATCAAATCAAAATGGATCAGACATAAATCTAAGACCTCAAATTATGAAACTACTACAAGAACACAGGGAAACTCTCTAGGACATTGGATTGGGCAAAGATTTTTTTGAGCAATGCCCCAAAAGCACAGGGAACCAAAGCAAACATGAACAAATGGGCTGGCATCAAGTCAAAAAGCTTCTGCACAACAAAGGAAACAACAAAGTGAACAGATAACTGACAGAATGGGAGAAAATATCTGCAAGCTACCCATCTGACAAAACATTAATAACCAGAGTATATATGGAGCTCAAAAAACACTATAGGAAAAAAAATCTAATAATCCAACTTAAAAATAGGCAGAAGATTTGAACAGACATTTCCTCAAAAGAAGACATATAAATGCCAAACAGGCATACAAAGAAGTTCAACATCACTGATCATCAGAGAAATGCAATTCAAAACTACAGTGAGATATCATCTCACCCCAGTTAAAATGGCTTTTATCCAAAGAACAGGCAATAACAAATGCTGTTGAGCATATGGAGAAAAGGGAACCCTCTACACTGTTGGTGGAAACATAAATTAATAAAACTACCATGGAGCACAGTTTGGAGGTTCCTCAAAAAAACTAGATCTTCCATATGATCCAGCAATCCCATTGCTAGGTATATACCCCAAAGAAAGGACATTAGATTCTCAGAGATGTCTGCATTCCCATGTTTGTTGCAGCACTGTTCACAATAGCCAAGATGTGGAAGCAACCTAAGTGTCCATCAACAGATGAATGGATAAAAACATGTGGTACATATACACAATGGAGTTGTGTATATTCAGCCACAGAAGAGAGTGAGATCCTGTCATCTGCAACAACATGGATGGAACTGGAGGTCATTATGTTAATTGGAATAGGCCAGGCAAAGAAAAACATTGATGTTCTCACTTATTTGTGGGATCTAAAATTCAAAACGATTACACTTGTGGAGATAGAGAGTAGAAGGATGGTTGCCAGAGGTTGGGAAGGGTAGTGGCAAGGAGGTGGAGATGGGAGTTGGTTAATGGGCACAAAAAATAGAAAGCATGAATAAGACCTAGTGTTTGGTAGCACAACAGGGTGACTATAGTCCATAATAACTGTACATTTTAAAAGGACTGTAAGACTATAATTGGATGGTTTGTAACACAAAAGATGAATGCTTGAGAAGATGGATACCCCATTCTCCATGCTATTATGCATTGCACGCCTGTACCAAAATATGTCATGTACTCAACAAATATATATACCTACTATGTACTCACAAAATAAAAATTTAGAAAAAGAACTGTTAAGGAAAATGGCGTATTATATGAGAGAATGAGATAGGCTGGAATTTTTTCCCTTGAATAAAAAAGGATGTTTAAAAATTTAAATAAAAATTTCCAAGAAATTTTGTAAGGTATTAACAATTTGCAAAAGTAATCCTATTTGCATTATCTTTTCAGGTGTGTAAAATTGTATAAATAAAAAAATACGTCAAATGTTTTAAGACTCAGATGGTAACATGAGTGCATCAACAATTTTACACATTTCCACTGATTTCAGTTTGAGGACTGCCTGAGGAATCACTGTTTAATAGGTAGACACATTTTAAGATAGTACCTTTTTTACATGTTAGGGTAAATCTGGGTATTTTCTACCAAATAGAATCACTTAAGTAAAAACTTGTTAGTGTGTCATGAGCACTTTTCAGCATCAGCCACAGACATATCATAATTATAATTATCATGAGCCTGACATTCTTCCAGGATCTTCGGGTCTAACACGCTTCTTGAGCACATCTTCCTATGGCACTGAGGCGATGTCTATTCATGAATTTCCTTCCACCGCCATTTTTTGTTCTTAATTTTACCACTAATTTTCTTCCCTGTATCACCTCCACAAACAACTTACATATAATGCCTCCCTCTGGTTGCAAAACATCAATTTCATGATTAAAGAAATAAAGAAGGTGAATTACAGCAAGTAAATGGGGAATACCCTTCAGAAAGCAGCCTTATAAGAGCTGCTGATAGATAACATAAAAACAAAAAATGGATTATGATAATGTAGCCCTCTCACACATGAAATACAAGCCCCAGCTGAAAGGAGTTACAGAACCTCTAAAGGGCAGTCAGTAACCTGTCTAAAAACTTACCAAATTCTCTCTCTGGCTGGAAGGGTCAAACTACTTGCCCCCTGTTGATTTACTTCCTCAGCAGGACTCCATTGAAACTTCTCTCATATAAAAGGAGGCATTATCAAAGACATTACATGGTAAACCTGACCTACCATACTATGAAATGCTTATCAGCTATTGGAACATGTCACCTAGATTTTGAATTATGGTTTAAAAGGTGAGAAATTAACACTCACCTACACATGTACATGCACACACACACATTGTTTAAGAAAAATATGAATATGAGCTTATGGTAAAGGCTCTAGTCCTTACGCTGTTGATGACATTGATCAAGGGAATATACAAACAAGGAAATGTGTGACATTGAGCAGCCCTATGATTTGTACCCCAGAACACCAAACGGCACTATTAATTACAGTCAAAAGGAACACAGGCAGATTTGGGACTCAAGTATCTAAGACATGATTATAGCCTGAAAAATATCAAAACTAAGTTTATAAGAAAACAGAATATTTGAAACACAAGAAAGATCACGTTCCATTCCTTTGTTAAAGGTAGTAATAAATATTGTACCTATAGTAAGTGTGCAAGGTGATTAAAAATAATTAAAACCTAAAGAGTGGGTGAAAGCATAAAATAATTCTATTTCTTAAAAAAGACCTACACAAAACTAAAAATGTAGTGTTTTATTCAGTTATATATTTTCCATAAAAACATTATAGTCTCACAGATACACTTATGGTAAAAAATAATAAGCTAAATAAACTCTGAGAAACTAGTAACTAATAATAATAATTATAAGAACCACCACTACCACTGGCATAATGATCTATGCTTAGCTCATGTGCTGTCTAATGTCCTCAGGGCAGACATTACTCATCACGTTTCTCTGCAGAGTCCAGAAAAGATACAACATTCTTCTCAACACAGATATCCAGGCAACTGCTACCAAACATCCTGAACCACAGGACAAATCTCTTTGTAACCTATAGACTCTACTTATTGGACAATTTGCAGATTAGTTATTTCCTAACTTTCTGTACATAAAAGCAGTGTCAACAGACCAAAATCTAACTATTGGTCTCCACTATGGAACTAGAAAGCTAGCCTTGGGG
This sequence comes from Homo sapiens, assembly GCF_000001405.40. Lineage (NCBI taxonomy): Eukaryota > Metazoa > Chordata > Mammalia > Primates > Hominidae > Homo > Homo sapiens. The sequence continues at coordinate 12,159,433 of NC_000018.10, read as the reverse complement.
AGAGGGAGAAACTGTCTAATGCATGTCAATTTGTTAAGTACTAAATTTTGTACATTAAATTCATTTAAATATGATTTTTCAGGATAGAACAGAATGAAGGCAGGGGAGAAAATTACCCCCAAATCAGTATCTTTTATACCAGTATGTGTTAAAGAAAATGAACTAAATATCATGAACAATGCCAACTACTGTGTCCCTGACTATTCTCCTCACCTCTTCCAAGCAACTCAAATCACTTTTCTTCCCTAGATACCTCAAAGCAGGGTCTAACTACAAAATATATGCACTCTTCTTTAAATACACGTTTTCCTGGTCATTTATTATATAATTAAATTAAACTCAATAGGTCGTTATACTTCTGCTGTGTTCAGTGTCTTGCATGAGGAGAAAGATGTCCAGCTTTAAACTTTTTCCATCACAGGTTAATAGCATAGGAAGAATTTTGTGGAAGGTCTGAACTAGGCCCCATATTTTAAAAGAAATACACTTATTACCTTTAAAATCATATATATTCACTTCCAACTCAAATGGCAAACGAAGCACCTCCCACTCGAAGCCCAGCTGAAATATTTTTAAATGTGTGTTAAATAAAAAATTTCTGGCCGGGCGCGGTGGCTCACGCCTGTAATCCCAGCACTTTGGGAGGCCAAGGCCGGTGGATCACGAGGTCAGGAGATCGAGACCACGCTGGCTAACACGGTGAAACCCCATCTCTACTAAAAATACAAAAAAAAAAAAAAAAATTAGCCAGGCATGATGGTGGGCGCCTGTGATCCCAGCTACGGGAGGCTGAGGCAGGAGAATGGCGTGAACCCGGGAGGCAGAGCTTGCGGTGAGCCGAGATGGCACCACTGCACTCCAGCCAGGGCGACACAGCGAGACTCCGTCTCAAAAAAAATAAAAAATAAAAATAAAAAATTTCTAAAGCAATTTTGTAGGGTATTAACAATTTGCAAAAGTAATCCTATTTGCAATATCTTTTCAGGTTGCACATACAGAGGAAGAGATTGTTTAAAATAATAAAAGCATTGATGGTAGAGACAAAAGGAAGATACCTTAGCTGATAGTTAACAGACAGAAACACAATGATGAAAGAACACAACAGCCAAAAATACCAGACAGAAGGGGACTCTGGAAATGTCACCAAAGCCACAATGACCAGGCTATTCAAAGAGGTGTGATCAGCATCAGCTGGCTACTCAGGTCCCTTGCCTTCTCATTTACTACCTCTAAACAAAGCACGTTCCTCTGGCAGGAGAGGTATTTATACCCCAGCATAGACCTAGGCCTGTCTCTGAATAGAGTGAGCCACCTGCCTATTGTGGGGACACACCTTGTCTTGTGGCCTGAGATGAGGAAGGCAGGCCTGGAGGTGACTTGTGGATCTCCAAACCTGACGCTGGAAGGGGGAGCCAACACTACCCAAGGGTAAGATGTTCTAAAGCTCATGACCCCAAAATACAGCCTCCCTGCTTTTGTTTGTTTGTTCCAAGAACATAAGGGGTTCACCCTAGCCACTCCCACCTACGCACCACAGGGAAGCTGGTCTGTTGACATCCCTGGCCACTGGCAGCACTTGTAGAAGCCCATAGTTGCCCATCCCAGCCAAGACCTTTAAGACCTGCTCAGGAATCAGACCTTTCCAGCTGCAGTGGAAACCCATTTGGCCACCTATACTATTCAGCCTCCTCCTTGTCCATAAAAATGAACAGACAGCCAATGACCACCCAGTCATTTAAGGAAATCCAACAGCAAGAAAGGAAAGGACAAAGATGTAAATAGAAAGCGAGGCAGAATCTGAGCACAAGCGAACACACTAGCCCTAGGAGAAACAGATAATTCACGGATGAGAAACCTTCAAACAGATAATTCATGAACAGAAAACATTCAAAGGATATTACATCATATTATGTTAAATATTACAACACAGTCTAGTTCACCAAAGAACAAAATTGGCAAGGCAAAAAATGGAAATCAAAAATAATCAAAGACCTACTGAAGAAGTAAAAATAAAATCTGTTGAAATTAGTAATTTACATGGGCCAGGGGCGAGGATAGGGCCTGGTTCATCACAAAGGGGTCACTCTGAGTGATGAAATGTTCTACATTTTGATCATGGTCGTGGTTACTTGACTACAGGTGTTTATCAAAACCCATAGAACCATATTCTAGAAAGAATAAATTTTACTGTATAAAAAGTCTGAAAAGTGATTTTTAAAAATGCTTGTTGAAATAAGTGCCCAGCAGAACAAGCAAAATATCTTTATCAGACATACCCTAGACAGATTTCAGCATCCCAAAGTAGAACTTCAGAAAGCTTCTGGAGAGGGAGAAAAAAGTTTGCCTATAAAGTTATCTTGGGCTGGGCACAGTGGCTCTTGCCTTTAATCTCAGCACTTTGCGGGGCCGAGGCAAGCAGATTGCTTGCCTGGGCAACATAGTGAGATGCTGTCTCTTAAAAAAATGAGAGACAGCGAGCGAGAGAGAGCGAGAGAGTGAGAGAGGAAGTTATCATATATCTTATCAGCAAAACTATGCCTTTAAAATTTAGAGGGAAAATACTTTTCTACCCTATGAAGACAAAAATGTGACATTTTCAATCAAGCAATGACTCAAAGTTACAACCCACGTACACCATGTTTTTAAAAATTAATATAGGATATTTTTTATGAAAACAAAAATATTCAAGAGAGAACTAAATGGTATAGCAAATTCAGTGACAGCTAAAAATGCCCTAAAATGGTGTTTTTAAAACTTTGATTAGAGCCAACAGTAAGAGATGCATCTCCTCACAGCTTAGAACACACACAGATGTGTATAAAATGCAAGCTTCAAAGTAATATCTAGACTTATATTATGTGATGCTCTATAAGTTTTCCTATTCTATTCTAGTATATTCCTTTTTAAAAATACTGTTCTTTACCCACTAAATCAACGTCCTGACTCAGTAGTGGATCTAATCCATAGATTAAAAAACAGATTTCACAGAAGCAAGCAAGCAGAAACAAAACCATGAAGAATATGAGGATCTACCAGTCCATGACATGTGGGATACTCCTTTTGACAGGGAGAGGTCTAATGGATTATGGAGTTGGAGAATATTTTTGAAATACCTATTGTGTTAGTTCTTCTCATGTTGCTACAGAAAAATACCTGAGATTGGGTAATTTATAAAGAAAAGAAATGTATTTGGTTTATGGTTCTGCAAACTGCACCGGAGGCGTGGCACCAACATCTGCTTCTAGTCAGGCCTCAGGAAGCTTCCAATTATGGTGGAAGGCAAAGGGGGAGCAGGCGGGTGTGTCACATGGTGAGAGAGGAGGGAAGGAGAGAAAGGGAGGGAGAGGGAGGGGGGAAGGAGAGAGAGAGAGAGAAAGAGAGAGAGAGAGAAGGTAGTATCAGGCTCCTTTAAACAATCAGCTCTGGCCTGAACTAACAGAGTGAGAACTCACTCATTACCACAGAAAGGCAAATCTCCAACACTGGCGATCACATTTCATCATGAAATTTAAAGGGGACAAATACCTAAGCCATATCACCAACTGACTTTTTCTTCCTCCCACTATTTCCCCCTTTCTATCTCCCCAATGTCTATCTGAAGGAAGTACCCTTTCCAGGGTTCAGTCTTAGGAGGGATGACAGTGTAGAAAATGGAAGTGGCCAGCTAGGTTCTGCTTTGGTATTTCCTAACACCTAAAGACATTAGGTAGAATATACTAGGAGCTCCTTGTGGGGAAATCATTATAAAGAAAATGGCTCTAAGAGATTATCATTGAGATTAAGAGAGGAAAGGAATAAAGAGAATAAAGAAAGGGGAACTTTGTACACCTAGGCCTGGCTCAGATCCCCCAAGCCCAGGCAGATAGGTCATTGACAGCCTCAACAGTAGTGGCCCATGGGGACAAGGAAGCCCGTGTCCACAGGAACTTCATGTGTGCTCCATGGCAGTCTAGAACCACAGGAGTCAGAAAATAAAAAAGTCAATGGAAACAGGAAGAAGGAATCTTTCACAATAAACTATGTAGGCTTGGGATTGAGAACCAGGCAATAAAGCCAAGATGTGGCCTCCTGCAAGTTCCTGGCACCATGCAAGTCCCCAGTGATTTAGCCACTATTTAAAGGAAAAGGATGTGGAGACTCACATTTACTCATATTAAATTCTCATAAAACAAATTTATATTAAGTTTTCAAGCCAGAATAAGCACTAGAATAAAAATTGTTATGGGAAAATAAGTTACATTTCTGGTACATCTTAGTCCAGGACTGAGAGTTACACTTCAGACAGTTACATTTTCTTTTGTTGTTGTTAACATCTATTTTAGGTTCCAGGGTACATGTGAAGGTTTGTTACACAGGTAAACTTGTGTCACAGGGGTTTCTTGTACATATTTCATTACCCAGGTATTAAGCCTAGTACCTGATAGTTATCTTTTCTACTCCTCTCCCTCCTCCCACCTTCCACTCTCAAGCAGACCTTAGTGTCTGCTGTTCCCTTCTCTGCGTTCATGAGTTCTCATCATTAGGCTCCCACTTATAAGTGAGAACATGTGGTATTCAGTTTTCTGTTCCTGCATTAGTTTGTTAAGGATAATGGCCTCCAGCTTCATCCATGTTCCCACAAAAGACATGACCTTATTCTTTTTTATGGTTGCATAGTATTCTGTGGTGTATATGTACCACATTTTCTTTGGCCAATCGGTCACTGCTGGGCATTTAGGTTGATTCCATGTCTTTGCTATTGCGAATAGTGATGCAATGAACATTCACATGCATGTGGCTTTATGGTAGAATGCTTTATATTTCTCTGGGTACGTACACAGTAATGGGATTGCTGGGTGGAATGCTAGTTCTGCTTTTAGGGTGGAATGGTAGTTCTGCTTTTAGCTTTCTGAGGACTCACCATACGGCTTTCCACAATGGTGGAACTAATTAACACTCCCACCAACAATGTATGTGTTCCCTTTTCTCCACAACCTTGCCAGCATCTGTTGTTTCCTGACTTTCTTATAACAGCCATTCTGACTAGTGGGTGATGGTATCTCATTGTGGATTTGATTTGCATTTCTCTGATCATCAGTGATACTGGGTTTTTCTTATATGCCTGTTGGCTGCATGTAGGTCTTCTTTTGGAAAGTGTCTGTTCATGTCCTTTGCCAACTTTTTAATGGGCTTGTTCTCTCTTGTAAATTTGTTTAAGCTCCTTATAGATGCTGGATATTAGAGCTTTGTCAGATTCATAGTTTGCAAATATTTTCTCCCATTTTGTAGGCTGTTTGTTCTGTTGATAGTTTCTCTTGCCATGCAGAAGCTCTTAATTTTAATTAGACCCCATTTGTCAATGTTTGATTTGACTGTGATTGCTTTTTGTCTTTCTCATAAAATCTTTGGCCATTCCAATGTCTGGGATGGTATTGCCTAGGTTGTCTTCCGGGATTTTTATAGTTTTTGGTTTTACTTCTAAGAGTTTAATCCATCTTGAGTTGACTTGTATGTATGGTGTAAAAAAGGGTCCAGCTTCAATCTTTTGCATATGGCTAGCCAGTTATTCAACAGACATTTACTGAATAGGGAATCTTTCCCCCAGTGCTTGTTTCTGTTAGCTTTGTCAAAGAACAAATAGTTGAAGGTGTGTAACCTTATTTTTGGGTTCTCTCTTCAGTTCCCTTAGTATATATGTCTGTTTTGATTACTGTAGCCCTGTAGTATAGTTTGAAGTCGGGTAACCTAATGCCTCCAGCTTTGTTCTTTTTGCTTAGGATTGCCTTGGTTATTCCAGCTTTTCTGATTCCATATGAACTTTAAAATCATTTTTTTCTTTCTTTCTTTTTTTTTTTTTTTTTCCCAGGCAGAGTCTCGCTCTGTCACCCAGGCTGGAGTGCAGTGATGTGATCCTGGCTCACTGAAACCTCAGCCTCACAGGTTCAAGCGATTCTCTTGCTTCAGCCTCCTGAGTAGCTGGGGTTACAGGTGTGCACCACCACACCTGGCTAATTTTTGTATTTTTAGTAGAGATGGGATTTCACTGTGTTGGCCAGGCTGGTCTTGAACTCCTGACCTTAAGTGATTCACCCCACTTTGGCCTCCCAAAGTGCTGGGATTACAGGCATGAGCCACTGTGCCTGGCCCGTTTTTTCTAGTTCTGCAAAGAATATCATTAGTAGTTAAATATAAATAGCATTGAGTGTACAAATTGCTTTGGGCAGTATGGCCATTTTAATGATATTGCTTCTTCCTATCCATGAGCATGAAAGTTTTTTAGCTTTTACATTTGTCTGTGTCATCTCTGATTTCTTTAAGCAGCAGTTTGTAGTTCTCCTTGTAGAGCTCTTTCGCCTCCTTTGTTAGCTATATTCCTAAATATTTATCTGTGTGGGCATTGTGAATGGGATTGAATTCCTGATTTCGTTCTCATCTTGACTGTTGTTGATGTATAAGAGTGCTAGTTATTTTTGTACACTGATTTTGTGTACTCAGACTGCTAAAGTTGTTTATCAGCTTAAGGAGATTTTTGGCTGAGACTATGGGGTTTTCTTTTCTTTGGAAATGGAATCTTGCTCTGTCACCCAGCTTGGAGGGCAATGGCACGATCTCGGCTTCAACTATGGGGTTTTCTAAAGATAGAATAATGCTGTCTTGCAAACAGGGATAGTTTGGCTTCCTCTCTTCCTGTTTGGATGCCCTTTATTTATTTGTTTGATTGCTCTGGTGAGGGCTTCCAATACTGTGTTGAATATGAGTGGTGAGAGAGGGTATCCTTGTCTTGTGCTGGTTTTTGAGGGGAATGCCCCCAGCTTTTGCCCATTCAGTATGATCTTGGCTGCAGATTTGTCATGAATAGCTCTTATTATTTCAAGACATGTTCCTTCAACATCAGTTCATTGAGAGTTTTTAACATGAAGGGTGTGGAATTTTGTAGAAAGACTTTTCTGCAAATATTGAGATAATTGTGGTTTTTGTCTTTGGTTCTGTTTATGTGATTAATCACATTTATTGATTTGCATAGGTTAAACCAACTTTGCATCCCAGGGATGAAGCCTACTTGATCGTGGTGGATTAGCTTTTTGATATGCTAATGGATTCAGTTTTCAAGGATTTTGTTGAGGATTTATGCATTGAAGTTAATCAAGGATAACAGCCTGAAGCTTTATTTTCTGGTTGTGTTTCTGCAGGTTTCGGTATCAGGAGAATGCTGGCCTCATAGAATGTGTTTGGGAGGAGTCCCTCCTCCTCAGTTTTTTTTTTTTTTTTTTTTTTTTGGAAGCATTTCAGCAGAAATGGTATCAGCTCTTTTTTGTGCATCTGGTCGAATCTGGCTGTGAATCCATCGGGTCCTGGGCCTTTTTTTTTTTTTGGTAGCTTATTTATTCCTATTCAACTTTGGAGCTCATCATTGGTCTGTTAAAACATTCAATTACTTCTTGATTCAGTCTTGGGAGGGTGTATGTGTAGAAAAATTTACCTATCTCTTCTAAGAAGGTTTTCTAGTTTGTGTGCATAGAAGCATTTTTAGTAGTTACTCATGTTACTTGTATTTCTGTGGGATCAGTGGTCACATTGCCTTCATCATTTCTAATGGTGTTTATTTGGATTGTCTCTCTTCTCTATTAGTCTAGCTAGTGGTCTATCTATCTTATTAAATTTTTCAAAAAATCAACCCCTGGATTTGTTGAACTTTTGGATAATTTTCTGAGTCTCAATTTCCTTCTTCAGTTAAGCTCTGACGTTGGTTATTTCTTGTCTTCTGCGAGCTGTGAGGTTGATTTATTCTTGCTTCTCTAATTATTTCAATTGTGATGTTAGGTCGTTAATTTGATATCTTTCTAACACTAATTTTTATTGTGTTGTGGTTCAAGAGTATGTTTAGTATGATTTCAGTTCTTTTCATTAGCTAAGGATTGTTTTATATCCAATTATGGGGTTGATTTCAGAGCATGTGGCATGTGGTGATGAGAGAATGCATATTCTGTTGTTTTCAGGGACAGAATTACGTAGAGGTCTATCAGACCCACTTGGTCCAGTGTTGACTTCAGGTCCCATATACCTTTGTTAATTTTCTCCCTCAGTGATCTAACGTCAATGGAGCGTTAAAGTCTCCCACTATTATTTTGAGGGAGTCTATGTCTCTTTGTAGATCTCTAAGAACTCGCTTTATGAACCTAGGTGCTCATGTGCTGGATGCATACATATTCAGAATAGTTAGGTCTTCTTGTTGAATTCAACACTTTACCATTATTTAATGCCCTTCTTTGTCTTTTTTGATCTTTGTTGGTTTGAAATCTGTTTTGTCTGAAATTAGGATCGCAAGCCCTGCTTTTTTCTGTTTTCCATTTGCTTGGTAGATTTTCCTCCATCCCTTTATTTTGAGCCTATGGGTGTCATTATGTGTTAGACACGTTTCTTGAAGACAGCATATGATTGGTTCTTGTTTTATATGCACCTTGCCACACGGTGCCTTTTTAGTGAAGGGTATTTCACCCATTTACATATAAAGTTAGTGTTGATATTTGTGGATTTGATTCTGATGTTGTGTTGTTAGCCAACTGTTATGCTGGCTTGCTTTATAGTGTCAGTGGTCTGTGTATTTAAGTGCATTTTTGTACTAGCTGGTGGTGGTCTTTCTATATTTAGTGCTCCTTTCAAGATCTCTTGTAAGGCAGGTCTGGTGATAACAAACTCCCTCAACTTTTGCTTGTCTGAATAGGATCTTATTTCTCCTTCACTGAGGAAGTTTACTTTGGCTGGATATGAAATTCTTGGTTAAAGGATTTTTTTCTTTAAGAATGTCAAATATAGGCCCCCAATCTCTTCTGGCTTGCAGGGTTTCAGCTAAGATGTCTACTGTTAGCCTGATGGGGTTCCCTTTGTAGGTGACCTGCCCTTTCCCTCTTGCTGCCTTTAACATTCTTTCTTTCATTTGGACCTTGGAAAATCTGATGATTATATGTCTTGGGGATGGTATTCGTGTGTAAAATCTTGCAGGAGTTCTCTGTATTTCCTGAATTTGTTTGATTCTCTAGCAAGTTTGGGGAAGTTGTCATAGACAATATACTGAAATAGGTTTTCCAAGTTGTTGGCTTTCTCTCTGTCCCTTTCAGGGATGCCAATGATAAATAGACTTGGCCTCTTTATATAGTCCCATACTTTTCAGAGGTTTTGTTCATGTCTTTTGGTTGTTTTTATAATTTTTTGTCTGACTGTCTCATTTCAGAGAGCCAGTCTTCAAGCTCTGAAATTCTTTTCTCAGCTAGATTTATTCTCCTGTTAATACTTGCAATTGCATTGTGAAATTCTTGTATTGTGTTACTCAACTCCGTCAGGCCTCTTAGTGGTGGTGGTGTTTTTTTTTCCTATGGTGGCTATTTCATCCTTCAGCTCCTGTATTATTCTATTGTGATTCTCGGTTTCCTTGCATTAGGTATTGCCATCTTCCTGAATCTCAACGGTCCTCATTCCTGCCCATAGTCTGAATTCTATTTCTATCATGTCAGCCAGCTCTGTCTGGTTAAGAACTCTTCTTGGAGAACTGTTGTGGTCCTTAGGAGGACGTATGGCACTCTGGCCATTTGAGTTACCAGAGTTCTCGCGTTGGTTCTTTCTCATCTCTGCATGTGGGTGTTCCTTTAACTTCAGTGCAGACTCAGTACAGTCAATAGACTTCTTTTCTGGATGTTTTCACAGAACTGACACTTTATTCGGGTCTTGATTTGAAGCTGACTTCTTGTCTTTGGTTTCAGATGGGAGTATGTTAGCAAGGTACTTTTGGTGTTGAGGTTCTAGGGTGTGATCCAGTAGGTGGCGCTTAGGAATATTGGTCAGTTGGTAAACTCTTGCTCGTTTGTGTGGCTCCTCTATGTTGAACCACACTTGCAGCCCTGTTCCTTCCCAGTACTCTGAAAGTATGGGTTCCTCTCCCCCTTGAGTGCTGGCTGTAGATTGTGGCTTGGCACTCCTGGGCTGCCCACTGCAGCTCGGGGGCGATCTCAGTGTTTATGTTCCTTCCCCAACTTGGAGGCACAGAGAAAGGGACCTTAGTAGTGGCTGTGGCCAAGGGTCTTTCGCGTGTCTCCTGGGGGCTCCACCCATAGAGATGCAGGTCAGCATTCACTCAGTGCAATCAGCCCAGGTTGGAGTGTCTGTGCTGTGGGCCCAAGCCGGGGGTTCCCTGTCTGGTAGTGAGCAGAGGGGAGCATGTGGGGCCCATGGGAGATGGACTGGCCTCCTCTCCTTGGGTCAACTGCAGCTCGTTGGAGGTGTGGATCAAGGACATAGGGTCTTTGCTCCTTCACTAGTCCAAGGGTAGCAAGGGCAGTTCCACTGCAGAGGCAGTGGCAGAGAGGCTTTCAGTTGCCCCTGGAGGCTGTGTCAATGGAGTTGCCGAGCTGCCACTGGCTCCATAGGTCTGGCGAGGGGTGGCTAGAGGACCTGCCAGGTGAGGAGTTTCGGGAATGGGCACCCATGTAACAGTGTGGCCACTTTCTGTAGGGCTGCTGCAGTATGCTGAGGGCCTGCTCCAGTCCCTAGTCACCTTGGATTTTTCAGCACCTGGAGGTATGAAGGTTGCAAAACAGCAAAGATGGTGGCCTGCCCCTCCCACTGGAAGCCCTGTCCCAGGGAGGTATGGAGCTGTTGACGGCCTGAATGCATCTGTAGGAGGTAGCTGGAGAGACCTCGGTTGACAGGTCCCGCTGAGTGAGGAGAAGCCTCACTCAGAAAAGTATTGGGGCCACTTTTCTTTTTTCCTTTTTTTTTTGAGAGAGTCTCACTCTGCCACCCAGGCTGGAGTGTAGTGGCACAATCTGGGCTCACTGCAACCTCTGCCTGCTAGGTTCAAGCAATTCTCCTGCCTCAGCCTCCCGAGTAGCTGGGACTACAGGTGCACGCCACCACGCCTGGCTAACTTTTTGTACTTTTAGTCAAGAGGCCGTGTCACCATGCTGGCCAGGCTGATCTCCAACTGCTGACCTCATGATCTGCCCACCTCAGCCTCCCAAAGTGCTGGGATTACCGGCGTAAGCAATTGTGCCTGTTTTTAGAAAACAGCACTACGTTTTTTTGAAAAACCAGTCTGTGCATCGTTCTGTTGAGCAGCTGTGTTGTGCTGTGCTGTGCTGTGCTGTGCTGTGCTGTGCTGTGCTGTGCTGGGGGTCTGCTTCCGTCCCCGATCTCCTCGTTCACTTCTGAGCCCGAAGGCTGGAAGGGCTAAGTTGCCCAAATAGAAGAGATGGTGGCCTACCGCACTCCCTGGGAGCTCCATCTCAAGGAGATTTGGGACGTCTGTCAGCCAGAGAACACTGGCAAGGGTGGCTGGACACCCCAGTTGAAAGCTCCCACCCAGTGAAGAGGAACGGGATCAGGGACCCACTTGAAAAAGCAGTCTGGCCACGTTTTCGTAGAGCAGCCCCCAGTTGGCCCTTTTAAGCGGGTCCCTGATCCCGGTGTTTTCCACCTGACAGAGATCTGAAACCTCCCCAGGATGAACCTCCAAGAAGGAGAGGCAGGCCGCCATCTTTGCTGTTGGGGCAACTTAGCCATTGCATCCTGCAGGCTTTAGAGGGTTCAAGCCGATCGGGGGTGGCAGTGCCAGCCTAGCCCAGCCACACGCCATCCTCACTGAGCGGGACCTCCCGACTGGAGTCTCCAGGCACTCTTGCCAGTGCTCTCCAGCTGACAGAGGTTTGAGGCCTCCCTGCGACAGAGCTCCTAAGGGGAGGGGCAACCTGCCATCTTTGCAGTTTTGGTGGCTGGGCGGATCCAGCTTTCTGGCTTGGAAGTGAACCCCGTGACCAGGAATGGGAGCGTACCCCCAGCACAGCACAGCTGCTCGATGAAAAGATGGCCAGACTGCCTACTTTTTTTTTAAGCATTGAGAGATGGACTGGCCTCCTCTTTCTGGGTCAACTGCAGCCTGCTGGAGGTGTGGATAAGGCAGGTAGGGTCTTTGCTGCTTCATTAGTCCAAAGGTAGCAAGGGTAGTTCCACTGTAGAGGCAGTGGCAGAGAGGCTTTCAGTTGCTCCTGGAGGCTCTGTTCAGGGCATTGCAGGGCTGCTACTGGCTTGGCATCTCTGGTGGGAGATTGCTGGAAGCCCAGGCCCAGAGGACCAGCCCCCTGAAAAGATACGGTAATGGGCATCCACGTGACACTCTGGAGACTTTCCTGTAGGGCTGCTGCAGTATGCTGGGGGCCCAATCCTGTCCCTAGCCAGCTCGGATCTTCCAGTATCTAGAGGTAACACGAGTGAAGGCTGTGAAACAGCAAAGATGGCGGCCTGCCCCTCCCTCCAAGAGGTCTGTCCCTGAGAGGTATGGACCTGTTGGTGGCCCAAACACACCTGTAGGAGGTGGCTGGAGACCACAGTTGGGAGGCCCTGCCCAGTGAGGAGGAACAAGATCGGGGCCCCCTTTAAAAAGCAGTCTGGCCTCGTTTTTGTAGACCAGCTGCGCTGTGCTAAGGGTCCGCGCTTCAGCCCCCAGTCACCTAGAACACTCCAAAGCCCACAAGCTGGAATGGCTAAGCCACCCAAATGGCAAAGGTAGCAGCCTGCCTCTGCCTCTGAGAGCTTCATCCCAGGGAGGTTGGAAACCTCTGTTGGCTGGCAGACACTGGCAGGGGTAGTTGAAGACCCCTGCCAGGAAGTCTCACACATTAAGGAGGAACAGGATCGGCAGCCCACTTTAAAAAAGCAGTCTGGGCTGGGCACGGTGGCTCACCCCTGTAATCCCACCACTTTGGGAGGCCGAGGAGGGCGGATCGTTTGAGATCAGGAGTTCGAGGCCAGCTGGGCAACATGGTGAGAACCCGTCTCTACTAAAACTCCAAAAATTAGCTGGGCATGCTGGCCTATGCCTGTAGTCCCAGCTGCTCGGAAGGCTGAGGCTGGAGAATTGCTTGAACCCAGGAGGCGGAGGTTGCGGTGAGCCGAGATTGTGCCACTGCACTCCAGCCTGGGAAACAGAAGGAGATTCTATCTCAAAACACACACACGCCCCCCCAAAAAAGTCTGGCCCCATTTTCATAAAGCAAGTGTGCTGTGCTGGGGGTCTCTTCCAGCCTCCAGATGCCTCTGACTCTCCAAAGACTGAAGGCCGAAATGGCTAAGTCATCCCAACAGCAAAGATGGCGGCCTGATCCTCCTCCTGGAAAGTCCCACAGAGTGAGGTTTAAGATGTCTGCCGGCCAAGGAATACCAGTGGAAGTGGCTGGAGACCCCGGTTGGGAGGTCCCACAAAGTCAGGAGAAACAGGATCCAGGACACTCTTAAGAAAGAAGCCTGGCCATGTTTTCATAGAACAGCCGTGCTGCGCTGTGCTGTGCTGTGCTGTGCTACCACTTCTACCGCAGGTTGGCCTGCAGTCTCTGAAGGCCGAAGGCTGGAATGGCTAAGTCGCCCAAATGGCAAAGATGTGGCCTGCCCCTCTTTCTGAGAGGTCCCACAGAGCAAGGTTTAAGATGTCTGTCGGCCAAGGAACACTGGTGCGGGTGGCTGGAGACCCCATTTGGGAGGTCCTACAAAGTGAAGAGAAACGGGATCCAGGACACGCTTAAGAAAGCAGCCTGGCCCTGTGATGAGAAACGGGATCCAGGACATGCTTAAGAAAGCAGCCTGGCCAAGTTTTTGTAGAACAGCTCTGCTGTGCTGTACTAGAGGAACACTTCTGCCGCAGGTTGGTCTGCACACTCTGAAGGCCAAAGGCTGGAATGGCTAAGCCACCCAAGTGGCAAAGATGGCCCGCCTCTCCCTCTGGGAGCCCCATCCTAGGGAGGAGTCAAATCTGTGTTAGCTGGAGACCACTGGCAAGAGTAGCTGAAGACCCCAGTTGAGAGCTCCCTCCCAGTGAAGAGACACAGAAACAGGGACCTGCTTATAAAAGCAGTCTGGCCTCATTTCACAGGGCAGCTGTGATGTGCTGGGGGACCCCATCCACATCCACCTCTCTATGGGCTTAAAAAAAGCAGCCTGGCCATGTATTTGCAAAACAGCCCCTCGTTGACTATTTTTAGTGGGTCCCCAGTCGTGGTATTCTCTGGCCAACAGAGATCTGAAACCTTTCTGAACATACCAGAAGGAGAAATGGGCTGACATCTTTGTTGTTTGGGCAGCTTAGCCATTGCATTTTTTCGAGCTTTGGAGATTCCAAGCCCATGTGGTGGGGGGCGGTAGCAGAGCAGTGGGACCTCCCAGAAGGAGAGGCAGGCCAACATCTTTGCCACTTGGGTGACTTAGCCATTCCAGCCTTTGGCCTTCAGAGAGTGCAGGCCAACCTGGGGCAGAAGTGGTCCCCCAGCACAGCACAGCACAGCACAGCACGACACAGCTGTTCTACAAAAACATGGTGCAATCTCGGCTCACCACAACCTCCGCCTCCTGGGTTCAAGCAATTCTCCAGCCTCAGCCTTCCGAGCAGCTGGGACTACAGGCATAGGCCAGCATGCCCAGCTAATTTTTGGAGTTTTAGTAGAGACGGGTTCTCACCATGTTGCCCAGCTGGCCTCGAACTCCTGATCTCAAACGATCCGCCCTCCTCGGCCTCCCAAAGTGGTGGGATTACAGGGGTGAGCCACCGTGCCCAGCCCAGACTGCTTTTTTAAAGTGGGCTGCCGATCTTGTTCCTCCTTAATGTGTGAGACTTCCTGGCAGGGGTCTTCAACTACCCCTGCCAGTGTCTGCCAGCCAACAGAGGTTTCCAACCTCCCTGGGATGAAGCTCTCAGAGGCAGAGGCAGGCTGCTACCTTTGCCATTTGGGTGGCTTAGCCATTCCAGCTTGTGGGCTTTGGAGTGTTCTAGGTGACTGGGGGCTGAAGCGCGGACCCTTAGCACAGCGCAGCTGGTCTACAAAAACGAGGCCAGACTGCTTTTTAAAGGGGGCCCCGATCTTGTTCCTCCTCACTGGGCAGGGCCTCCCAACTGTGGTCTCCAGCCACCTCCTACAGGTGTGTTTGGGCCACCAACAGGTCCATACCTCTCAGGGACAGACCTCTTGGAGGGAGGGGCAGGCCGCCATCTTTGCTGTTTCACAGCCTTCACTCGTGTTACCTCTAGATACTGGAAGATCCGAGCTGGCTAGGGACAGGATTGGGCCCCCAGCATACTGCAGCAGCCCTACAGGAAAGTCTCCAGAGTGTCACGTGGATGCCCATTACCGTATCTTTTCAGGGGGCTGGTCCTCTGGGCCTGGGCTTCCAGCAATCTCCCACCAGAGATGCCAAGCCAGTAGCAGCCCTGCAATGCCCTGAACAGAGCCTCCAGGAGCAACTGAAAGCCTCTCTGCCACTGCCTCTACAGTGGAACTACCCTTGCTACCTTTGGACTAATGAAGCAGCAAAGACCCTACCTGCCTTATCCACACCTCCAGCAGGCTGCAGTTGACCCAGAAAGAGGAGGCCAGTCCATCTCTCAATGCTTAAAAAAAAAGTAGGCAGTCTGGCCATCTTTTCATCGAGCAGCTGTGCTGTGCTGGGGGTACGCTCCCATTCCTGGTCACGGGGTTCACTTCCAAGCCAGAAAGCTGGATCCGCCCAGCCACCAAAACTGCAAAGATGGCAGGTTGCCCCTCCCCTTAGGAGCTCTGTCGCAGGGAGGCCTCAAACCTCTGTCAGCTGGAGAGCACTGGCAAGAGTGCCTGGAGACTCCAGTCGGGAGGTCCCGCTCAGTGAGGATGGCGTGTGGCTGGGCTAGGCTGGCACTGCCACCCCCGATCGGCTTGAACCCTCTAAAGCCTGCAGGATGCAATGGCTAAGTTGCCCCAACAGCAAAGATGGCGGCCTGCCTCTCCTTCTTGGAGGTTCATCCTGGGGAGGTTTCAGATCTCTGTCAGGTGGAAAACACCGGGATCAGGGACCCGCTTAAAAGGGCCAACTGGGGGCTGCTCTACGAAAACGTGGCCAGACTGCTTTTTCAAGTGGGTCCCTGATCCCGTTCCTCTTCACTGGGTGGGAGCTTTCAACTGGGGTGTCCAGCCACCCTTGCCAGTGTTCTCTGGCTGACAGACGTCCCAAATCTCCTTGAGATGGAGCTCCCAGGGAGTGCGGTAGGCCACCATCTCTTCTATTTGGGCAACTTAGCCCTTCCAGCCTTCGGGCTCAGAAGTGAACGAGGAGATCGGGGACGGAAGCAGACCCCCAGCACAGCACAGCACAGCACAGCACAGCACAGCACAGCACAGCACAACACAGCTGCTCAACAGAACGATGCACAGACTGGTTTTTCAAAAAAACGTAGTGCTGTTTTCTAAAAACAGGCACAATTGCTTACGCCGGTAATCCCAGCACTTTGGGAGGCTGAGGTGGGCAGATCATGAGGTCAGCAGTTGGAGATCAGCCTGGCCAGCATGGTGACACGGCCTCTTGACTAAAAGTACAAAAAGTTAGCCAGGCGTGGTGGCGTGCACCTGTAGTCCCAGCTACTCGGGAGGCTGAGGCAGGAGAATTGCTTGAACCTAGCAGGCAGAGGTTGCAGTGAGCCCAGATTGTGCCACTACACTCCAGCCTGGGTGGCAGAGTGAGACTCTCTCAAAAAAAAAAGGAAAAAAGAAAAGTGGCCCCAATACTTTTCTGAGTGAGGCTTCTCCTCACTCAGCGGGACCTGTCAACCGAGGTCTCTCCAGCTACCTCCTACAGATGCATTCAGGCCGTCAACAGCTCCATACCTCCCTGGGACAGGGCTTCCAGTGGGAGGGGCAGGCCACCATCTTTGCTGTTTTGCAACCTTCATACCTCCAGGTGCTGAAAAATCCAAGGTGACTAGGGACTGGAGCAGGCCCTCAGCATACTGCAGCAGCCCTACAGAAAGTGGCCACACTGTTACATGGGTGCCCATTCCCGAAACTCCTCACCTGGCAGGTCCTCTAGCCACCCCTCGCCAGACCTATGGAGCCAGTGGCAGCTCGGCAACTCCATTGACACAGCCTCCAGGGGCAACTGAAAGCCTCTCTGCCACTGCCTCTGCAGTGGAACTGCCCTTGCTACCCTTGGACTAGTGAAGGAGCAAAGACCCTATGTCCTTGATCCACACCTCCAACGAGCTGCAGTTGACCCAAGGAGAGGAGGCCAGTCCATCTCCCATGGGCCCCACATGCTCCCCTCTGCTCACTACCAGACAGGGAACCCCCGGCTTGGGCCCACAGCACAGACACTCCAACCTGGGCTGATTGCACTGAGTGAATGCTGACCTGCATCTCTATGGGTGGAGCCCCCAGGAGACACGCGAAAGACCCTTGGCCACAGCCACTACTAAGGTCCCTTTCTCTGTGCCTCCAAGTTGGGGAAGGAACATAAACACTGAGATCGCCCCCGAGCTGCAGTGGGCAGCCCAGGAGTGCCAAGCCACAATCTACAGCCAGCACTCAAGGGGGAGAGGAACCCATACTTTCAGAGTACTGGGAAGGAACAGGGCTGCAAGTGTGGTTCAACATAGAGGAGCCACACAAACGAGCAAGAGTTTACCAACTGACCAATATTCCTAAGCGCCACCTACTGGATCACACCCTAGAACCTCAACACCAAAAGTACCTTGCTAACATACTCCCATCTGAAACCAAAGACAAGAAGTCAGCTTCAAATCAAGACCCGAATAAAGTGTCAGTTCTGTGAAAACATCCAGAAAAGAAGTCTATTGACTGTACTGAGTCTGCACTGAAGTTAAAGGAACACCCACATGCAGAGATGAGAAAGAACCAACGCGAGAACTCTGGTAACTCAAATGGCCAGAGTGCCATACGTCCTCCTAAGGACCACAACAGTTCTCCAAGAAGAGTTCTTAACCAGACAGAGCTGGCTGACATGATAGAAATAGAATTCAGACTATGGGCAGGAATGAGGACCGTTGAGATTCAGGAAGATGGCAATACCTAATGCAAGGAAACCGAGAGTCACAATAGAATAATACAGGAGCTGAAGGATGAAATAGCCACCATAGGAAAAAAAAACACCACCACCACTAAGAGGCCTGACGGAGTTGAGTAACACAATACAAGAGTTTCACAAAGTCTACAGCTCCCAGTGTGAGCGACACAGAAGACGGGTGATTTTTGCATTTCCAACTGAGGTACCGGGTTCATCTCATGGGGTAGTGCCAGACAGTGGGTGCAGTGCACCGTGTGTGAGCTGAAGCAGGGCGAGGCATCACCTCACCCGGGAAGTGCAAGGGGTCAGGGAATTCCCTTTCCTAGTCAAAGAAAGGGGTGACAGACAGCACCTTGAAAATCAGGTCACTCCCACCCTAATACTGCGCTTGTCCAACGGGCTTAACAAACGGCACACCAGGAGATTATATCCCACACATGGCTCGGAGAGTCCTACGCCCACAGAGCCTCGCTCATTGCTAGCACAGCAGTCTGAGATCAAACTGCAAGGCGGCAGCGAGGCTGGCGGAGGGGCGCCCGCCATTGCTCAGTCTTGAGTAGGTAAACAAAGCAGCCAGGAAGCTCGAACTGGGTGGAGCCCACCACAATTCAAGGAGGCCTGCCTGCCTCTGTAGGCTCCACCTCTGGGGGCTGGGCACAGACAAAAAAAAGACAGCAATAACCTCTGCAGTCTTAAATGTCCCTGTCTGGCAGCTTTGAAGAGAGAAGTGGTTCTCCCAGCAGGCAGCTTGAGATTTGAGATCTGAGAACGGGCAGACTGCCTCCTCAAGTGGGTCCCTGACACTCTAGTAGCCTAACTGGGAGGCACCCCCAACTAGGGGCGGACTGACACCTCACACGGCCGGGTACTCCTCTGAGACAAAACTTCCAGAGGAACGATCAGGCAGCAGCATTTGCGATTCACCAATATCTGCTGTTGTGCAGCCACCGCTGCTGATACCCAGGCAAACAGGGTCTGGAGTGGACCTCCAGTAAACTCCAACAGACCTGCAGCTGAGGGTCCTGACTGTTAGAAGGAAAACTAACAAACAGAAAGGACATCTACACCAACAACCCATCTGTACGTCACCATCGTCAAAGACCAAAGGTAGATAAAACCACAAAGATGGGGAAAAAACAGAGCAGAAAAACCGGAAACTTTAAAAATCAGAGTGCCTCTTCTCCTCCAAAGGAACGCAGCTCCTCACCAGCAATGGAACAAAGCTGGACACAGATTGACTTTGACGAGTTGAGAGAGGAAGGCTTCAGAAGATCAAACTACTCCGAGCTACAGGAGGAAGTTTGAACCAATGGCAAAGAAGTTAAAAACTTTGAAAAAAAATTAGATGAATGGATAACTAGAATAACCAATGCAGAGAAGTCTTTAAAGGACCTGATGGAGCTGAAAACCAAGGCACGAGAACTACGTGATGAATGCACAAGCCTCAGTAACCGATGCAATCAACTGGAAGAAAGGGTATCAGTGATGGAAGACGAAATGAATGATATGAAGCGTGAAGAAAAGTTTAGAGAAAAAAGAATAAAAAGAAACGAACAAAGCCTCCAAGAAATATGGGACTATGTGAAAAGACCAAATCTACATATCATTGGTGTACCTGAAAGTGACAGGGAGAATGGAACCAAGTTGGAAAACACTCTGCAGGATATTATCCCGGAGAACTTCCCCAATCTAGCAAGGCAGGCCAACATTAAAATTCAGGAAATACAGAGAATGCCACAAAGATACTCCTCGAGAAGAGCAACTCCAAGACGCATAATTGTCAGATTCACCAAAGTTGAAATGAAGGAAAAAATGTTAAGGGCAGCCAGAGAGAAAGGTCGGGTTACCCACAAAGGGAAGCCCATCAGACTAACAGCTGATCTCTCAGCAGAAACTCTACAAGCCAGAAGAGAGTGGGGGCCAATACTCAACATTCTTTTTTTTTTTGAGATGGAGTCTTACTCTGTTGCCCAGGCTGGAGTGCAGTGGCGTGGTCTTGGCTCACTGCAAGCTCTGCCTCCCGGGTTCACACCATTCTCCTAGCTCAGCCTCCCAAGTAGCTGGGACTACAGGTGCCTGCCACCACGTCCGGCTCATTTTTTCAGTATTTTTAGTAGAGACGGGGTTTCACCATGTTAGCCAGGATGGTCTCGATCTCCTGACCTCGTGATCCGCCCTCCTCAACCTCCCAAAGTGCTGTGATTACAGGCATGAGCCACCGTGCCCAGCTTCAACATTCTTAAAGAAAAGAATTTTCAACCCAGAATTTCATATCCAGCCAAACTAAGTTTCATAAGTGAAGGAGAAATAAAATACTTTACAGACAAGCAAATGCTGAGAGATTTTGTCACCACCAGGCCTGCCCTAAAAGAGCTCCTGAAGGAAGCACGAAACATGGAAAGGAACAACCGGTACCAGCCACTGCAAAAACATGCCAAATTGTAAAGACCATCAAGGCTAGGAAGAAACTGCATCAACTAACGAGCAAAATAACCAGCTAACATCATAATGACAGGATCAAATTCACACATAACAATACTAACCTTAAATGTAAATGGGCTAAATGCTCCAATTAAAAGGCACAGACTGGCAAATTGGATAAAGAGTCAAGAACCATCAGTGTGCTGTATTCAGGAAACCCATCTCACGTGCAGAGACACACATAGGCTCAAAATAAAGAGATGGAGGAAGATCTTCAAAGCAAATGGAAAACAAAAAAAGGGAGGGGTTGCAATCCTACTCTCTGATAAAACAGACTTTAAACCAACAAAAATCAAAAAAGACAAAGATGGCCATTACATAATGGTAAAGGGATCAATACAACAAGAACTAACTATCCTAAATATGTATGCACCCAATACAGGAGCACCCAGATTCATAAAGCAAGTCCTGAGTGACCTACAAACAGACTTAGACTCCCACACATTAATAATAGGAGACTTTAACACCCCACTGTCAACATTAGACAGATCAACGAGACAGAAAGTTAACAAGGACATCCAGGAATTGAACTCAGCTCTGCACCAAGTGGACCTAATAGACATCTACAGAACTCTCCACCCCAAATCAACAGAATATACATTCTTTCCAGCACCACACCACACCTATTCCAAAATTGACCACATCGTTGGAAGTAAAACACTCCTCAGCAAATGTAAAAGAACAGAAATTATAACAAACTGTCTCTCAGACCACAGTGCAATCAAACTAGAACTCAGAATTGAGAAACTCACTCAAAACCGCTCAACTACATGGAAACTGAACAACCTGCTCCTGAATGACTACTGGGTACATAACGAAATGAAGACAGAAATAAAGATGTTCTTTGAAACCAAGGAGAACAAAGACACAACATACCAGAATCTCTGGGACACATTTAAAGCAGTGTGTAGAGGGAAATTTATAGCACTAAATGCCCACAAGAGAAAGCAGGAAAGATCTAAAATTGACACCCTAACATCACAATTAAAAGAACTAGAGAAGCAAGAGCAAACACATTCAAAAGCTAGCAGAAGGCAAGAAATAACTAAGATCAGAGCAGAACTGAAGGAGATAGAGACACAAAAAACCCTTCAAAAAATCAATGAATCCAGGAGCTGGTTTTTTGAAAAGATCAACAAAATTGATAGACCGCTAGCAAGACTAATAAAGAAGAAAAGACAGAAGAATCAAATAGATGCAATAAAAAATGACAAAGGGGATATCACCACCGATCCCACAGAAATACAAACTACCATCAGAGAATACTATAAACACCTCACTGCAAATAAACTAGAAAATCAAGAAGAAATAGATAAATTCCTCAACACATACACTCTCCCAAGACTAAACCAGGAAGTTGAATCTCTGAATAGACCAATAGCAGGCTCTGAAATTGAGGCAATAATTAATAGCTTACCAACCAAAAAAAGTCCAGAACCAGATGGATTCACAGCCGAATTCTACCAGAGGTACAAGGAGGAGCTGGTATCATTCCTTCTGAAACTATTGCAACCAATAGAAAAAGAGGGAATCCTCCCTAACTCATTTTATGAGGCCAGCATCATCCTGATACCAAAGCCTGGCAGAGACACAACCAAAAAAGAGAATTTTAGACCAATATCCTTGATGAACATTGATGCAAAAATCTTCAATAAAATAGTGGCAAACCGAATCCAGCAACACATCAAAAAGCTTATCCACCATGATCAAGTGGGCTTCATCCCTGGGATGCAAGGCTGGTTCAACATATGAAAATCAATAAACATAATCCAGCATATAAACAGAACCAAAGACAAAAACCACATGATTATCTCAATAGATGCAGAAAAGGCCTTTGAGAAAATTCAACAACCCTTCATGCTAAAAATTCTCAATAAATTACATATTGATGGGACATATCTCAAAATAATAAGAGCTATGTATGACAAACCCACAGCCAATATCATACTGAATGGGCAAAAACTGGAAGCATTCCCTTTCAAAACTGGCACAAGACAGGGATGCCCTCTCTTACCACTCCTATTCAACATAGTGTTGGAAGTTCTGGCCAGGGCAATCAGGCAGGAGAAGGAAATAAAGGGCATTCAATTAGGAAAGAGGGAGTCAAATTGTCCCTGTTTGCAGATGACATGATTGTATATCTAGAAAACCCCATCATCTCAGCCCAAAATCTCCTTAAGCTGATAAGCAACTTCAGCAAAGTCTCAGGATACAAAATCAATGTACAAAAATCACAGGCATTCTTATACACCAACAACAGACAAACAGAGAACCAAATCATGAGTGTACTTCCATTCACAATTGCTTCAAAGAGAATAAAATACCTAGGAATACAACTTACAAGGGATGTGAAGGACCTCTTCAAGGAGAACAAACTACAAACCACTGCTCAACGAAATAAAAGAGGATACAAACAAATGGAAGAACATTCCATGCTGATGGGTACGAAGAATCAATATGGTGAAAATGGCCATACTGCCCAAGGTAATTTATAGATTCAATGCCATCCCCATCAAGCTACCAATGACTTTCTTCACAGAATTGGAAAAAACTACCTTAAAGTTCATATGGAACCAAAAAAGAGCCCGCATCGCCAAGTCAATCCTAAGCCTAAAGAACAAAGCTGGAGGCATCAGGCCACCTGACTTCAAACTATGCTACAAGGCTACAGTAACCAAAACAGCATGGTACTGGTACCAAAACAGAGATATAGACCAATGGAAAAGAACAGAGCTCTCAGAAATAATGCCACATATCTACAACTATCTGATCTTTGACAAACCGGACAAAAACAAGCAATGGGGAAAGGATTCCCTATTTAATAAATGGTGCTGGGAAAACTGGCTAGCCATATGTAGAAAGCTGAAACTGGATCCCTTCCTTACACCTTATACAAAAATTAATTCAAGATGGATTAAAGACTTAAATGTTAGACCTAAAACCATAAAAACCCTAGAAGAAAACCTAGGCAATACCATTCAGGACATAGGCATGGGCAAGGACTTCATGACTAAAACACCAAAAGCAATGGCAACAAAAGCCTAAATTGACAAATGGGATCTAATTAAACTAAAGAGCTTCTGCATAGCAAAAGAAACCACCATCAGAGTGAACAGGCAACCTACAGAATGGGAGAAAATATTTGAAATCTACTGATCTGACAAAGGGCTAATATCCAGAATCTACAAAGAACTCAAACAAAATTACAAGAAAAAAACAAACAACCCCATCAAAAAGTGGGCAAAGGATATGAACAGACACTTCTCAAAAGAAGACATTTATGCAGCCAAAAAACACATGAAAAAATGCTCATAATCACTGGCCATCAGAGAAATGCAAATCAAAACCACAATGAGATACCATCTCACACCAGTTAGAATGGCGATCATTAAAAAGTCAGGAAACAACAGGTGCTGGAGAGGATGTGGAGAAATAGGAACACTTTTACACTGTTGGTGGGACTGTAAACTAGTTCAACCATTGTGGAAGTCAGTGTGGCGATTCCTCAGGGATCTAGAACTAGAAATAACATTTGACCCAGCCATCCCATTACTGGGTATATACCCAAAGGACGATAAATCATGCTGCTATAAAGACACACGCACACGTATGTTTATTGCGGCACTATTCACAATAGCAAAGACTTGGAACAAACCCAAGTGTCCAACAATGATAGACTGGATTAAGAAAATGTGGCATATATACACCATGGAATACTATGCAGCCATAAAAAATGATGAGTTCATGTCCTATGTAGGGACATGGATGAAGCTGGAAACCGTCATTCTCAGCAAACTATTGCAAGGACAAAAAACCAAACACCGCATGTTCTCACTCATAGGTGGGAATTGAACAATGAGAACACATGGACACAGGAAGGGGAACATCACACTCTGGGGACTGTTGTGGGGTGGGGGGAGGGGGGAGGGATAGCATTAGGAGATATACCTAATGTTAAATGACGAGTTAATGGGTGCAGCACACCAACATGGCACACGTATACATATGTAACACACCTGCACGTTGTGCACATGTACCCTAAAACTTAAAGTATAAAAAAAAAAAGTCAGGAAACAACAGGTGCTGGAGAGGATGTGGAAAAATAGGAACACTTTTACACTGTTGGTGGGACTGTAAATTAGTTTAACTATTGTGGAAGTCAGTGTGGCGATTCCTCAGGGATCTGGAACTAGAAATACCATTTGACCTAGCCATCCTATTACTGGGTATATACCCAAAGGATTATAAATCATGCTGCTATAAAGACATGCACACGTATGTTTATTGTGGCACTATTCACAATAGTAAAGACTTGGAACAAACCAAAATGTCCATCAATGATAGACTGGTTTAAGAAAATGTGGCACATATACACCATGGAATACTATGCAGCCATAAAAAAGGATGAGTTCATGTCCTTTGTAGGGACATGGATGAAGCTGGAAACCATCATTCTCAGCAAACTATCGCAAGGACAAAAAACCAAACACCGCATGTTCTCACTCATAGGTGGGAACTGAACAATGAGAACACCTGGACACAGGAAGGGGAACATCACACACTGGGGCCTGTTATGGGGTGGGAGTAGGTGGGAGGGATAGCATTAGGAGATATACCTAATGTAAATGACGAGTTAATGGGTGCAGCACACCAACATGGCGCATGTATACATATGTAACAAACCTGCACGTTGTGCACATGTACCCTAAAACTTAAAGTATAATAATAAAAAAAAAGGGAAAACAGATGAGAAAGGCAGGGACTATAGTTATGTCAATAGGGACAAACACTGCAATTTTAGTCAAATATGTGCCATCTTTGTAATAGATTTTGACAGGTAAATTCTAAATTATTTCCTTCTTGATAAGTAAATGTGATGCTTAATGACATGGCAGCTGTTGGTATCTTATGCCATTTATTAAAGGTCTACTAAATCCTTTCAAGGCATATGAGCCAGTGCTCCTGAGGAAAGCAGTGACATACATGCTTTCTCCTGATGTCTCCAAGTATGTAAAATTCATTAAAGCTATTCCTGAACAATATAAAGGAAGTTTCCTCAGTAAGGTAAATCTTCCCAATCTTTTGCCCTAGGAGAGAATGTGGATTATAGAAAAATAGTGGGTGTGAGTAAAGTGGGAAATTATTTGGGTAATGAGAATATATTTTTTTCTTTGGGGCAAGGAAGCAAATCATGAAAACAAGATTGGAATACAGAAATATGATACTAATATATATAGTAAATTCTTGAGAAAAGAGGCTGATAAAACAAAATTTTAAAACAGAAACAATAAAGAATACAAGATTTAGAACAAAGTTTATGAAAAAAGTGTAAAAAAATACATTCTTGTTCAGAATATATAAAGAACTCTTACAAATCAACTACAAAAAGGCAATCAATTAAAACATGGTCAAAGGATAACGACCAGGTTTTTCATCTAAGAACATAGACAATGGCCAGTAACCACATGAAAGGATGGTCAACATCAAAGGGAAAGGCAAATCAAAACCACAATGAGGTACCACTTCACACCACTAGAATGCCTATAATAAAAAAGATGAAAAATAAATACTGGAAAAGATGTGAAGAAATTGGAACCCTCATACACTGCTGGTGGAAATGTAAAATTGTACAGCTGTGTTGAATAACAGCCTGACAGTTCCTTGAGATTAAACACAGTTACTATTTGACCTCGATTCCCACTTGAGTATTTACCCAAGAGGAACATATGTCCACATATGTGTCCACAGTACGTTATTCATAATAGTTAAAACCTGGAAACAATCGAAATGTCCATCAACTGTTAAATAAAATGTGGTATTTCTCTGCAATAGAAAATTAATTGCAAATAAGAGGAAATAAACTACTGATACATGCTGTATGATATAGATGAGCCTTGAAAACATTATGCTAAGTGAAATAACCCAGACACAAAAAGCCAATGTTTTATGATTTCACTTATATAATATACCCAGCATAGGTAAATTCATAGAGACAGAAAGTAGAATACAGGTTACTAGGGATGAAGAGAAGGATTATAGGAAGATATTTAATGGGTACAGAGTTTCTATTAGGGATGATGAAAAAATTCTAGAAATGGATAGTAGTGATTGTTGTATGACATTGTGAATGTACTTAATGCCACTGAACTATGGAGTTAAAAATTGTTAAAATGCTAAATTTTATGTTATGTATATTTCACCAGAACTTTCAAAAAGAATTGACAAAGTTTAGAGCATTTTAAACAGAATACAAGATTTGAACTAAAAAATTCAAGAAAAAACTACATTTAAAAATTATTTTAAATTAAATATCAACTTAACCTTCTCCCCCAAATCAATTAATCTTATAATTACATTAACAACATAAAAACCATATGATTATGTATTAGATGCAGAAAAAGCATTTGAGAAAATTGAACATTTTTCATTAAAAAAATAACCTCAGCAAACTGGAGATACAAGAGAATTTCCTCGACATGTCAAAGGGCATCTTTAAAATACCTAATGCTAACATTCTATGTAATGATGAAAGGCTGAATGCTTTCCCCGAAGATCGAGAAGGCATGTCAGCTCTTACCACTTCTATTCAACACTGTACTGCAAATTCGAGCCACTGTAATCACTTTTTAAAAGGGAGTTGGGAGAAGGAAGGAAGGAAGGAAGAAAAAAAGGAAGAAAGAAGGGAGGAAGGAAGAAATGGAGGAAAACAAAAGGCATCTAGACTGAAAAGAAATAGGTAAAACTATCCTTATTCACAGACATAATCATCTATGTGGAAAACCAAGTGAAACCAATTACAACGTTACTGGCACCAATGAGTTTTGCCACATTGCAGGATACATGATCAATATATAAAAATCAATCGTAATTCTATATGTTAGAAATAAACTGCTAGGAATTGAAATTTTAAAAATAATACTATTTATAATAGCATTAAAATATAAAATTCTTGGGAATATATCTGACACTATGCAAAATATCTGTACAATAATAACTAAAAAGTATTGTTGAGAAAAATCAAAGAAGATCTAAGAAAATACCTTATTCACAAGTTGAGAGAGTCATCATTATTAAGATTCTTTACCATGACATAATGCAATCACAGTCCAAATCCAAGCAGGTATTTTGTAGAAATTGACAATTGATTTTAAGACTCTCATGGCATGTAGATGACACAGAAATGTGCAGTAACTCTGAAAAAAACAAAAGAATAAATTTAGAGGAAAAATACAATCCAGTTTGAAGAATTATTACAAAGCTACAAAAATCATAACAGTGTGATTTTGGCATAAAGATAAAGAGATCAATAGAACAGAACAGAGTCCAGAAACCAAGTCTACATAAAACACATACACACACACACACACACACACACTCACACATACACACACTCTCTCTCTCTCTTAAAATATGACTGGTCAAGTGACTGCTTATGAACTGTAATTGCTTGATACATGAGTCTAGCATCTCTTGGCCTTAAATCACTACCATAACCTTGAGAAGTTGATGATGCCTTTGTTTTCTGAGAACAGTTTCAGCGTGCAAGCTGACAGTTCCATAGAGATGGAACAAGTGTAGAGCCAGAAAAAAAAGGGATACACACAGACTTCTTAGGACTTTTTTTAAAGCTATTGAAGATGATAAACTAATGAGGCATAAGTATACTTTTCATTATGAATGTTTGTTTTCACATCTTTCAGTAATGTGTATAAGAAAAAGTATTTAATGTGGTATTTGTTAACCAAGCAACCCATTCACTATTTATATTTATTTCAGAAATCCATGATTTAAATTTAATTCATAATTTTTGGCAACATACCTTCATCTACTTCTGCAGTTATGTTTCCTTGTACACCTGCTGCATCTGAAACTGTCAAATCTTATTAATAATGTTTAAGTTAAACAAGAGACATTATCATGTAGCCCTATTATATGTCAAGGAGGGTTGATCAACACTAACTTGAAAATCTGAAATCCAAAATGCTGTACAATTTGAAACTTTTTGAGCACCCGCATGATACCACAACGGGAAAGGTCCACACCTGACCTCATGTGACAGGCTGTGGTGGAAACACAGTTAAAACTTTGTTACATGCAAAACATTTTTGTAAAACATTGTACAGGCCAGATGTGATGACTCACGCCTGTAACCCCAGCACTTTGGGAGGCTGAGGCAAGTGGATCACCTGAGGTCAGGAGTTCAAGACCAGCCTGGCCAACATGGTGAAACCATCTCTACTAAAAATACAAAAATTAGCCTGGTGTGGCTGCACGCACCTGTAGTCCCAGCTACTTGGGAGGCTGGGGCAGGGGATTGCCTGAACCTGGGAGGCAGAGGTTGCAGTGAGCTGAGATCACACCACTTCACTCCAGTCTGGGCGACAGATCAAGACTCTGTGCCCCACTGCATCCCCCAACCCCAGGCAAAAAAAAAAAAAGTAAAACATTGTGTAGAATTATCTTCAGGCTATATGCATAAGGTATATATGAAACATAAATGTATTTCACGTTTACTCTTGGGTACCATCCCTAAGGTATTTCATTAGGTGTATACAAATATTCCAAACTCTGAAAAAATCTACTTTTGGTCCTCCCAAACATTTTGGACAAGGGATATTCTAGAAAAATAAAATTCCTTTTCAGTGTGACAGAAAATAAGAGATTGACTTATTGAACTTGAACTTACCAAAATTTTCTGAAGCTGCTCAATTTTGTCCGCTCGCTTTTTCATTCTAATTTTTAACACGGCATTTTCTATTTTAAGCCTAAAATATATATTTTAAAATAATTATTCTCAGACATAATTTTTTTTAAATCATATAAATTCTGAACAAACATCTGAAGGAATAATTATATAAATTCTGAGACATTTGAAAAGTAGAAAATTGAGAAACTGTTGTTATTTTTTTACCTTTGTTTTGTGGGTGATGTGTAAAATTAAAAATAATGTAGAAAATTTATGCATTTCAAAATAGCCTAAAGCTGAAATTTTTCCTTGACTTCACATAGACATACTTATTATCTTAACTGATACAATTCTCCTACTACACTACTCATTTGCTTTATAAATACTCAAGATATTTTGTATGTTGCTTTAAACTGTACTTTTGCATGTGGTCTGGCAACTCCTCAGCACGTCTTAGAATCTCTGTGCGTTGATTCTGCATTTCTTGCAACTAAAACAAAGAATTAAAAACAACCTTTAGGTGTGGAAATAACCCAAATGCCCATCAATAGGTGAATGAATGAACAAAATATGGTTATATATAAAATACTGTTTTTAGACTATCACAATCTATTTTAATAAAAAATGATAATCTAGGACAAATCGACCTATTACTTTTTTTTTTTTTTTTTTTTTTTTGAGACAGAGTCTTGCTCTGTCGCCCAGGCTGGAGTGCGGTGGCACCGTCTCGGCTCACCGCAAGCTCCGCCTCCCGGGTTCATACCATTCTCCTGCCTCAGCCTCCCGAGTAGCTGGGACTACAGGCGCCTGCCACCACGCCTGGCTAATTTTTTGTGTTTTTTAGTAGAGACGGGGTTTCACCGTGTTAGCCAGGATGGCCTTGATCTCCTGACCTCATGATCCGCCCATCTCGGCCTCCCAAAGTGTTGGGATTACAGGCGTGAGCCACCGTGCCTGGCCCCTATTACCTGTTTTTTAACTAAATTTTACTGGAATGCAGCCACACCCCTTCAGTCTGCATATTGTTTACGGCTACTTTTGTGCTGTAACTGTAGTGTTGAGTTGTTGCAACAGGGATCTTATGGCTCACAAAGTCTCAAATAATACTACTTGGCCCTTTACAGAAAAGTTTACTGCCTATGCTCTAGGATTAAAACACAGTATTTTTCTTTTCTAATTTCTATTTTATCAGATACTCAAATTTACAAAATTGGTAAAATGGGGAAACATAGGAAATTATAGTAAGCATTTATATTTTTCAATTCCAAACACCACTATATCAACTATAATTTCATTTCTTTTTTGTCTGTTTGCATTTAATTTTTGCTGTAGCAAGAAAACTTGCACTTTTTTTTTTTTAAGACGGAGTCTTGCTCAGCCACCCAGGCTGGAGTGCAGTGGCACCATCTTGGCTCACCGCAACTTCCACCCCGCCAGGTTCAAGCAATTCTCCTGCCTCAGCGTCCCGAGGAGCTGGGACTACAGGCGTGCACCACCACCATGCCCAGCTAATTTCTTTATCTTTTTTAGTAGAGATGGGGTTTCACCATGTTGGCCAGGATGGTCTCAAACTCCTGACCTCAGGTGATCCACCCGTTTCAGCCTCCCAAAGTGCTTGGATCACAGGCGTGAGCCACCGCGCCCGACCCATTTTTAACATTTAAAACTAAGCATCATCTTTCCTTTCCAGGGAAACCAGAAGAAAATTTTAAAACAAACAGAAAAATAATTAAAATAGATAGATTCTCCTATCGAGTGGCAGGGCTCATGTCATCATTAGGAGATAATTTATTTAAAAGTGTCATCTTAAAATGCAGGGATGTCCATTGACATGCCAAAGGAGAAGCCACGTTGTCAAAATGCCCACTTGACCCACCCAAACATCTCAAACCTACCCTTTGCTGACCTTCTATAACCCCATTTGTAAAGTTTTTTGTTTTTGTTTTAAGCAAGAGAAAGTAGACACATACATGTTGGCAAATGCTAACTGTCCATAGTCATATGACTCTGACTATAGACCAATATAAAGTCAGAGCAAGGATTTTCATCAAAATACTAATTTATTCTGCAGAATGGACTTTCTGTACCAGTTAACCAGAAACCCATGAAATAAGTAAGCACAAGTCTTTATTCACACAGAAAAGTAGAGATTAAAAAAAGAAAATTTTCTGAAACATTCCATTAGACATTATCCTCTGAATTAATCTGGCTTGTCTCCACGTGGCAATGAAAGAAATCACTAAAAATATACTGTAAAAAGAAAAAAGAATTCTCTAATCTTCTGTGAGAAATGATGTGTAATTCTCAACTTTCATAAGGGGAAATAGTGTAAGAAAAATATTTATAATTATAAAACATGGCAGAGATTGAGAAATGGATGTATTATAAAGATAATCAAATTTTAATAAAATTAATTATAATGAAAATACAAAAGAAAGCTCTCCACTGAAACTAGTGTCCTGAAACACTTGATATTATTTAACCAGCTACAGAGTAACTGTTGACATGCTAAGTTTCATACATACTTGACTTCTCATCTGGCCTAATTTCTTTTTTAAACTTTGTGCCTCATCTTCTAAATTAATACGACGTTCTGATGAAATCTCTAGCATAGCTTCTAACAGCAATTGTTTGTTCAGGGCATCATCCACTTCTCGTTGAAGCTGTCTCCTGACTACCTGGTAAGATGTTATTTTTGTTACTGATTTTACATATCACTTATTATTAAATTTTGTTAATAATATTTAACTCTAATATACACACTTCGAAAAATACCACCACACACTGATTCTTCTTCTCCTCCTCATGTGTACACATTCCTGTTTATTACTGAATCCAGTTAAGGATAAAGAAGGTGTTATCTTTGTGCCAAACTGGTGCCGTGTTACTCATACAACAGATTCAGCGCACTGATGAATGTGCAATGCTTAAAAACCTTCTGAGGTCTCAAAAAGAAACAGGTATGTGGGTGGGACTGGTGGCAGTGAATTTTACACTGCAGTGTTTTCCGTCTTTTTTATAAGAAGAAGCTCAAATCAACCTCAGAGTTCTTCACATATTCAGTCACCAGCTCAAATCCTTCCAACAGATTTCCACCTCAGAAGAAAACTAACCTTCCAATGGCCTTAGAGGCTCTAGTTAACCTGGCTTCCACTTCTCTCCCTGACCCCAGCTGCTATGTCTCTCTTCCCTACTCCCACCGTTCCTACCACCCCTCATTAGTCTAAAAATGAGGATCCAATGTGAAACTAATAAATCACAGACAGCTAAGCTGATCTTTGTACCGGATAACCTTATATCCAAATGAGAGTCATTGAGCCTTGAAATAAAAATTATGACCACATTTTTGACTGAAAAATTGAAAGTAAGTTATAAATGCCAGTGGGAAGATTAAATCAAATATGGTTTGGCTAACATTTACCACATTTTCCCCATATTATAATGTAAGAAAGATGTCTTTAAAGAATGGAATGTTTGTATCAATATATAATTTGAGACCGAATTATTTTCAGATTTAAGTCAAATTGACATGAATAAAAATAAAATTATACCAACTAAGATACATTAAAAGCTATTGAGGAAGAATAATTATAAAATAGGAAATACACTTTAGTTCATCTGGGAAATCTGGAATTAACTGTCAAAGTAATCTAATTAATTGAATCTATTTCAAAATAACACTTTAGGTATGAATATTTCTTTATATCTGCTTTATCGTAATCCTAAAATGTGGCAACATACAGACATCAAAATTATTTCAGCAGTGTAAGACTACATTATAAATGTTAGTCTATATTAACATTTTGTAACTGAAACGTTTAAAATTTCCTAAGTGTCACATTGTCTTTACTCAAAGGAAAGCATCTCCTAGGTCTAACTTTTATTTGCTGGAAACAAATTCCGTTTCTAAGGTGATATAGCAGAACCGTTTATCATGTATATATTTTGATATTCAACTAGATTCAGTGTTTAGCCATAACCAAATATACTTTAAATTTTACTTCAGGAAGTTTGAAAAATACTTATCTTTCTTGATACTTACTTCTCTTTCTTCTTTCTCTTTTTCATATTGGCATTGTCTTTCTTTTAAAAGAGTGCATTCCTTCATCAACCCCTTATTGTTCTCTTCTAGCTTTCTACACTCAGCTTGAAGTTTTTCTACAGTATCTTCACATTTGACTTGGATATTAATTATTGTTTTCTCCTGATTGTCAGCTTTCTTGCGAGCATCATTACACTGCTGTTGATACAACAGATTTTGGCTTTGTAGTTGAAATAGTCCATCCTCTACAGATTGCTGCTTTCTCACGTATTTTTCCAAAATAGGTTGGTCATTTTGGTACATGTGTTCAATGTCCTCCAATCGACGCTGTGTTCGGCTTAGGACTCCTTGCATGTGTTCTATATGCAACGTCTTTTCTTTGAGAGCCTCTCTTTCATAATGGAGCTCAGTTTCCAGGCCACTGGATGTACTCTCAGCTTTAGAAAGTTGCTGAGAAAGAATCTGAATGTGAGAATTAGTGTCTTCTTGTAAATGACACCATTCATTCACTGTGCTCTGGAAAGCAAGCTGTAGGTCTCTTTTTGATGACTGACGTTGATCATGATCACATAGGGCAGCAGCCAGTCTACAACGGTATGATTCCATTTCTGTTTCCAGTCTTGACATGCTTTGTTTTTCCTTCTGTAGCTCAGAATTGAGCATTGTATTCTCATCCATCAGAACATTAAGCTCTTTACTATACCGGGTTATTGTTTTTGTTAATGCTTCCTCATTCCGCTTGAGAGTCTTTTCAAGGTCTTCATTGTTTTCCTTTATAATTTCAATATCTTTGAAATATTTATTTTCAGTTTCCTGGTTCTGATGTTTTATTGTGTCTATTTCCAGCCTGAGTCTGGCAATTTCATCCCGCATCAAGTGATTTTCCTGCCACAGGTCTCTTTCTCTTTCATGAGTATGAAAATTCTAAATAAAACAAAGAAAACTCTCAACTAGCACCCAATAAAATGACATATTATGATTTCTTCTGAAACTAAATAAGTAATAACCTGTACGTTTATACAATGAAAGAGTTGCCATCTGGATATCCAACTGGAAAAAAAAAGTTGAATCAAAACCTCAAACCTTTTAGAGAGTAAATTCTCAAAAGTTCAAAAACGTATTTGAAGACAGTGAATCTATGAAAGCAAAAAAAAAGAAACCACTAGAAATTCTTTAAGAATCTAATTTTTTTTAAAAGAAGGCTTTTACTGAATTTCAACAAACCCAAAAACATAAATGATTAATAACTATGATTACATTTAGAAACTGGGTTTACACACTAACATCTAACCTTTACTTTCCCTATAGTAAGAGTCTTAGCTCTGCAGATATCTGGACAGATAAAATTTTCCAAATTCCTTAAGTTTCTTTTTCCTGTGACTATTTTATAGATAATTCTACTTTTCTTACATTTTTAGAGTCAGTTTTAACAATGACATGTATTGATAAATGACAGATCTAGGCATTGTACTAAGCACTTTTGTATGCATACATCAATAAATTCATTTAGTTATCACAATTCTGCAGGGAAAGGTTAAAAATAGAAGCAAGCTGCTGGATTTTTCCTAGGTTCTCTGACTCTGCTTCTAGTGGTCCTCCACCACATCACAGTTACTTCCATGGGGTAGATATACAAATACAATAGAAACCTTTTCTTTCAAAACTCAAAGAAGATAAAATTTATAAAGCTCTTCTTAGGAAATCCTGAGATTATGTACTATTATGATAACTTTTATTTCCTTTTCACAATGTTTGAAACCATAATTAATGCAAAATAGGGAAAACTACACTGAACTATGTCACTAGGAACAAATTACTTACCAACAAAATATCACTAAGTATATATATTATGGGATATCATTGTTTTCCAAAGGTCTTTGACCTGAAATAAAATATAACTTTGAAGCCAAGATTTATAATAAATAATTGTAGCTATAAGTATCATTTATTTTTAAGATGAAATAAAATTTGTGGTTTGTTTTAGAACTAAGTCAAAGGGATATTCTAAGTAATATTAATAAAATAAAATTAGAAATGTAAAATTTTACCAAACATTAATTTACCTGATTTGAGTTACTTCTTACAGTCTTCAATTCCACTTCCAATGATTTGAGAGTCAGTTTAGATTGTTTTTTCACTTCAGTTTGTGTCCTATATTGCTCTTCCATTATTTTTAACTCTTCTATATCTTTTTCATACAACTCTTCAGCCTTTATTCTTTCTTCTTCTTGTTGTTGTAAGATAAATCTGTAGTTAAATATACTTATCTTAAAAGCCTTTAAAAACAAAACACTCATATGCTGGTTTATTATCCTAATAAAGTGCCCATGTTCTTGAATATTTTTTCTTTCTAGTTTGCATGTTAATTTCTCACTTCGATGTCTTCCAAAGAAGACATATAAATTGAAAGGTAGTAAGGAATGAACATCCTGCTAATTGATTAGCTTCTGTTACTAGTAATTCTCGTAAATATTATGGAAAAGGATGTTGAAAATTGTTAGCTAAAGTTACAAGTTAAAAATTACCTTTTCTTCACACAGTAATAATTACTCCTCAGTCAGGATGAATCATTTAGAGTTAGCTAATTTTAAAAAAAGTTATTTTTTATAAACAAGTTGATACCTTCACTAGAAATAAATTTTCATCTTCATGAAATACGGCAGGTATCCCTAAACATGATTTACATTGTAAGATAGCACCTCCAGATGCCTTCTTGCAACATGTATCTCCAGATGACAATAATCCAAGACTAAGCTAAAGAATCTAAGATGTTACCCCATACATTTTATGTTTCTTTTTCTGGTAACACTTTTGACTTATTCTGTTGATTAGTATGTATTTTACAAACAATTTTAAAATCCATTCTCAAACAAGACAAGATCTAATATTTAAACAATAAAGAACAATATCTGCCTTCCGCATAGAAGTTTGAATTAATTTAAACTCTGTAGCAGAGACAGATGTTCACTAAGCTAATCAGTAATCACTTTCCATTTTACTTTTCATTCGCTGCATATTAAGAGTAAAACTGGGCCAGGCGTGGTTGCTCACACTGTAATCCCAGAACTTTGGGAGCCCAAAGCCAGCAGATAACTTGCGGTCAGGAGTTTGAGACCAGTCTGGCCAAAATGGCAAAACCTCATCTCTACTTAAAAAAAAAAAAAAGAAATTAGAAAGGCATGGTGACGTGTGCCTGTAATCCCAGCTACTTGGGAGGCTGAGGCACAAGAATTGCTTGAACCCGGAAGCAGAGGCTGCAGTGAGCCGAGATTTCGCCGCTGCACTCCAACCTGGGTGACAGCGCAAGACTCTGTCTCAAAAGGACAAAAAACAAACAAACAAACAAAAAAAACTGGTTAATTTTAAAAATAATTACTCTGGGTGGAGAAAAGTATACATTTCATACTCAAATTATAAATTATAAACTTTCTTAAGAACAACTTAGTAATATTAATCAACGATCTCTTTTAAAAAGCTCCTATACTCTAACCAGATAGCTCTATTTTGAAAAATTTATCCAAAGTAAAGAAATAGAAATGTAGAAAACTATGGATCTGTAAGATGTTTCTTACAGCATTAATACAAAAAATTAAAATCCCCAATTTCAATTTATTAAATAATGAAATTTCCATAGGGTGGAATTCTATATAGCCATTAAAATAATGATTTAAAGGGATATGCAATTAATTATTAGAGAAGTATTCACAATTAACTTGTGATTTTTTATCCAAAAATTTCACATTCCACAATTTTAAGAGGTTTTCTTCTCTATTAAACCCTAGAAGGTAAGTCAGCTATTACAAAAATTATCCTACATATCCTTAGTATAAATAGTTGAAATATTTCTTTAAAACTAGAATGTGATACCTCAAATTACAGAGCTTTTTTTTCCCTTGAAGATTCTGATGCTCTGACTGTGATTTGGTTTTGTCTGTTTCAGATAGTACCTTTTGTAGTACGCTAATATTATTTTTCATTTTTTGAAATTTTACTTTAAGTCGTTCACAGTAACATTTTTGATCCTCTATTGATCTTCCACATGCAGCTGTTGCATTCTTGCTTTTCGATAGGCTAACAAAATCTGTTACCAGGAGAAGACAAAATAGAGATAAAATACATGAGTAGGTTTTTAAATATAAAGGACTATGCATTTCAACATGGCACTCATTCATACACTGAATGAATATGTACATATTAAGTGCTTGCAATGTGGAAAATATTTTAGAAAGCTCTTCAGATAAAACAGACAACACATCTGATCTTGTTTAGCTTCAAGTGTAGTAAAGAACACAGACAAAAATGTGACAATTACAAATTCGGATAGATGCTATAAGAATACATAGCTGTTTTAGTCACGTAAGAGGATCTGACCTATACTTGGCTCAGGGAAGATTTCCCTGAGGAAGAGAAAGAGACACTGAGAAATAAAAAATGAGAAGGAAGCAGTTGAGCAAAGGAGGAAGCAAAGCGCTCTGGCTAGTCTGCGGCACGTGCTGGAGCTCTGCGGCAATCTGCTTCCACCCAAGAGGGAGCAACGGGTGCTGATTTTCCTCCTTACCTGAAACAACCAAAAACAACACAGACAAAATATATTCAACAATGATTTTCAACACAGTGGACTTCAGATAATGAAGATGGTCGTCACTAAAAGACAGGAAACAAATGTAGGCCTTTTTGTTGACAGAGCTTCTTTTGTTGACAGAGCTTCCAGGCCATGACAAAGCGAGAAAATCTGACATAGATTCCCTGAGCTGGGGTGGTGACGCTAAGAATCCGGTAAAACAAAAGCAGAGAGAAATCACAGGACAGAACACTGGAGAGGAGAAAGCAGCAGAGGAAACAAACCCTGGAGATCTGCAGAGGTCCCCTCTAAAGTATTTAGTGGAATAATGAAAAAAATGGATGTGTGCTAGGAAACTTCCTAAGACCAAGGGATGGCGAGCGGTGGAGGGGACACGATAGAAAAAGATGAGGAGAAACCAAGCCTGCTGTTCACAAAGTGCCCAGAAGAGGGTCCAATCCCAAGAGCCAGGCCCAAAACACTCATACTTCACAGGACAACAAATAATCCGAAAACTCTTGCCTCAGGAGTGGCAAATTACTCAAAATCTAAAAGCAAGAACAAAAAGAATTCTGTTTATAAGTAAATCACTGTACCCCAAACAAAGCTCGAGACAATAAGTGAAGGCATGAAAGGTATTTCTTTAAAAATCAAACCACACTTGCAGAAATGTAAATTACAATGTCAGAGGTAAAAACTACAGTGGAGGAAAATAAACACAGATCACAATCGTAAATTTGTCATGATGAACTATGAGAAACCTTCAAGCAACTAATATATAAATCCCCAAATAGAAAGGAACAAAGACAGAAAAGAAAATTGAAAAATAATTGGCCCAAAAATTCTAAACTTGGCAAAATCCATATTCCCACAGATCCAGGAAGGAACTGTCTGGGACAAAAAAAATAAATAAAAGTGTACCATTGTCATTTTCTTATACCATCTATGATGTGGTATAACATTACTTGAAGGTAGACTGTGATAGGTTAAAATTATATACTATAAATCCTAAATAAACCATTGAGATAGCAAAGAGTTACATATAAAAAACCAAAAAAGAAATATGAAATCAAATCATAGAAAATAGCTGATTAATCTAAAGGAAAGCAGAAAAAGAAGGGGAACAAATAATAGCGAGACTAACAGCAATCAAACAGCACAATGACAGACAAACAACTATATTGAATATCACATTATAAATGAAACTGGTCTGCAAGCCTCAATTAAAATGCAGACTGACAGATTCTATAAGAAAGCAATACCCAATTACATGCTGTCTATAAGAAATGTACATTAAATGTAAAGACACAAATCGGCTGCAAGAATAGAAAAAGATACGTGCTAACACTTGACAGAAGACTACTGAGAAGAAATGGTTCAATTAATATCAAAGTAGATTTCATAGCAAAACAATTTCCAGCAATAAATAAGGTCACGTCACAATGATAAAAGTTTCAGTTAATCAAGAAGATATAATAGTCCTAAATGTTTATGCCCCTAATAACATAAGAAATTCAAAGTACATGAGGCCAAAGTAGATAGAACTATAAAAAGAAATAGACAATTTCTAGGTAATCTGAAGTTTCAATACCCTTTACTCAGGAAGTGATAGAACAAGGAGGCAGAAAATTAGCAAGAATAGAGCAGACTTAAACAACACCATGCTTTTCAAGTACCTATGGAACACTTGCCAAAATAGACAATATTTTAGGCCATACAATAAATCTCATTAAAAAGATTAAGTAAAAAGAATGTAAGTCATACAAAGTACATATCCTGACCACAAATCAATGATATTAGAAACCAATAACAAAAATAATGCTAAGAAATACTCAAATACATGAAAACTAAGAAACACACATCTAAATAACCCTGGTTCAAAGAGATGATGAAAAAAGAAAATATTTTGAACTGAATAAAAATGAAAAAATAACATATTGAGGTTGGTAGAATGCAGCAACAACTGCACTTAAATACAAATTTTTAGCACTAAATGTCAATATTAGAAGAGTCTCAAATCAATAACCCTGACTTCTACCTTAAGAAAATGAAAATAAATAAATAAATAAATAATAAAATAAGAGAATTAAATCCAAAGCAAGCAGAGGGATAAAAAACAAAACCACCTGCTGTGGTCTGAATGTGTTCTCAAAAGTTTATATGCTGAAACCTAATCACAAGGGCGGATTTTTAGAGGTAGTCTTATCATGAGAGCCAAGCCCTCCTGAATGGGATTAGTGTTCTTACACAACACACCTCAGAGAGCTCCTCCGCCCCTTCTGCCATGTGAGGACACAGAGAAAAAGAACACATCTATGATCCAGGAAGGTTCCTTACCACACAGCAAATTTGACAGCACCTTGACCTTGGACTCTGCAGACTCCAGAACTGTAAGAAATCATTTTCTACTGTTTATAAGCTACCCAGTCTATGGTATTTTGTTATACTACTGGTTTCAGAAAAAAAAAAAAAAAAAGAAGAAGATCAGCAACACCAAACACTTTGGGAGATTGATAAATGTGAGAAATCTCTATTTACCCTGGCTGATCAAGAAGAAGAGAAAATACAAATTACTAATTTCAGAAATGAGTAATGTCACATGATTACAGACTGTACAGATACAAAAAAAAACCAAGGTGACATTATAATTTTTATGTGTAAACATGACAAAATAGATAAAATTAACAAATTCCTTAAAAGGGAAAATTACTAAATCTTAACCAAGAAGCAATAAATAACCTGAATTGCCCTAAATATAAAAAATAAACTTCAGTCATAGCTGAGGACCGTCCTAGAAAAAGAAATTCAAACTCAGCTAGCTATGGCAGTGAACTCCACTAAACATTTTCAGAAGAAATAATACAATTCAACACTAACTCTCCAAAAAGAAACAAAAAAGAGTACACCCCAACTCACTCTTTAATGTTAGCATTACCCTGAACCAAAACCAGACAATGATATTACCAATAAAAAAAACTCCCTCATGAGCGTGAATGTAAAAATTGAACCAATTTGTGAAACAACCAAGACATCCTCCAATACGTGAATGAATAAACTGTGGTTAAACAGCCAAACAATGGAATATTACTCCATGCTAAAAAGATATGACAAATCAAACCATGAAAATACATGAAGGAACCATACATGCATATTACCAAGTCAAACAAGTCAACCTAAAAAGGCTACTTTCTTTCTTTTTTTTTTTTTTTTTTTTAAGACAGAGCCTTACTCTGTCTCCGAGACTGGAGTGCGATGACACAAACTTGGCTCACTGCAACCTCTGCCTCCCAGCTTCAAGCGATTCTCCTGCTTCAGCCTCCTGAGTAGCTGGGATTACAGGCGCCCGCCACCACACCCGGCTACTTTTTGTATTTTTAGTAGAGACAGGGTTTCGCCATGTTGGCCGGGCTGATCTTGAACTCCTGACCTCAGGTGATCCACCCATCTTGGCCTCCCAAAAGTGCTGGGATTACAGGCGTGAGCCACCGTGCCCGGCCTAAAAAGGCTACTTTCTGTATGATTCCAACTATATGACTTTCTGGAAAATGTAAAACTATGGATATGGTAAAAACATCAGTGGCTGCCAGAGGATGAGGGACACCAGGAAAGGATACACAGGCAGAGTACTGAGGATTTTTAGGGAGGTGAAAATAATGTATATGACACGCATACATGTCAGTGTACCTTAAGACCAAACCCATACGATGTATAGCACCAGTGTACAATGCACACTATGGGCTGCAGGTGATTCTGATGTGCCAATGTAGGCTCATCCATTACAGCACCTGTACCACTAAGGGGAGGGTTACTGATAAGGAGGGAGGCTACATATGTGTGCAGGTAGAGGGTATTTGAAAAATCTCTGTACCTTCCTCTCAATTTTGCTGTGAACATAAAACTGGTCTGATAAATAAAGTCTTTATAATAAACCAATAAAGACTTTATCATAACTTCTTTAGCAAATTGAATCCAACAGTATAATAAAAGGACAATACATCATAAACAAATGGGGTTTTTTCCCAGGACTGCAGGGTTGGCTTAACATTCAAACATCGTTGTTATTTGCCAGATTAACAACGGAAAACAGTAGATCCACAGAATCATCTCGACAGATACAGGCATTTGATACAATTCAACACTCATTGCTGATTTTGTAAAAATGAAAAAGTCTCAGCAAAATAAGAATCCAGGGACCTTCCTCAGCATGATAAAGAACATCTATGATGAACCTACAGCTAACATGTATCATGGTGAAAAACTGAATATGTTCTCCAGAAGATAAAGAACAACACAGGAATGTCTGCTTTCACTGCTTTTATGCAGCATTGTTCTGAAGAGTCTAGTTAGTGCAGTCAGGTAAGAAAAAGAAATAAAAGTCATCCCAGTTGAAAAAATAAATAAAACTGTCTTTGTACACAACCATGACCACACAATAGGTTTACGTAAACTCTAACCTGTGGGCCAGCTTTTTGTCTTCGTCAATGAGCACAGCTGTGTTCATTAATTGTACAGGTTGTCTAGGGCTGCTCTCATATTACAATGGCAGAGTCTATCAGCTACAACAGAGACCCCTTTTGCCACAAGTCTTTAATAAGAGGGTACTTTGAGAAAGAAAAGGTTTGAAAATCTTTGGTCTATGTAGAAAATCGGATCAAATCTACCAAGAATTAATAAGTGAGTATTATTAGTACCAGGACTAATAAGTGAGTTCAGTAAGATTGAAGTATGCAAAACCAACATACAAAAATCAACTGTATTTCCATACCCTCGTGATAAACAATCAGACTAAATTTTTAAGCATATGATTTACAACTACATCAAAAACTGAAACAGAGATAAATCTGATAAACTATAGAAAGACGTATACACTAAAAACTACAAAATATTACTGAGAAAATTAAATATGACATATAAATGCAGACATCCATTTTTTTAAAGAGTAGGAAGATTCATTATTGTTAAGAAGTCAATTCTCCATAAATTAATCTATAAATGCAACACAATTCTAACCTAATGTCCAACAAGCCAGCACTCGTTGGACATTTTTAAATGACGAGGTGATTCTAAATTTTTTTAAATTGACAAGCTGATTCTAAAGTTCACGTGGAAATGCAAAATCTAGCATAAGCAAAACACAACAAAGAATAGAAAAATCAACTTCAACAATTATTATACATCAACAGTAACCAAAACAGTTGGCCACTGGTACAGGATGAATATTCCTTATTAAAAATGCTTGGGACCAGAAGTGTTTCAGGTTTTGGATCTTGGAATATTTGCATCTACATAATGAGATATCTTGGCGATAGGACCCAAGTCTAAACACAAAATACTATTTCACAAAGACAGATGGTAATTAAAAAAATACTTTTAATAATTTTGTGCATGAAACAAAGTTTGTGTATATGAGGTGAACATGTTTAGTCATTAGGATCATGCATATTAACCACACCCATAAGAATGGCTACAAATAAATACTGCAATACTTAGTGTGACAACACAGTAACCGCAACTGTCCTGTTGTGCTGATCAGATGGAAATAGTACACTTTTTTTGAAAACAATTTGGCAGCTTTTTCTAAAAAAGGAACATAAAGCAGCATAGGACACTTTTGTGGGTTATGGATAACTATCTTGATTATGGTGACACTTTCACACGGGTATGTATCTGTCAAAACTTATCAAACTATACACTTTACATATGTGCACTTTAACATGTATCAGTTATACCTCACTGAAGCTACTGATTGTAGGAGCAAACACCTGGGGCACTGGCTGTGACACACAGAGAAACAAGGGTATGGAATGAAGCAGTATAAAGCTAGAGCATTGTCATCTTTACCTTATAGCAATGACAAGTGGCAGTTGGGTGTTAAGCAAGCAGGTAACATGATCAGATGTGAATTTTAAAAATGTATATAATTATGATTGCAGAATAGACCATGGCTTTGGAAGGTGGGGCAGTAGGGAAAAGAGGTGTAAGGTTATCAC
The DNA here is from genome assembly GCF_000001405.40 of Homo sapiens. NCBI lineage: Eukaryota > Metazoa > Chordata > Mammalia > Primates > Hominidae > Homo > Homo sapiens. The sequence continues at coordinate 12,115,832 of NC_000018.10, read as the reverse complement.
AGTATTCCAGGTACAAGATAATGACAACCTGACCCTGGGTAAAGGCATAGAGGAGAAGCAGAGTCAACAAATAGATTGGGAGTGTCATTCACACTGAGAAAGGTACAGTGGAATGATCACAGCTCTTTGGCTAAGAGTATACAAGATAGAGTAGTTCTCATTCTATGTTCACAAGAAGGATATTTCCGAGATGAACATCCCTATAACACATCAGTGTTCTATGGTGCCGTGCTAAGCAATATGTGCATACATTACTATAGGATAGGGAAAGAGCCTTATATTTATGCATTGGTCCTACCTTTACACTCCATTCCACTTTGTTCAATGAGTAACATAAAATTCTCATCATCAGAGTAAGGCAACTCATCATCCTCTGAGGTTTTTTCAGATGACCCACTTATGTCATTAAGGTCATCCGTGAAATATATTTGGCTTTTAACCTATAAAATAAATAACACTGTTTCAAAATGCCCTCGAAATATTTATAGCATATACTAAATATACACCAGTGGGAATTATCCGTCTTTTTACATGAGCAAAAACACAGGTACTTCTTAAAATAACTGACTTTGGTTAAAAGGGTGCTTTTATGAATGGTTACCGCTGCTTTATCAAAGTCAATGTCTTTACAGCAAAAGATTTTCTGTTTTTTACCATGATCTTTTTTAAGGTATGTTCAACAGCATTCTTGACAATTTACTTTTATAATACCTTGCTCTTTTCATTAGAGGTTTTCCTTGCAAGCCTAAAAAAAAAACCAAAAAATTCCAATCAGGCAAATAGTAAATATGTAAAATACAAAGAATATCTAAAACTTTTTTATATAAAATCTCTGTGTTTGTAGTTTCTCTCTCTTATTTATAATGTTTACAGGTAATGTTTTTACAGGTGATGCAAAATACAATTTTTTTTACAAGGGGAAAAACTAAATGGAAAGGGTAGCACTACAGGACAAATGAAATATATTAATATCAAAAAATTAAGTTTAAATCAAGCTTTCTGATCATCAAAGACAGAAAAAAAAACATGTTATTTGCAGTATTTGATAAAAAAATACGTATCCTGGGGTTTTGCCCTTTTCAATACAAACAAAGTTTTACTGGTACTAAGACCTATTTGATAAATATTACTTGTGTAACAGAATCCCTTTTTTAATGATAACATTAGCTAGCCTTTTTGGGACATACTGCGCAAGTACTGTGCACTATTCTAAACACTGTACATGTATTTAAGTCATTTAAATCCTCCCAGCAATTCTGTAAAGTAGGTAACATAATAGATATTTTATAAAGAAAGAAACTAGGCACAGAAAGGCCACATAACCTGCCCAAACACATAAAACTGTTCAATAGCAGACTAAGCATTCAAACCCAAGAACTTTGGCTCCAAAACATGCGTTTCGCAATATGCTATGAAAGTAATATTTATTTTCAAGTAATATGATAGCAGATGAATTCATATTATCTTTCCATTTGTGAATATAAGTAATAATGTCTGAATCTTGTAATATTTTAAAAATAAGATTTTAATCTTGGCATTTTTTTTAAGTTCAGTGGTACAACTGCAAGTTTGTTATATATGTAAACTTGTGTCACGGGGTTTTGTTGCAGATTATTTCATCACACACGTATTAAGCCTAGTACTCATTAGTTATTCTTCCTGATCCTTTCCCTCCACTCATCCTCCACTCCACCTTCCAGAAGGTGCCAGTGTGTTTTGCTCCTATCAATGTGTCTATGTGTTCTCACCATTTAGCTCCCATTTGTGAGAGAGAACATGTGGTGTTTGGTTTTCTTTTACTGTGTTAAATTGCTAAGAATAATGGCCACCAGCTCCATCCATGTTCCACCAAATGACATGATCTCATTTTTTATGGCTACCTAATATTTCCTGGTATATATGTACCACATTTTCTATATCCAGTCTATGAGTGATAGGCATTTACTTTGATTCCAGGTCTTTGCTATTGTGAATAGTACTGCAATGAACATATGCATGTGTCTTTATAACAGAATAATTTATATTCCTTTGGGTATATACCCAGTAATAAGATTGCTAGGTTGAATGGTACTTCTGTCTTTGAGGAAATGCCACACTGTTTTCCACAATGGCTGAACTAATAATATACACTCCCACCAACAGCGTATACGCATTCCTTTTTCTGTACAACCTCACAAGCATCTGTTATTTTTGTACTTTTTTTTTTTGAGACGGAGTCTCAGTCTGTCACCCAGGCTGGAGTGCAGTGGCGTGATCTTGGCTCACTGCAACCTCCGCCTCCCAGGTGCAGGCAATTCTCCTGCCTTAGCCTCCTGTGTAGCAGGGATTATAGGCGAGTGCCACCACGCCAGGTTAATTTTTGTATTTTTAGTAGAGACGATGTTTCACCATATTGGTCAGGCTGGTCTCAAACTCCTGACCTCGTGATTCATCTGCCTCGGTCTCCCAAAGTGGTGGGATTACAGGCGTGAGCCACCATGCCCAGCCTGGACTTTTTAATAATAGCCATTCTTACTGGTGTTAGATGGCATGTTAATAGGGGTTATGATTTGCATTTCTCTAACGATCAGTGAAGTTGAGCTTTTTTTCCATGTTTGTTGATCTTGTGTATGTCTTCTTTTGAAAAGTATCTGTTCTTGGCCTGGAGCAGCGGCTGACATCTGTAATCCCAGCACTTTGGGAGGCCAAGGTGGGCAGATTACCTGAGGTCAGGAGTTCGAGACCAGCCTGACCAACACGGCAAAAACCCATCTCTGCTAAAAATACAAAAATTAGCAGGGTGTGGTAGGGCATGCCTGTAGTCCCAGTTACTCGGCAGGCTGAGGCATGAGAATCACTTAACCCGGGATGGGGAGGTTGCAGTGAGTGGAGATCACAGCACTGCACTCCAGCCTGGGAGACAACGCCAGACTAAAAGAAAAAGAAAAAAAGAAATCTGTTCATGTCCTTTGCCCACTTTTTATGGGGTTTTCTCTTGTATTTAAGTTTCTTACAGATGTTAGATATCAGACCTTTGCCAGATGCATAGTTTGCAAAACGTCTTCCCTTGTGGAGGTCGTCTGTTCAGTCTGATGACAGTTTCTTTTGCTGTGCAGAAGCTCCTTAGTTTAATTAGATTCCATTTGTCAATTTTTGCTTTTGTTGCAATTGCTTTGGCATCTTCATGATGAAATCTTTGCCGGTGCCTATGTCCAGAATGGTATTGCCTAGATTGTCTTCCTGGGTTTTTATAGTTTTTGGTTTTACAGTTAAATCTTTAATCCATCTTGAGGTAATTTTTGTTTATGGTGTAAGGAAAGGGTGAAGTTTCAATCCTCTGCATATGGCTAGCCAGTTATCCCAGTACCATTTATTAAATACGGTCCTGTCCTTGTTGCTTTTTGTCAGGTTTGTTGAAGATCAGAGAGTTGCAGGTGTGTGTTCATATTTCTGGGTTCTCTATTCTGTTCAACTGGTCCATGTGTCTGTTTTTGAACCAGTGCCATGTTGTTTGGTTTCTGTAACTCTGTAGTATAGTTTGAAGTCAGGTAGTGTGATTCCTCCAGCTTTGTTCTTTTTGCTGAGGACTGCCTTGGCTATTCACACCCTTTTCTGGTTCCCTATGAATTTTAAAATAGTTTCTTGTAGTTCTGTAAAGAATGTCAATGGTAGTTTAATAGGAACAGCATTGAGTCTACGAAATGCTTTGGGCAGTATGACTTTTTTTTTTTTTTTTTTTTTTGAGTTGGAGTCTTGCTGTTGTCGGCCTGGGCTGAAGCACAATGGCATGATCTCTGCTCACTGCAACCTCCGCCTCCTGGGTTCCAGCAACTCTCTTGCCTCAGCCTCCCAAGTAACTGAGATTACAGGTGCCTGCCACCACGCCCGGCTAATTTTTGTATTTTTAGTAGAGGCAGGGTTTCACCATGTTGGCCAGGCTGGTTTCAAACTCTATCTTTGAGCAGTGTTTTGTAGTTCTCCTTGTAGAGATCTTTCCCCTCTCTACTTAGCTGTATTCCTAGGTTTTTATGTTGTTGTTGTTTTGGTGGCAATTGTGAGTAAGAATTAGTTCTTGGTTTGGCTCTTCACTATTGTTGGTCTATGGGAATGGTACTAATTTTTGCACATTGATTTTGTATCCTGAGACTTTCCTCAAGTTGTATCAGCTTAAGAAGATTTTGGCCTCACACTATGTGGTTTTCTAGGTATAGGATCATGTCATCTTCAAACTAAGATAGTTTGACTTCCTCTCTTCCTACTTGGATGCCCATTATTTCTTTCTCTTGATGGATTACCCTGGCCAGAACTTACAATACTACGTTGAAAAGAAGTGGTGAGAGAGGGCATCCTTGTCTAGTGCCACTTTTCAAGGGGACCGCTTCCAGCTTTTGCTCATTCAGTATGACGTTTGCTGTGGGTTTGTCATATACGGCTCTTATTATTTTGAGGTATGTTCCTTCAATAACTAGTTGAGAGCTTTTAACATAAATGTTGAATTTCATCAAAAGACATTTCTGAATCTATTGAGATGTGATTATCTCAATAATAAACAGAATAATTCTGTTTATTTGATTAATTACATTTATTGATCTTTTTTTTTTTTTTGAGAGGCAGTCTCGCTCTATCACCAAGGCTGGAGTGCAGTGGTGCAATCTTGGCTCACTGCAACCTCTGCCTCCCGGGTTCAGGCAATTCTCCTGCCTCAGCCTCCTGAGTAGCTGAGACTACAGGTGTGTGCCACCACGTCTGGCTAATTTTTTGTATTTTTAGTAGAGACAGGGTTTCATCATGTTAGGATGGTCTCAATCTCCTGACCTCATGATCCGCCCACCTCAGCCTCCCAAAGTGCTGGGATTACAGGCGTGAGCCACTGTGCCTGGCCTATTGATTTGCACATGTTGAAACAACCTTGCATCACAGGGATGAAGCTAAATGCTCACATCAAAAAGAAAGATCTTAAGTTCACAACCTAATGTCACAACTAAAACAACTAGAAAGGCAGGAGGAAAATCTAGGTGAGTGACTGACATTCTGAAAGCCAAGTGAACAAAGTGATATGGTGGAGAAAGTTCTCCATGGGGTCAAATATTGCTGGTAGGTTAAATAAAATGAGATCTAAGAAATTATGTCTAGATGTATTACAGTGAAAAAATGACAAGCTTGAGAATAACAACTTTGGAGGAGCGGTGAGAGTGAAAATTACAGCAGTGAGTTCAAGAGTGAATGGAAGGGAAGGTTGAGTCCATGAGTACAGACAGTTCAACTTCAAGGACATCATACCTAAGTGGCATTATCGTGGATGACCTAATTTTCTTCTTGTTCAGCTGTATTTCCCAATACTTTTATAATGATTAATTACCTAGTATGTTTTAACACCTTAAGCATTTAAAAAATTATACACATATGGCATTTTTATAAGCCAGACCATGGTATAAATGAATAAAGCCATAAAATTATAGAGCATTTCTAGATTATATAAAAGTGATTATCATTTTGCTCATGCT